>NC_000008.11:17435860-17738890 GCF_000001405.40 Homo sapiens
GTTATGAATGGCATCTTTCTTCTATTACAATGAAGTACCAGTAATGCGCTAGTTGCTTTACTTACTTCATCTCACAACACCACAAATAAGAAAACTGGGGTGGCCCAGAAAGAAAATGAAAGAAGAGATAGGTAAGAAATTGTGCAGTCCCCACTCAACCCTGGTCTCCCTGTCCCCAAATCCTGCACCACTAGCCACCGTATGGCAAAAATTCCTGGACTTTGCTTATGTACTTGCTTAACAACCTTGAGGGTTAAGTCTTGATCATCTTACTTCTTCTGAAGGCTTGAATTCCTTCCAATCTGCTTCACCTGATTGACTGGTTAATGAAAGAGCTGATGTCTGCTTGGCTCTGTCCCCACATCTGAAGTGCTCATTATCTGCCTTCTCACTTTGGCAACTTTCTCAATAGTACAAACAGCCTCCGTGTCTTCTGAGGCCCGAGGGAATCTTTTAATTACCTTTTGATGAGGATAGTCACTTCCCGCCCTGAGTTTAAAGTGAAATTTGATCATGAATATTTCCTGTCCGTCTCTCTCAGGAGCAGTAGCTAACGGGTGGTATTAGTGTTTAAGCATTTATGTTCACCTCCCTCCATGGGCTACCAGGATCACCCAAGGCAGTAATACTGCAACCTCCTTTGAGAAAATGCCTCAAAAAGGGAGTTTAGACTAGTTCTCAACTAATAGTCTCATAAAATGGAGGGAAAAGAGAGGATTGTGTAGACAGGTAGAACCACACAAAATACTTTGCCCTAGACTAAAAAATTATGTGTTTGGAAATGCCTAAGATCTCATGAAAAGTAGACACTTCAGATATTTTCTAATTTCTAAATAGACTGAAGAGAAGAATATATTGCATTTTACCTTGATAAACTAATGATCACTACAAATTTCACATACTTTAATATAGTTTCACTGAAAAGTTAAGAAATTTTTTGAGATTTATTGAAAACAGTCATAACTAGAAAAATAACTTATCTTCCATGATTTGATAAATTGTGCTGCAATAATAACCAAGCAGTCACATTCCTTTAACTTAAATCCAACCTGATGAATTTCTCTGTTTTTGAAAACATTTTGTTTATCCCAGAAATGCAGGTTGGTTTAAAAATAACAAATCGATTTAATTCATCATATTGTCCAACTAATGAAACCTCCATATTGTCATCTCAATAGATATAGAAAAATTGTTTGACAACATTCGGCATTCATTCCTGATTTAAAAATAAAAATAAATAAATAAATAAACTAACTCTCAGCTAATTATGAATAGAAGGGAACTTCCTCTATCTGATAAAGTAATCCACAAGAAAACTACAGTTAACATACACAATGATGAAAGACTGAAAGCTTTCCCAATATCAGAAACAAGTCAAGGACGTCCAATGCCACTACTACTATTTGACATTGTACTGGATGGTCTAGCCAATGCCGTAGCAAGTATAAGAATTTGAAGACATCCAAACTGAAAAGGAAGGAGTAAATCTATCTTTACTTCCAAAAGACATGGCTCCATACACAGAAAATCTGATGGACTCTACAAAAGCTATTAGAACTAATAAGTAAGCTTAGCAAGGATGTAGGATACAAGATCAACACAAAAAAATAAGTTATGTTTCTATATGTTAGCAAATAACAACTGGAAATTGGAAATTTTTTAAATGCCATTAATAACATTAAAAATATGAAATAAGGATAAATCTAACAAAAAAGTATAACCCTTGTACACAGCAAACTATAAACATTGCTGAGATAAATTAAAGAAACCCAAAATAAATGGAGTTGTATTATCTTCATGGATTGAAGGATTCAATATTATTATGATGTACTCCACATATAGGACATACAGTGCAATCCTAGTCAAAATTCTAGCAGGCTGTTTTTGTAGAACTGACAAACTGATTTGACAATATGGAAATGCAAAGAACCTAGAATACCCAAAATAATTTTGAAAAATAAGAACCACTTTATACTAACCAATATACTGTCCAAAGAGAGACAGACAGGAAATATTCATGATCAAATTTCACTTTAATATACTGCACAATATACTACCAAACTGCAAGACTTACAAAGTTGCAGTAACCTAGACAACGTAGTTTTGACTTCAGACCAGTTATATGAGAGTAACTAAATAAAACGGAGGCTAGAAACAGACCTGCGCATGTATGGTCAATTGGTTTTCAACAAAAGTACAAGAACAATTCAGTGGTAACAGGAGAGTCATTTCAACTACAGTGTTAGAAAAGTTAATTTTTGAATGCAAAAAAACCAAACAACCATGATCTGTACTTCACACCAATCAAAAATTAACTCAGATTATAGATGTAAATGTGAAACCTAAAACTATAAAGCTTCCAGAAGTAAACATAGGAGAAAATCTATGTGACCTTGGACTAAGTGAAATTTTCTTGTCTGTAACACCAAAAGCACAATGCACTAAAACATCATATATTGGGCTTCATCAAAGTCAAGAAATTCTACTCTTTCAAAAACATCTTAACAGATTAAAAAGACAAGCCACTGACTGGAAGAAAATATTTACAAATCACACATCTGTTAAAAGACTCATGTCCAGAACTTGTATATAAAGTACTCTCAAAACTCAATAATAGGAAAACAAACCCCAGTTTTAAAGATGGGCAAAATACCTGAACAGAAACTTCACCAAAATTCGTATAAGCTAGCTTGCAGTGTCTCATGCCTGTTATCCCAGCACTTTGACAGGCTGAGGTGGGAGGATCGCTATAGCCCAGGAGCTCAAGACCAGCCTGAGGAACACAGCAAGACCCCATCTCTACTAAAAATGAAAAAAAAAAAAAAAATGGCCAGGCATGGTGGCACATGCCTGTAATCCCACCTACATGGGAGGCTGAGGTGGGAGGATCCCTTGAACCCAGAAGTTTGAGGCTGCAGCGAGCCGTGATTGTACCATTGCACTCCAGCCTGGTGATTCATTATCTTGACTGTGGCAAAGATTTCCTGTATGTCAAAACCTATCAAATTCACACTTTGAACACGGCGTTAGTGTATGTCAATTATACTTCAGTAAAGCTGTTATGCAAAAACCTTTTTGTTATTTTAATTTATTCACTTGAGAAAGATCTGGATTATTTCTTTTTTTTTTAATTTTTATTTATTTATTTATTTATTGAGATGGAGTCTCACTCTCTTGCGTAGGCTGGAGTGAAGTTGCGTCATCTCAGCTTACTGCACTTTCCGCCTCCTGGGTTCAAGCGTTTCTCGTGCCTCAGCCTCCTGAGTAGCTAGGATTACAGGCGCCCGCCGCGACGCCCAGTTAATTTTTTTTTTTTTTTTTTTTTGTATTTTTAGTAGAGACAGGGTTTCACCATGTTGGTCAGGCTGGTCTTGAACTCCTGACCTCAGGTGATCCACCTGCCTAGTTCTCCCAAAGTGCTACAATTACAGGCGTGAGCCACCACACCCAGCCTATTTCTATATCCTGTATTTTAAAATCCAAAACTGAGTTACTTTTGGAAGTTCTTTAAGCAGCAATTTTAAAAGAACATTTACACACTATTTATTTATTTATTTATTTATTTATTTATTATTATTATTATTTTGTAGAGATGGAGTCTCACTCTCTCGCCCAGGCTGGAGTGCAGTGGTGTGATCTCGGCTCACTGCAAGTTCCACCTCCTGGGTTAAAGCAATTCTCGTGCCTCAGCCTCCAGAGTAGCTGGGACTACAGGCGTACGCCACCACGCTCAGCTAATTTCTTTTGTATTTTAGTAGACACCGGGTTTCACCATGTTGCCCAGGCTGGTCTCTAACTCTTGAGCTCAGGCAATCCCCCCGCCTTGGCCTCCCAAAGTGCTAGGATTACAGGCATGAGGATTGTTTACACATTTTAATGGTCTGACTGAAGAAGTAAAACTGTACAGTAAAGTCTTTAGATGGCAAATCTGTGTCAACAAGGGTCTGATATCATTCAGTGAAACCTGGTGCTATGTAGCGTTCCATGGGTGAAATGTTCAAAGGCTTTGTCTTTAGGGGCTCAGGAGATTTACACATTCCAGAGAGGATGGGATCTCAAGGAAAACCCAGATAGGAGAACATGGTGCTGGTAGCTTGGAATATTGGAGCGGAAATAGTGCCTTGGCAGTATTCGTTACAAGTCTTCTTGGAGTTGACTGTCCTCACCCACCCACTTGCACAGAGCGAGGGGCACTGTCTTACCAAGGGCATGTTTGCTTGGCTCTTCTAATTTGTGAAAAGACAACCACAAAGCCCTGTGCTAGAGCATGCAAAGATCACAACTCAGAGACCCCTGGTGTCCTCTGTCTGCTTGAGAAGCTGACAAGAGCAAAAGGGTTCAAGGTGATCCAAGTGTGTGTTGTGGGATTGATTTTTGTGTTTCTGCCAATTTCAATAACAGATTCAATGTGATGGTTGAACTGGCAATGTTGGCATGCAAAGGGCCACTGTGTATCTGTGGTGACAGCAGCTGTGACCAGGAGCAAATGTCTTTGGCTCCACGTTAGGGAGCACACTGGGGCTCTGCCTACAGTGAGCAATGCCCTCGCAAATGAAGTCACCAAGGGACACACTATGAGTTAAGAAAGGAAACTAACAATACTCACTGCTTGCTAGACAGAGACACTCTGGGGTCTAGCCACGAAGGACTCCAACGCCACGTTGGGATGGACAGTTAACAGTAACCACTGAAGGGCATCCAGCTAACCTCATAAGAATGGACTCATTCAAATATTCAGGAAATGAAGGTAACTAAGTGTGCGTCTTTCTTTGTTTTTGTCTGCCTAATTAAATTGTCTTATGTGAGATGCTTTCAAGAATCTGATGTCTGATAAAACTCTAGAAAGAAATATAACAGGGTCTGGCATGGTAGTTCACACCTGTAATCCCAGAGAAAGGCTGAGGTGGGTCGATTGCTTGAAGCCAAGAGTTTGAGACCAGCCTGGGCAACAAAGTGAGACCCTGTATCCACAAAAAATAAAATAAAATAGAATAAATTAGCTGCCAAGAGCTATTATTGTGCCACTGCCCTCCAGCCTTATCTCTAAAAAAAGAATGAATGAATGAATGAATGAGTAAATAAAAAATAAAATAGTTTAAACTATTGTTGTTCAATAGTGGAATTTTTTTTCCATGATGGAAATATTCTTTGTTACACATTAGCCACTAGTCACATGTGACCACTGAACACTCAAAACCGTGACTAATACAACTAAGTTACTGAATTTTAAATTGCATTTAACTGTAACTAATTTCAATTTGTATTTGAATAGTGACCTGTGGCCAATGGCTACAATAGTGAACAGTTTTATCCTGTCATGAAACAGTCTGCATTTTAGTTGGTGGTATATCATGTTTCCCCGCCTGAGTGAAAGTTAGAAACCAATTAAATTGCTACAAAGAAAAAGCGCCAATACTTTTGTATACTGTATACTTTTGTATACTCAAAACTGGTACAATTTTTTTTCTATTCCTGTTGGTTTTTCTTTTTTTTTCTGTTGAATACAAAGAGAAAAATTTAGAAATACAGCATAAATATTTATTCGCTTTTTTTTTTTTTTTTTTTTTTAAGGAAAACTCATTCATTTCATGAAGATTCACTGGCCGGGCGTGGTGGCTCACGCCTGTAATCCCAGCACTTTGGGAGGCCGAGGCGGGCAGATCACGAGGTCAGGAAATCGAGACCATCTTGCCTAACACGGTGAAACCCCGTTTCTACTAAAAATACAAAAAATTAGCCAGGTGCGGTGGTGGGTGCCTGTAGTCCCAGCTACTCGGGAGGCTGAGGCAGGAGAATGGCATGAACCCGGGAGGCGGAGCTTGCAGTGAGCCGAGATTGTGCCACTGCACTCCAGCCTGGGCGACAGAGCGAGACTCTGTCTCAAAAAAAAAAAAAAAAAAAGATTCATTTCCTTCGAGTTCCACATACTGACGGAGAAAGGGTAGATATGTTATTTTGCTACTCAGCATTCACTCACATTTTTTCTGTTAACAGAACGATGGGTTTTGTTTGTTGTCTGAGTAACTATCAATGCCACACAAATCTATCCACCCCTCCCACCCCTGTCCTATTACACACACTTGGGAGGAGTTTGGTTTAGAAACTTTCTAATCATCCCATCAGAACTTGCACCTGTAGGCCAGCTCCTCCAGAGACTGAGGTGGGAGGATCGCTGGAGTCCAGGAGTTTGAGACCAGCCTGAGCAACATAACAAGATCCCCCACCTCAAAAAATAAAAAATAAAGTGAAATGAGATTTTTGTTGGGACCGTAGGTAGGAAGACATGCTCATGCTACCAGAGTGTTGAATAGTGAGTACAATTTGAGCCTGAAGGGGCCATGTGGAGCTGAGGGGTCACCAACATAAAGGAAGGTAGAACCAAGAAATGCAGAAAAATCAAGTTTAAGTCTAATGATGATGTTTGAACTTCAACATCCAGTGACAGGAAAAATCTGCCCAGGAGAATTTGTTCTAAAAACAGCTTTATTGAGATATAACTCGCACATCATATCATTCACCTCTTTAAACTTTACAGTTCAATGGTTTTTAGAATATTCATATTTAACCAAAACCACCATCAGTTTCAGGACATTTTCACCACTCTCTGAAACACCTGTACCCATTAGTGGTGACTCCCCTTCCTCTTCTCCCTCTAGCCCTAGGCAACCACTAATCTATTTTCTGTCTCTAGAGATTTGCCTGTTCCAGACAAATGGATGATTCCATTTCATATGAATGGAACCTTATAATATAGGGTCATTTCTGACTGGCTTTTTTCACTTAACATAATGTTTTCAAGATTTATCCAAATTGTAGCATGTATCAGTACCTCATTTTTTTACTGCCAAAACCAAAAAAATTTTGAAATGAACTTTTTATTTTGTAATACTTTCAGGTTGCAAATATAATACCCATACTCTTCACCCAGTTTCTCCTAAGGTTAACATCTTAAATGACCATGGTACATTTGACAAAACTAAGAAATAGTACCGTTTAACTAAACTATAGACATTATTTGGATTTCAGTTTTTTTTAAATAAAATATATTTTTTTCTGTTTCAGGATGTAATCCAGGAAACCATACTGCATTTAGTAGTCATGTCTCCTTAGTTTCTCTTCTGGTGTATAACATTTTCTTATTTTTCTTGTTTTTCATGATCCAGAAATTTTGAAGGGTATAGGCCAGGTATTTTATAGAATTTCCCCCAATTTGCATTAGTTGCATGTTTTTCTTCACTATTGCCCCCAGGGGGCCAGGTGCGGTGGCTCACACCTGTAATCCCAGTGCTTGGGGAGGCCGAGGCGGGCAGATCACCTGAGGTCAGGAGCTCGAGACCAGCCTCGCGAACATGGCGAAACCCCGTCTCTCCTAAAAATACAAAAATTAGTTGGGCATGGTGGTATGAGCCTGCAGTCCCAGCTACTCAGGAGGCTGAGGCAGGAGAATCGCTTGAACCCGAGAGGTGGAGGTTGCAGTGAGCCGTGATTTCATCACTGTACTCCAGCCTGGGAGACAGAATGAGACTGTCTCAAAAAAAAAAAAAAAAAAAAACACAAAGATTGCTCCCAGGGTTTCTTTTTCATAAGAATACCTCAGAGATGAGGTTCGCAGCTCTCTTCACATCATATTAGTGGGTAGGTGATATTCACATGACTTACCACTTGGTTAAGATGGTATCTTCTAAGTTTCTTCTCTGTAAAGTTAGTGTTTTTCCTTTCCATTCTCTGTGTTTTGGCATTGAGTCCCAAAGTTCATCCCACGCTCAAGAGTAAGGAAATTAAACTCTACCTCCTGGAGCGGGAAGTATCTACATATATTGCTTGGCTTTCCTCTGTAAGAAAGAGATGGCCCTTCTCATTCATTCATTCATTCATTCATTCATTCATTTATACCAGTATGGACTCATCAGTACTTATTTTATTCTTTGTGTTATAATCCAATGCTATCATTATTTATTTGGTTGCTCAAATTGTTCCAGGTTTGTCAATAGGGAGCCCTTTCAGGTTGGCTTTTTGGTCCTTTTAATATGGCTCTTTCTTTTCCTCTTTCTCCTCTTCCTCTTCCTCCTCTTCTTCTTCCTTCTAGTCCTTCTAGTCCTCCTCCTCTTAATACTTCCCCTCATGTTCCTGCCCCTCACTCCTCCTCCTTTCCCTCTTTACCCTTCTTCCTCCTCCTTCTCCTCCTCTTCCTCCTGATTCTTCCCCTCCTCCTCCTCCTTCTGATCCTTCCATCCCTCGTTTTCCCCCTTCCTCCTCTTCCTCCCGCCCCTCCACTCCTCCTTCTCCTCCTCCTTCTTATTAGTACTTCCTTACTTTCTGGCACTACAAAATGCTCCATGACTGTCTTGTATTTTCCTTGCCCCAGCTCTAGAATCAGCCATTTCTCCAAGGAGCCCTGCTTCCTTTTACTGGAGAATGATATGTGGAAACCAAAATCTGGACACTGAATGTGCTTATTGCCTTTGGGGTGTTACTGCTGCTGAGTCAACGTATGTATGCATACTAACTCATATATACGCACTTCTAAGATTATTTCCTTTTCTATCTATTTGCATATATATGAACATAAACAGGAGTTTATATAGATGCCTCGGACTCTAATCTAGAGCCACAGGGTTCACTCTGAGCTTCACGTCTTCCGTATTTTTAACTTCATATCTGACTGTGAGAAATCTGGTTCCTCATATGTACTCATTTGTTCACTCCACATGCAGAGCAGTTTCAGAAGTGCTAATTTCCACCCCCTGTCAGAAAGAAATTTACCAACTTGGGTACAGTATTTAGTTGCAATTCTTTTTGTTCATAGCCTTCCATTACCAGATAAATAAATTCCTTTTTGGGGTTTTGCAGATTTGAATTGCATGATCCAACACCTTTATCTCTTACGGCATAGCTTACATGCATTAAAACTCCTTGTTTTTTTTAATGTACTACCTTCTGTTTTATAATTTTTGCAATATATTTAATGCTGTGATTTGACATCAATTATAAGGAATCTATGTCTATTATTAAGTCCTTGGAACTTACCTAAAATACAGGGAAATGAAAGAGCCAGAGCTCTCCTCCATATAAAAAAAGTTCATCTAAGAAAAAAAGTTCATCTACAAGGAACAAAACAAGATTATGTGGTGATATTGTTATTGAGTGCCACAATTAAGCAAGTTTCAAAATCCATGGTGGCTGGATCGTAATATGGGAAGATAGTATTTGTTGAATGATTGTGGAGGACTGATGGGCCAATGTGAAATTTGTCTTCCTAACCAATTTTTCAAAGGCTTTCAAACACCTTTTCATGCATACTCATGTTCTTTTTTTCTATATCAACCCTATGAAGACAACTTTATTGTAATTATCATGATAAAAATTTTCCCTGATTTTCCAAGAGGTGAAGCTGAGCAGCTAAACTAAGCAATACAGCTAGATTAAAAATTGAGTTATTGAACTCAAATTCCCATGCCCTGTCATTTCCACTAGGTTATTGGTAATGGTTTGGATGTTTTTTTCCCTCCAAACTTCATGTTGAAATTTGATCCCCCATATTGGACTTAGGGCCCAGTGAAATCTGTTTGGGTCCTAGCGGGGGTGGATCCTTCATGAATAAATTAACACCATCCTTAGGTCAAGGAGTGAATTCTCAGTCTATTACTTCCTTCCAGAGCTGCTTGTGTAAAACAGCCTGCCACGGCTCTCCCTTCTCTCTTGCTTCCTCTCTCACCATGTGATCTCTGCACATGGCTGGCTCCTCTTCCACTTTCTGCAGTGAGTTGAAACAGCCCGAGACCCTCGCCAGTTGCAGATGCTTAATCTTGAATTTTCCAGTCACCAGAACTGTAGGCCAAATAAACCTCTTTTCTTTATAAACTACCCAGTCTCAGATATTCTGTTACAGCAACACTAAATGAACAAAGATAGTCATCATGTCACTGAGGATGCTGACATATTGACATCACATAGGTTATTAGCCCTTTTTGGAAGGAGGCTCACATCTTTTTCAAGACAGCCATGGGAGGTTCCTGAGTTCAGAGAGATAGCACATATTCCTTTTGTCTTCACACCATTAGCCATAAACCTATGACATAAATAGTAATGCTGTGAAATAAACATACAGAAAATAAACATTTGGATTTGTAAAAGCCCCATAAACATTTCCATTTCTTTTCCTTCTCTTTCTCCTCCTCCTCCTTCTCTTCTTCCTCCTTCTCCTTCTTCCTCTTTTTTGCCAAATAAAAAATTTCAAATCATTAACTTCTATAAATAACTCATCTATAAGGGATACAGATTTTTACATTTAAATTACTTTGAGTTTGCTGGCAGCTTTTAATGACAAACCTGGAAAAAGATACAGGGCCTATGCTAGTTTCACACGGTAGCTGCCTGGTAAATGTTTGTTGAATTAACCAGTTATTCAAAATCAACAAATATTTACTGAGCTAAACTCTGTGGAAGTGCCAACAAGAAAAGGTCTGTGTCCCCAAGCATCAATGACCTTATTGAGTAGATTGAGGCATTAACACCAGAACCTACTTAGAGTCACCAATGAAAGAGCTGAGGATAATTATTAAAAAGCCAGCATGGAGCTAATTACCAGTTAAGTGATGGGGAATAGGTAATGAAGAATTTCTGAGCAGAAAGTAGTTATTCAAGCAGAGATGACCAAGCAGATGTTTTACAGGAGGGAGATAGTGCGAATCTGATGAAAAAGCATGGGTATGCTTTGGGCAGGTGGGCCAGTTGCTATCAGAGCATCAGAAGAGGGAAACACAAAGGTTTCTTATATGTCACACGTTTTTCCATTTCAGAGAGTGTAAAAAGGTGTTTGGGGTGAAGTTGCTTATGTCAGAGCAATCAGTGGTCTTTAACCACAGATCTCAGAGAAGCAAAATGTCTCAAGTACTCTTTAAAACCTTGGAGATGAAAATAAAACAAATTATGGCCAGGTGCAGTGGCTCATTCCTGTAATCCTAGCTCTTCGGGAGGCTGAGGCGGGCAGATCACTTGCATTCATGAGATTGAGACCAGCCTGGGCAACATGTCGAAACCCCATCCCTACTAAAAAAAAAAAAAAAAATTAGCCAGGGATGGTGGCACATGCCACTTGGGAGGGGGAGGCACAAAAAAACACTTGAACCTAGGAGGTGGGGTTGCAGTGAGCCAAGATCGTGCTACTGCACTCCAGCTTGGGCAACAGAGCGAGACCCTGTCAAAAAAAAAAAAAAAAAGAACAAAAATAAGATATTAAAATTCAAGTTTTTAACAGCAGATAATTGCTTTTTTCTGATTTTTAAAAAATGACTTTGTAAAACTAGCAATTATCTTTTCCTGGAGTTTTGTCTATGAGTTAAAATTTAAAATTTAGCTACAGTCTCTGTATTTATGAGTTAAAGTGACATTACTTAAATAATCAAGTCATAATAATTTTCAATATTATGTATTGAAAAAAAAATCCCAAATGTCTGCCTGTCTTTTATAAGCCTACCTTATTTTTTTTCAACTTTTATGTTTTTAATTGAGATTATACGTTTTGTGCCGAATAGATGTTTTCTGTTTATTTCTCTTTCGTTAATTAGCAGTGTATCCATTTTACAAGTCATTCCTTTCATCCCAATAACTTGAGGTCCACTGTGGTTTCTGAAGTCTGCTAAGAACTTGTGATCAGACCGTTCCACCCAGACTCGGACCCTCAGTTTCCTGCATTTGTACATATGTATAGTTAAATGACAATAAATAGGTATTCATCTTGCTCTTAGAAGTAGGTTGGCTGTTTTTAAAACACACAGTTTTTCATCTAATGACACCAGGACAAAAACTTTCCATTTGCTGAGGGAGTCTAATTAAAGAAATAAAAAAGAAACTTATCTATTATAGGAGGAAAAATTATTTGCCTTCTGAATAGTGCTAGAAGCACATGTCAAGAAGATGTGCTAAGAATAAAAAAAAAAGTCTTGTTCTTTGTTTTGTTTAATGTAGCTGTGTGAGGCAGCTGCAACCCTTCATTTTCATGGAAACAATCCCACACCCTTCTTCACCCCAAAGAGTCCTTTTCGTCCAACTAGGAACAGATTTTTTTACCCAAAATTTCATAGGATCATAAAATTTTGAAGCTTAGAGATCCTTTTGTCTAACTTTATAAACTAAGTAAGCAGCCAAGGATACTGCAGGAAAACAGTGGGAAAATCTATCCACAGAGCTCAACTCTTACCCTGTACTTACCTACAAGCAAACTACACTCCAGCAGCATTAAGCTTCTCTAAAAGATTGGGTGATTTTAGGACTCCATATCTTGGCACTGAGAGCTCCTCTTGCCTGGAAGGACTGGCTCTTCTGTCATTGGGAACATGCCTGCTCTTCCTTCAAGATCCAGTTCAAAGATCATCTCATCTGGTCAGGTGCAGTGGCTCGCGCCTGTAATCCCAGTGCTATGGGGAGGCGAACGTGGGAAGAACACTTGAGCCTAGGAGTTTGAGACTGCAGTGATGGTGCCACTGCATTCCAGCCTGGGAAACAGAGCAGGATCCCATCACTTAAAGAAAGCTGTCCCAGTTCTCTGAGGCCAGCAGTATCTTCTGACTCTGTGTTCCCCTAGAGTACTTAGTTGCCATCTCTACTGTGGCACTTGGCATGGTGCCTTACAATAATGTGTTCCATGTCTACTCACTAGCTCATGAGTGTTTCAGTTCTTTATCTGTATATATCCATTGCCTAGCACAGTACTTGCCACATAAATAGATCATTAAGAACTGATAATTGAATGATCGGCCAGAACTTGCCTGTAGCTCTCCTGGCCTCCAAAAGATTGGTTACGTGTTCTCAGATCCTCTCTAAATTAAAATCATTACCTGAATAATCATTCTCAGCCTCACACCTTTTGAAAAGTAAACTAAATATTAGCTTATTTTCTCATTTCCAAGCCTCTTTAATATCTTTGTTGCACAAATTATTCACCGCAACCTACTATTCACTAAATTCAAGGCATATAGGGCCATCCAGACTTCACCTTTGAAAAATTTAATCACTGGACTCACCACATTTAAAATAAAATAAAATTAGAGTTTAATTACTTTTGCCTTTTTGTAAGAAGTTTGTTTGTCCTTTATTAAGTAGATATAATTAGGCTTCATAATTGGGGTATTGCTTTTTGTAATTCTCTTATCCACATATTTGGCCCAGAGGAGTACTCCTTCACTTATAAAATCTCTCATCACATATTTTAGGGACTAGGAAGGATAGAGGCTAACATTGTATACACACACACACACACACACACACAGACACGTGTATATATACATCCTGTCAAAGGCACTACCAAGTACAAGACGTCAAAATTTTAAAAAAATCATCTCTATCTTTGTCTTCCAGTCCAGTGGTGAAATGGAAGTTATTTGCCCTGCGAATGCTGACCATATTGCTGACGAATCATTTCTGCTGTGACATGAGGCCCCAGCACTGGGTTTCTGGGTGTTCTCTCCATTGCCATCACTGGTTTTATATGTTTGTTTCAGATGAGCCAAACTGGTGCATTCAGCCCCTACGGAAAGGTCACTAACGTTTCAGAGAGGGGAATTCGTTAGGAGTGTTGGACAGATCTTTTGGGAAAAAAATCAAAGCCTGCATAGAACTTGGGGTATAAGCAAACTGTAAGCACGCACGGAGACAAAAATAAATGTAGTATATTGGCAAAGGCTCAAGGCTCAGAAGATAGTCTTTGAAACTTCTGGTATGACTTTCAAGCTTTCCCTGTAAACAGAAAACATTAATATTTGCAATTCTTTATAGTAATAAGCAGTTGCTCCCTGGAGAAAAGTACAGAAATTCTAAGTGTTATTCTTATCTATTTTTTTCTTCATTAAGCCAGTTGCTGTAATTGATTTTTAGATATACAGAAAAAAGTCTTTAAATCTTACCGTATACTTTCCTATAAAGAGTTTGACTTGAGTTAAAATCATGTCTCTTCATATATGGGGCTGCCATTCTTTTTCCTGAAACACAAAAAGATTCTAGCATTTCTATATCTGTGTTTCCGTGCACATGAGTGTTTTGCTGTCTTCCTTTTTTTTTTTTTTTTTGAAACAGAGTCTCACTCTGTTTGCCCAGGCTGGAGCGCAGTAGCGCAATCTCGGCTCACTGCAATCTCTGCCTCCCGGGTTCAAGTGATTCTCCTCCCTCAGCCTCCCGAGTACTGGGATTACAGGCGCATGCCACCATGCCTAGGTAATTTTTGTATTTTTAGTAGAGTTGGAGTTTCACCATGTTGGCCAAACTGATCTCGAACTCCTGACCTCAGGTAATCTGCCCACCTCGGCCTCCCAAAGTGCTGGGATTACAGGTGTGAGTCATCCAGCCTGGCCTCTTCCTTATTTTTTTTAAATATAAGTGCATATATTACACATAAATATTATATATGATATATAATACACATATATTAAACACACGTATAATATGTAGTACATATATATGACATTTGTGTGCAATATATACACATACATATGTACAAACATATGAAAAATAGAGCTGTATTAAAATTATACTTTAAGTAAATCACCAGACAAACATTATTGGCTACTGGAGGCTTATGGAAATAATCATCTAATAATAATGTACGAAATGTGTTTTCTCATTCCACATTCCAATTATTCCTACATATATCATTTCCCCTGGAAATGAAAGTAGAGATATACTGGGAAAAGATATTCACACATGCATGTCCTGATTAGGGCAGGAAGTAACTGACAAATCTCAGGAGAGCCTTTCTTGCAACCCCGCCAGGCCATTTGCATGGATTCCAGATGTTTATGGGCTTGTTAGAAACTTTGAATTGTTATCTGAACGACGACCCTGACACTAAGCACTGTCTCCCCGTTGCTTCACTCCTTACTCCCCGCTAGATTTGACTTGCTGTGTCTTTATACCAGAGACTGAAAGAAGAAAAGAAAAACCTAAGCCCACCCATTACTCTGGCAAAACTTTTAATCAAAACACTCCCATCGATTTCCTAGCTTTCTCCTTCAACCAACAAAGAAAGGTAAGAGATCACTTTTCCAAAGCTTTCGAAATATCAATTCTAGTTTTCAAATCTTATTCTGCTCAGAAGCCCACGTTAATATTTGAGCATGGATGTACTTTCTCCCCAAGACAGAACACGAGGCTGGAAGACACCCCAGGAGGAGGAGCCATGCTCCATGGAGTCCTCCCGGCTTCCCAGCCTCCTGCCTCTCCGCTCTCTCAACCCAACCTATCACAGCGTGGACAGCAGTGAAATATTTTCCACATTATCCGAGTAAGAGAAGGGCTTTTCTTTTCTTCTGTATTGCAAATCAAAGAGAAACTCCCTTTCCTTGACATATTCTCTGGGTACATTTTTTTAACTTTTATTTTAGATTCAGGGGTACACGTGCAGTTTTCTTATATATAACTCATGTCATGCGGGTTTGCTATACAGATTATTTCGGCACCCTGGTACTAAGCATAGGCCCTAAGAGTTATTTTTTCCTGCTCCTTTCCCTCCTCCCACCCTCCACCCTCAAGAAGGCCCCAGGGGCTGTTGTTCCCTTGTATATGTCCATGAATTCTCATCATTTAGCTCCCACCTGTAAGTGAGAACATGTGGTATTAGTTCTATAATGAAAGGCAAACAGTCGCAGGTAAGGAAAACAATGCTGGGAAACAGAAGCAAATTTGATAATTTGCATAAGCCAGTCCACCCTTCTTCTGAGGCTGGTGATGCATGGTGACTGCATGTGGCCTGAGCTTTCTCTTCCTTTGAAATGTTACTCCTTGCACTGGTATGTCATCCCTGTGACTGCAGTTGGTCCCTTAACCACGTGTAGAACCTTGTCTGGTGGCGGGTGGTTCTGTTCCATTGTGAGGTTCACTTTCAGTCTAAGGGCTCGTTTTCACTCATTGATCTCCGTACGCAGGGCCACTGAAAGAGCATCACGTAGCAAAGCTTTTCAGGAAATTTGTGTCACAGGACGTTTAACTCTGTTAGGGAGAGTTGGCAATGATTATTGGAGTCCAGTTATATGGAAAATCAGCACAGTTACCCACCCATTATCCAGTTTTCTAGGGGGAAGTGTTAGGGGGAAAATAATTGCTTAATAAGAGTAAAACTTGTATTACAGAAGAAAATAGTGCACTTTATTAATAACATTTAATAGATAATATGTAGTCTTTCATGTTCAGAAATGGCCATTTTCTAACTATCCTTTTCTAATAACAAGTCATTCTGTCCAGTCTTCGTGACAAGATAGTTGTTTCTAGGAAGAATCAGTAGATTGCAGTGGTGTTTTTTTCCCCCAACCAATGATTTCCGCAAAATCTAGGGTTTTTTTAACCTCTGGAAAGCTATTTAAAAACATTAAGGAATTATTTTTGATCTCCTACTGCGTTATGGCTCTTGTTAGATGAAGCCAAGCAGAAACTCATTAAAGACCAATATATTCCATAAGTGAAGTAACTTACTTTCTAGACATGTCTAGTAAAATCATCTAAACTCTGGAGTAGGAGAAACCTGGTTACCTAGCAGAATCAGCAGCAAGCTGAAGTAATATGAAAAAAGGAGTCTGAAAATAGGAAAGAAATCTCTCCCGGCATCTCAAAGTCGGTAAAACTACAAGCACTTCTAGGCATTCCCTGTTTCAGAAGGCAGGGATTGAGGGGGAACATGCGATGTAGATTCAAAAGGAAAGTCTATCAAAATGCTCTAAGAAAGGGGGCAGCGGAGTTTAAATCACAACGGAAGACCCAGAGGCAAACCTGAAGTGATGTTCATTTAGTTTTGCTTTGAGTCTCAATTTTTACCTTTGTCTTGTGTCTCATTTCTCTAAGCTTTAAATCAGTGACCACTTTGTGTAATGTGCTGGACTCACACACAATAACATCCAAGTCAGAGACCTAAATAAATAAATTGAAAACAATTCAACAAAATCTGTTCCTGGAGAGCTGAACCTGAGCAGCCCCCATGAAGTCTCACTGGCTGTAGGTATCCAGAGGTGTTTGTTCTGTCCCACAGGAAGGAAGCCAGTGTGTCCTGAGGGCATGTCCTGAGGGCATGTCCCTGGCACTTAGGTTGAACAAAGCTGAACACTGTGGGTGGATAAAGGTTAATCAGGTGGTGGGAAGTCAGGGAGGTGGGGAGGAAAAGCTACAAAGAGAATCAATGGTTGGAAAGCAACGCAGCAGGTAAAAGTTGAAATATCAAAGAAGATGAGGTTCAGGGACCTTGCAAAATCTACAGAGAATAGAGACAAACTTTGAAATGAGTTGCAGTAGGACTGGAGCATAAGGAACAGAATCCAGGAAAGTGTGGAAACTAAGAGGAAACTGAGGGAGACATAGGTTCTGTATGGACATAGCAGTGCAGGTAGGAGCAGTGGTTATTGACCTCCAGTAATGACAGTCACAGTTGGGGTCTGTATGTTTATTATAAGTAGACTCCAGGTCCAAAGGTATTAGGAATTGGTAGAATGCCTTTTGGCCCAAGGGACTGAGGACCTATGGACTTTGCTTTTTCAGGTCGTACTATTAGAGCACTAGGGTCCTTTCTAATTTCTGTTCAGTGCCACCTGCAACTTCTTTTTTTCCTTTTTCTTTTTTTCTTTTTTTTTTTTTTGAGACAGAGCCTCATCTGTCACCCAAGCTGGAGTGCGATGGCATGATCTCAACTCATGGCAACCTCCACCTCCAGGTTCAGGCTTGCAACTTCTGAAGAGGGTTGAAAAGTCCACAAAGATTAGGGAGGAAAAGAATATGACGTCATGTCTGTCAAAGAGTTTGCTATTTAAGGGCTTTGGATCTCACGGTGTCTCATGCCTGTAATCCCAGGACTTCAGGAAGCAGAGGTGGGCATATCACCTGAGGTCAGGAGTTCGAGAACAGCCTGGTCAACATGGTGAAACCCTGTCTCTACCAAAAATACAAAAAAATTAACTGGGTATGGTGGTGGGTGCCTGTAATCCCAGCTACTCAGGAGGCTCAGGCAGGATAATTGCTTGAATTTGGGAGGCAGATGTTGCAGCGAGCTGAGATTGTGACACTGCACTGCAGCCTGGGTGAAGGAGCAAGACTCTCACAAAATAAAAAAAATAAAAAAATTAGAAAAAAAGGCTTTGTATCTAAGCACTTGGTGGTTCTCCAACTTTTATGTGTATGAGAGTCACAGTGGTGGGGAGTGGCAGGAGATAGTTTAAAATACAACCAATCCAGAGATGCTGTTTCAACAGATCTGGGGTAAGAACCCAGGAATCTGTGCACATAATCAGAGCTGTAGGCCATTCTGATCGGGCCAGTAGCTGACACACACGCAGCGTGGTGCCAATGAGAAAAAGGTGCCTCCGGTGGGTGGACCAATTTAAGAGCCCTTATTTCTCAGGTTTCCCCACAGTCTTGCCAATGAGAACCTTTTGGCCATCAGGGCTGGTAAAATTTCAGTCCCACTCCTCCCTACTTGGCTGGGCAGACTACAACCTCTACAGCCTCCCTCGGTGGTCCTGATCCTTTAAAGGTGTTCTTTGAACCTACTTTAATTCATCCTAAACTGCCCTGATGACAACAGTGTCCCAGTAGCTTAAGGAATGAGAGGACCGGCTGGGCGCAGTGGCCTATGCATGCAATTTCAGTACTTCGGGGAGCCGAGGTGAGAGGGTTGCTTGAGACCAGGAGTTCAAGACCAACCTGGGCAATATAGCGAGACTGCATCTCTAAAAATAAAAATAAAAAATAAAAAATAAATTAGCTCGATTCAGTGGCTCACACCTGCAGTCCCAGCTACTCAGGAAGCTGAGGCCGGAGGATTGCTTGAGCCGGTGAGGCCAAGGCTGCGGGGCGTTATGATTGTGCCACTGCACTCCCGCCTGGGTGACAGAGCTTGACCCCATCTCAAAAAAAAAAAAAAGAGAGAGAGAGAGAGAAGTCCCTGGGTACCACTTTAAGCCTATCAAATAAGACTCTTCAAAGGCCCAGATTGAGAATTAGTAATTTTAATAAGTGTCTCGGTCAGACCCTTGGGAAGCACCGATTTTAAAGGGTGGTAAAACACTAACGCAACCTTTCTCCTTGGTGTGTTCTCTCTGCCTGGGGAAATCAGAGGCATCTTTCTACTCCAGATCCCATTCCTTCCCAGAATGGAATAGAAAGACATAATAATATGGACAGAAAGAGCAGACTTGAAAAATATTTATGAAGGTCAAAATGCAGTGGAAAAATATAATCCAAAACAAGATACATGTGTTCATGGAAGAAGAAATTGGGAATATTTTCTTGTAGTTTTAGGCTTAACCAGCTGTAATTGCTGGATTGGCACCTACAGTGCCTCTTTCCACTTGCCACACTGTGCAAGGTGATAGATGAAATAAATTCAAACTTTTTCATGTCACCATACCTACGGATGTTGAACACTTTCAGCTTATCTGCTATTATTTTTGCTGTAAGCTTATCTGCTAATAAACTTATTAATTAAAGAATAGGTGTCTCACCGTTTTGCCTTTCATTTTATAAAATAATACCAAAAAGATCTACCAGGAAAGAGCAAAAGTAAGTCTGAATAAAAATGTTAGAGGGCCTGGCACAGTGGCTCATGCCTGTAATCCCAGCACTTTGGGAGGCTGAGGTGGATGGATTGCATGATGTCAGGAGTTTGACACCAGCCTGGCCAACATGGTGAAACTGTATCTACCAAAAAATACAAAAATTAGCCACAATGGTGATGCATGCCTGTAGTCCCAGCTACTGGGGAAGCTGAGGTGGAAGGATCACTTGAACCCAGGAAGTGAAGGTTGCAGTGAGCCAGGATCAAGCCACTGCACTCCAGCCTGGGCAACAGAGTGAGACCCTGTCTCAAAAAAAAAAAAAAAAAAAGTTAGAAGTGGATCCCTCATTTAAATATTCAAATATTCTTATTTTGTAAATGTCTTAAACACAACAACAAAAGGGTGAATAAAATACAAGCTCTAGAGTCTGGTAATTATGTGGCATTATGGTGATCAAATTTCTATAATGTTTATAACATTATAGGATCAAACCCCTACAATGTGTGATGTTTGGAATTGCAACAGTCACCAGTGTCTTATTCTTCTGAAACTAAAAATAAAATCTCCAATATGGTGACCTATAAAAGCTGGATTCTATTTTTAAAAGTATTCTGGCCAAGAACTGACTTAGTAATGTGTAAGTGATTGTAAAATGAGACAGGATGATTTTGGATACTCCTGGCTGGTATTTATGACCAGCTAGGGTCCTTGATCACTTGATGGTCTAATGACTACTCACAACCAGGCTTGAGCATGGTTGACAGCCTTGGGTCCTGTGTTCTTCCAGCAGGCTTAACAAAATTGATTCCTCATGAATGTAGATGGTCATATTTACTTCTGGAGGGTAGCACCTATGCTGTGAATATTTGCTAAGACACGTTACACATGAAACCACAATGGGAAAAGACCTTTCTAAATCTATAGGTGTGCTTTTCACAAAGACAGGATTCTTTGTGAGCAGCAAATAGCAACTTTGCCAACGATCTGATTAAAAAGCCAAAGGTTTGAGTGACTAAAATCTGTGTCTGGGATACGGGTGCCACAGAGGCTGGAAACATTGGAAAAGCCTGTGACCGTGGTTCCAAGGGTGTGGCACTGAGAAACTCTTGGCCAAAACATTCTGATGCTGCTGAAAGAGGGACACGGAACAGGGACCTGCCCCTCCCAAAATCCAGCAACAGTTTTCTCAACATTTACATCAGGTTCCTGAGAAAGAAATTTCAGCCTTTTTTTTTTCTTTTTGTAATCAGTATTTTTTTTTTTTTTTTTTGAAACAAGGTCTTCTTCTGTCACCCAGGCTGAAGTTCAGTAGTGTGATTATGGCTCACTGCAGCCTTGACTTCCTGGACTCAAGCGATCCTCCCACCTCAGCCTCCAGAGTAGCTGGAAGTACAAGCACATGCCATCACACCCAGTTAATTTTGTTTATTTTTTATAGATACGGGTTCTCACCATGTTTCCCAGGCTGGCCTCAAACTGGCTCAAGTGATCTTCCTGCCTCAGCTTCCCAAAGTGTAGGGATTAGAGGCGTGAGACATTGCATCCAGCCTGGAATCAGTATTCTTAAATTAAAATGAAGAGCAAATTTCCTAGAGTTGTCTTTTGAAGTGCTTATTGGGTTTTAAGGGATGTTGAATTTTTCCTCCTTAGTCTATTGTGTGGCAGATGCTTGGCTACTCTGTCACTGTCCAGTATCTGTACATGACTCAGTTTATGTGCACCTTGGAGGGGGTCGTGCAATAAAACTGGGAGTTTTGCAGTGTGTCAGATTCCCATTGGTGGGGCGCCTGTATCAGCACACATTAAAATTATAAAACCAGATACTGACTTCCAAACTACGTATATAGACTGATAGCTACTGCCACACTTACCCACTCTCAGCTGTCTGTAGTCACGTGTACTGTTGAAAAAGAAACACAGGAATAAAAATAGAACCTTCAGGGCCAGGCATGGTGGCTCATGCCTGTAATCCCAGCACTTTGGGAGGCCGAGTCAGGCGGGTAACAATGTCAGGAGATTGAGACCATCCTGGCTAACATGGTGAAACCCTGTCTCTACTAAAAATACAAAAAAATAGCTGTGCGTGATGGCTGGCGCCTGTAGTCCCAGCTACTCGGGAGGCTGAGGTAGGAGGATGGTGTGAACCCAGGTAGGAGGATGGCGTGAACCCAGGAGGCGGAGCTTGCAGTGAGCCGAGATCGTGCCACTGAACTCCAGCCTAGGCGACAGAGCGAGACTCCGTCTCAAAAAAAAACAGATCCTTCAGAAAATCAGTGAGTTTGGAAACTCTATTGGTGAAAAAAAGTAACAAGTGGGATCTGGTCCTGAGTGTTTAACCTGGAGCTGACTTTCAAGTGTAATATGCCTACCACTGTAGTAATATTACCTTCACCCAAAAGCTTTTCCTTCCCGGCTTTCCCACACTCCGAAAACTACCAATACTCAAAAAAGCTGAAATAGATAACACAAATGGTCCTATAACTATAAAGACATTGAATTTGTATTTTAAAATCTTTCACTGGAGAATTTTATCAGATGTTTAAATAATTAACTTCAATTTTGCACAATCTCTTCCAGAAAGAGGTAGGAATATTTCCTAATTCCTTTTACAAGGCCATCATTACCTTGCTAACAAAACCAGACTAAGAAAACTGTAGACCAATAACTCTCACGAACTTACATGCAAAAATGCTCAACAAAATTTTAGCAATTCAACAATATGTAAAAAGAATAAAACACCTTGACAAAATAGAATTTATATCAGACATGCAAAGTGGGTTCAATATTCAAAAATCTGTCAGTGTAACCCACCATATCAACAGGCTAAAGAAGAAAAATTACGTGATTGTATCAATTGATGCAACAAAAGCATTTGAAGAAAAATTCAACAACAATTCATGATTTTAAAAAACCTCTCGGCCACGTGCCATGGCTGACACCTGTAATCCCAGCACTTTGGGAGGCCCAGGAGTGTGGATCACTTGAGGTCAGGAGTTTGAGACAAGCCTGGACAACATGGAGAAACCTCATCTGTACTAAAAATACAAAAATTAGCTGGTTGTGGTGGTGGGCGCCTGTAGTCCCAGCTACTTGGGAGGCTGAGTCAGGAGAATCACTTGAACCTAGGAGGTGGAGGTTGCAGTGAGCCAAGATCGCACCGTGGCACTCCAGCCTGGGCGACAGAGTGAAACTCCGTCTCAAAAAAAAAAAAAAAACCTTTCTATACAATGGTCACATAGGAAAATGTCCTCAACCTTATAAATAGCATCTCTGAAAAATCTACAGCTAACATAATACTTATTGGTGAAAGACTAATTGCTTTCTCTGTAAGATTGGGAACAAGGCAAGGATATACGCTCTCACCATTCTTACTCAGCATTTTACTAAAAGTTCTAGCCGTGACAATAAGGTAAGAGAAATAAAAGGCATGCAGCTTAAAAAGGAAGAAATTAAGCTGTATCTATTTGCAGATGAGGGGATTGTCTATAAAGGAGATACCAGGGAATTTACAAAAAATTTTAGAATTTATAGTTAAGTAGGGTAACAGAATACAACATCAACCCATAAAAATCAATTACATTTCTATATACAAACCAAATTAAAAATGCAACACCACTTACAATTACTGCAAAGAAAACAAAATACTTGCGTAGAAATTTAACAAAACATATACTAGATCTAAATAATACAATTCCAATGCTCATTAAAGAAACCAAAGAAGACCTCAATACTTGGAGAGACATACTATGTTTATGGATTAGGAAACTCAAACTAGTAATGAATCCATAGGTTTAAGACAACTCCTATCAAAATCTAGCAAGGCTTTTTGTACACAAAGACAAGATGATTCTAAAATTTATATAGAAAAGGGAAAGGCCTAGAATAGCCAAAACAATTTTGAGAAAGAAGGATGAATTGAAAGTAATCACTTTTCCTGAACCTACAGCTTACTACATAGCTAAACTGACAAAGACTGTGACTCTGGCAGAAGGATAAACACATATCGGTGGAACAGAATATAAATTCAGAAACAGATCCACACAAATATGGATCAAATTTATTTTTGACAAAGGATCAAAATCAATTCAATGGAAGAGAGATAGCATTTTAAATAAATGGTACTGGAAGAATTGGACATTCACAGAAAGAAAACTATAACCTAAACTTCACACCTTATACAACATGTAACTCAGTATAAGTCATGGAGTTAAAAGTAAGATATAAAACTATAAAACGGGGCCGGGCGCAGTGGCTCACACCTGTAATCTCACCACTTTGGGAAGCCGAGGCGGGCGGATCATGAGGTCAAGAGTTCGAGACCACCCTGGCCGACATGATGAAACCAAGTCTCTACTAAGAATACAAAAATTAGCTGGGCATGGTGGCATGTGCCTGTAATCCCAGCTACTCGGGAGGCTGAGGTAGAAGAATTGCTTGAACCCAGGAGGCAGACGTTGCAGTGAGCTGAGATCATGCCCCATTGCGCTCCAGCCTGGGCGACAGGACAACACTCTGTCTCAGGAAAAAAAAAAAAAAAAACAACTATAAAACTTCTAGAAAAAATAGGAGACAATCTGAGAACTAGGACTACACAAAGATTTTTAGGCTTGACAATAAAAACATAATTCATTAGTTTAAAAATGTAAATTGAAGTCTAGTAAAATTAAAAACTTTTCTTCTGGGAAAGACCCTGTTAAAAAGATGAAAATAAAAATTATAAAAACTAGGAGAAAATATTTGCATATCACGTGTCCAACAAAGGACCTATATTACAATATATAAAGAACTCTCAAAACTGAATATTTAAAAATATCCATTGGAAAATGGAGAAAAGGCATGAATAGATATTTCGTAAAGAACATCTACAGATGCCAAATAAGCACATGAAAGTACATTCAACATCAGTAGTCATTAGAGAATTGCAAATTGAAATCATAATGAGATATCACTATATAACTATCAGAATGGCTAAAATAAAAAATAGTGATAACACAAACTGCTGGCAAGGATGCAGAAAAACTGGATCACTCATGGGTTTCTGGTAGAAATGTTTAATGCCACAACCACCAGTTTGGCCGTGTTTTGTAAAACAAATCACACAATATACCCTATGACCCAGCAATTGCACTCTTCAGTATTCATCCCACAGAAATGAACACTCATTTGCAGGAAGAACTTGTAAATAAATGTTTACAGAGGCTTTATTCATTATAGCCTGAAATTGGAAATTAACCAAATGTCCTTTACAGGGTGAATGGCTAAAAAAACTGTGGTACATACCTGCCATAGAACACTATTCATCAATAAAAGGTACAAACTACTGATTCATGCAACCATTTGGGTGAACTTCCAGGAAATTATGTGGAGTGAAGAAAAGGCCAACTCAAAGGATATATATTGCTATATTCCATTATGTAATATTGTTTTGGTCTTTCTGCTCCTTAGCTCAGCTAGGTCCTAGCTCTTGTCTCGCAACCAGGAAGAATTAGATGTGCAGACAGTGGAGGAGAATGAGTGGAGCAGAATTTATTAAGTGAAAGGAAAGCTCTCAGCAAAGAGAGGATACAGGGAGTGAGGGGGGTTCCGCTACCTGACGGTGGGAAACTTCCCTGTATGGCTGGGTCTAGGGCCTTTTATGGACTCTGAATGGGGAGTGTGTGCTGATTGGTTTGTGAGTATGGAAAAAAGGTTGAAGCAAAGACACCACTCAAAAGTGGGCACAACAGAGTAGAAAACCAATTAGGAAAGGGTAGGTATATGTAAAATAGGTGAAGGGTAGGGATTGATCAGGAAAGCGCACCAAACAGGAAGACAAGTTCTCAATCTGGTCCGAGGATTTAGCCTGTAGCTTGGCTTTCAGGCTTTAAACTGTCCAGTTTGGATGTGGTGTTTCACTGGGGACCTACGCCATCTACCTAGGCATTTGGCTGCTTCCTGCCAGTCTCAACATTTCTGAAATGACATAATTATAGAGATGGAAAACAGGTTAATGGTTGCCAAGGTTTAGGGATGGGAACAGACGTGTGGATGTGGCTACTAAGGGGTAATAGGAAGGAGCCTTTGGGGACAGTAAAGCATCTTGATTGTGGTATTGGATATGTGAAGCTACACACGTGATAAATTTGCATAGAGATGTGGGTACACACAAACACACACACACACACACACACACACACACACACAAAGGGTTACATGTTTGGTGAAATCTAAAGCTCTGTGGATTGTACCAATGTCAATTTCCTAGCAAAACTGTGCTATAGTTATACAAGATGTTAACATCTGGTGAGGTTAGGTGAAAGTTGAATGGGATCTCCCTGTCCATTTCTTTGCAACTTCTTGCGAATCTGTGACTATTTCCAAGTAGAAAGTTAATAAAATAAAATAACAAGGTAATAAGCAAGATGAGAAAGAAAGAAGTGCAGCTGATGCTCTCAAATCTTTCTGAAGTCTGTTGAAAGAGACACAATCTTTGGAAAACAATGTGGCATAATATTTTTGCCCAAACTTTTCCCCTGGAAGTCTCCCTTTTGGGACCTCTAAGGATATTATCCTAAATAAGAAAAACAACCTACATGCAAGAGGAATTTTTATGGTGTTATTTGTAGTAACAAAAAATATTGGATGCAATTTAATTTTCCAGCACAAGGGGAAGGATTAATGACATCAAGATGCACATCTAGCCAGGGAAATACCAGCTGCCATTAAATGTGATGTTGAAAAATACAAAATTGCAAGAGGAGAAATGCCTCGGTTAGTAAAATGGTAGAAAATCAGGAGACCAAATAGTATGTATTACCTTTATGTAATATGGGAAGAGGGAAAAGGAAATATGTAAGAATGACATGTATGTTGGTATAATGAAAATCTGGGATTTTTTCTTTTTTGTATGTTCCACATTTTTAAAATACAATTTTATTTTTAGAACTATAAATAACAAAATAAAATCCTCCTTCACTTGCTTGAGAACATTTATCACTTTGAGCAGACTCAGGTATTTAGCTTTAAATAATATCCTGGCTCCAGGGGCTTAGGGAAGAGACACAGAGGGCAAGCTGAAAAGTACACAGATCATTCTTACCTGTTTTTGATCACGCCTATATTGGAGAAAGGGTGAGTATTCTCTGTCTTCTACATTCTACTTCACATAGCCCAGAACCCAGCTGAGCACATTATTTACAATCATGATTCAGCTATGTGAAGGGAACTCTGTGCCGTGTGTGCTGGTCTGGGTCTCTGATCACCACTCATGATCTTGTTTCTGAATTCCAAATCATTGTCAACAAAATCGACAAGACCACCATCTTTCCTTGGCAGCAAAATATGAAGGCTACTGTCTGCTTTCTATTGATAACAAAAATCTTGCGCATAGGATATCCCTAGTGAAAACAGATGCATCATACAGCCTTCTAGGTGTGAACTTTTAAATAATTTATCAGTTTCTTAATAAATAAATACTAATGATAATGTTAGTCTCTCTTTATGCTGACCTTTTAATGTGGATCCCACACTCTTTTGTACGTGGCATGTATGTTTGATAAACACGGGTATTGATCCCTCCCCACTTCATAAAAATCAAATTGGATTTCAAAGCATCCCATGTGACTGTAGCCAGGACGATGAAAATTTATTGGATGTTATGAATCCTGATATTTCCCCGGAAAAAGCTGGCCAAGCAGGAGGTACGTGTCTGGGAGTAACAATGCTCATAGTACTCTACTTTCCCTTTATAGTACGTGATACTTTGTACATGTATATTTAATTGTGCAGTTGTTTAATGTCTCTCTCCTCCACCCCGTTTGAAGCCCCAAAAGAAGGTGATCACGTCTCTTTTCTTCGCTGCAACGTTCGAGTCGCCTAATATATTACCCTGCTTATACCTGACAAAAATGCACTGAAATAATAAAAATGACAGTACAGGTAGATGGGATAGTCTTCAGGCTGTCAGAGTAGAGAGAAAACATTAATATTTATGAGAATCAATTATGTATTAGGCACTGTGGGTTTTTTCCTCATTTAATTTGTACTACAATCTTTATTTATTTTTAATTTTTGTGTTTGTTTGTTTTGAGACAGAGTCTTACTTTGTCACCTCGGCAGGAGTGCAATGGCGTGAACGTAGCTCACTGCAGCCTTGACCTCTCGGGCCCAAGCTACCCTCTCCTCAGCCTCCCAAGCAGCTTGGATCACTGGTGTGTACCACCATGCCTGGCTTTTTTAAAAATTTTTTTGTAGAAACAGGGTCTCCGTATGCTGCCCAGACTGGTCTCAAACTCCTGGGCTCAGGAAATTCTCCTGCCTCGGCCTCCCAATGTGCTGCGATTACAGGTGTGAGCCACGCCCCTAGCCTGTGTTACAATCTTTAAACTAGCTTTTCTTCTTCTTCTTCCTCTTCTTCTTCTTCTTCCTCCTCTTCTTCTTCTTCTTCTTCTTCTTCTTCTTCTTCTTCTTCTTCTTCTTCTTCTTCTTCTTCTTCTTCTTCTTCTTCTTCTTCTTCTTTTCTTTTTTGAGACAGAGCCTCACTTTGTTGCCCACGCTGGAGTACAGTGGCATCATCTTGGCTCACTGCAATTTTCGCCTCCAGATTTCAAGCAATTCTCGTGCCTCAGCCTCCCGTGTAGCTGGGATTATAGGCATGTGCCACCACGCCTGGCTAACATTTGTATTTTTAGTAGAGAGGGGTTTTGCCATGTTGGCCAAGCTGGTCTTGAACTCCTTGCTGCAAGTGATCCACCCACCTCAGGCTCCCAAAGTGCTAAGATTACAGGCATGAGCCACCGTGCACGGCAGCTAAACTAGCTATTTGGATCACTTTTGAAGTAACTAAATCGAAGTTCAGAGGCGTTGAGCTATTTATCCAAGGCTGCATAGCTTATCTTGTAAGTCAGGTGCGTCTAACCTTAAATACTTATTTTTTTTTTCTATATCTTACTGCCAATTTAAGCCCCACTGGAAGAAAATTAATAATAAAGTATCCTTTACAATGGACTGGAAAATAATTGTGGGGTCATCTGTGGAATCAGTATAATGGAGAAAAGAGCCTAATGTGGTAAATATATATTTTATAAAGTCCTTACCTCAAAGATTCACAAACTAGGAGACAGCTGACTGTATTGGGGCTGAATTCCAGCCACCACTGAGTGATTGAAGAAAGGACAGAGAAAGCCCCGATCTTAGAAACACTGTCTTTGAGAAAGAAACTTATTTCAGGGGGCAGTGTGGAACGTTCCTGATGCCACAGTAAAGATGTGCACTGGATTTTTCATTCGGTAACTCTCCTGAATCCCATTGGGGTTATAATACAGCAGCTTTGAAAGACTGAAGAACTTTTATGTTATAATGACTGGAGTAGTTAAAATGTTTTAAATCCGCAAAACCGAGTGTCAGATTTAGCATTACATCTTTATTTTATCCTCAAACATGCCTGCTTAAAACAAATGGATGGTAAAGCCCATTCGCACTCCACTGAGGAACAAAGAACACTGGGCAGGGTGCCAGTCACCTTGAAAGGACCAGCTAGGTGTCAAGCCAGATGTGAGAATGCAAAACTGAACAACACAGTCACTATTTTCATGCTGCTAACATTGCAGCTGAGCGATTATAGACAGTAATCAAACTCTCGCCAAAATCCTCTGAATAAAAGTCTGACCAAGAACTAGAAATGAGAATGACTCTGCTCCATTGCTGACTAGCATTATTATTTACATGAAGACTTAGGGAGAGAAGTAATCACATACATTATGTTCCTTGAGGAGAGAACAGATTTTTCTTTGCAAGTCTAATTCCTTTTGTTTGTCTTGAAAAACAATGGAAATAAAAAGGCAATAGGCAGAAAGGACAGTGAGGATTTATTTAGCTAAAAATTTTATACTGCTTGCCTATTTCCAAGAGGAGGTTAAAACACATATTAAAACATGTGAGTTCAGTGACATTCCTCCAATAGCATAAAAATTAATTATAGAGTTAAACATAAGCCAATTCTGTCTTTGAGCTCTATTTAGCAAGGATGAAATATGGTTTAGAAGCTGCCCAACTTCAAGTACTCCTACAGCACACATTTGATGAGTTGACTGTAAGTGAATTAGAAACATACGGATTTCATTTTCTTTGCAATACATATGAGCTTAAAAATCAAATGCAACAGGGATTGTCAAAACATATTCTGGGAAAAGCCTGGTACAGTGTTTCTCTCAATCAAACCCAATGAAATTACTTTCATTTTTTCCTCGTGAATTCCAGTAATAACTTGGCACAGCATTGAATTTTACTTTTCCCTATTTTAAAGTTTCGTTTGAGGATTACCCGTTACTTTAAAATGGACACTTTATGGGTGACCATTGCATTGCTTACTATTTTCTATTGAATACATGAGACTTAAAAAATTCTGTGTTCAGATTTATTAATTTAAATGGAAATGAGGTTGACTATGCTTGCTTTCTTTAGGGGTAAGCGGATGGGTGGGAATAAAACATTTTATTTATATAAAATCAACTACCGTGTTTGAAAGGGGATTCAAGCGTGTGGATCTTGCCGTATTTTTCCTGTGTTTGCTGTAGAGTTTCATATCCAAATGTTGTCCTACATGTTGATTTAATTGACCACAATTTTCAACTGCAAACTTTTGGAGAGCAGAGACTGTGTAAGTTTTATCCATCAGTATGGTGTTTAGAAAGCCCATCGTTCTCTACGGATTGGGTAATGACCCATGCAATTACATTAAAAGAATTTTCTAAGCATTATAAGCCTACATTTATTTTTGAAAACCTCAAAACCCCAATAATTCATTATTCCTTTATTACAAAGTTTAATTTTTAAGCGCCAGCCATATGTCAGCTTCTTTCAGAATCCAATAGCGTTTCTTTCACTCTCATAAAATCAAGTTACCACGATTAAGATTTATTTTAAGGAAAGTGGTTTAGGTCTTATAGATTTTCCTAGAGACATTATTTATTATTAGCCTGACATTTATTTGCAGGATGGCATCAAACTACTCTTAACTGTGTATAGCAGAGAATTTGTCACGGGTGGGTCTCTGAATAAGAGAGCATATCCCATTCTGCACCCTTTATCTCAACCATCTGCTGAGATGCAGTGTATACAGGACATGGAGCAAAAACTGATTAGCCTTCAGGCATTCCAGCTAGTGGATATTTACAGTGTTTTTCACTTAGGTGTTTGCTAAGAGGAGAAACTTGAACTAAGTTATCAAAAGAATTGCCCAACACACATGACTTGTCAACTGGTTTTTGACACCTGCGTCAACACCAGATAGAAAGCAATGATTGCAATTCACCAGTCACACCCCTCCACACGCCCCTTAGTATCACTAATCACAGGGCTGCCAGATGGGATGAACAGTTCAAATTTACTTTATTTTTTCTTAAATTTTGTTTGAATCTTTGCCCCCTTTGTATTATATTCTCTTTTAAACTAAGCATAAGGAAGTTTTTTTAATCCCTTAGGAGAAAAAATTAGGCAGCATGTTAGAAATAGATAAAGGAAAGTTAGAAAATTTGTCTTTTAAAATATTTACTTTATTTTACAAACTAAAAGAAAATTTGCCTTTTAAATAAGTATCCCAAGCATTTTCCCTTCTGTATTTTTACAGGCTTGTAACACATTTCATTTCATTGACAGATAGTTTTGACAAATGCCTAAGGATTGTCTTGCTGTCTTTCCAGCTACATTTCCACTAACATCTCTGAAATCACAAAGTTAAGGACAAGTTGTCCTAAGTACTGAAATAGTGTATTTATCTAGCGGGAAGCATATTTGAGGCAGGTACTAATCTCCTGCCAACTGCTTCAGCCTTGACTCACAGGATATCTGCCGTCTTCATTACGAGAGTAGTGATGTCGTCAAGGAACTCCCTTGCATACATTATGTTTATTTCTTTTTTTTTTTTTTTCTGAGACAGAGTCTCACTCTGTCATCCAGACTGGAGTGCAATGGCGTGATCTCAGCTTACTGCAACCTCTGCCTACCCGGTTCAAGCAATTCTCCTGCCTCAGCCTCCTGAGTAGCTGGGATTACAGGCACGCGCCACCACACCCTGCTAATTTGTGTATTTAGAAGAGACGGGGTTTCACCATGTTGGTCAGGCTGGTCTCGAACTCCCGACCTCGTGATCTGCCTGCCTCGGCCTCCCAAAGTGCTGGGATTACAGGCGTGAGCCACTGTACCCGGCCTTATGTTTCTTATGTCTTGCTGTTTTCAGTATTCTTTCCTTGTCTTTGATTTTTGATAATTTGATTATCATATGTCTCGGTGAATTCCTCTTTAGGTTGAATTTAAAGGGAGACTTCTGAGTTTCCTATACCTCGATGTTGTCATCTTTCCCCAGATTTGGAAACTTTCAAGCCATTATTCTCTTAAATATGCTTTCTAGGGCTTTCTCTCTCACTTCTCCTTCAGGAATTCTTATCGTGCATAAGTTAGTTCTCTTGATAGGGTTCCATAATCCCATAGGCCTTCTCCATTTTTTTTCACTCCTCTGACTAGAAAATTTCAAATGTCTTATCTTCAAGTGCACTGATTCTTTCTTCTTTGATTAAGCCTGCTGTTGAAACTTTTTATTGAAAATTTTAGTTTACTGTATTTTTTATAGCTAGGATTTCTGTTTTTTTTTGTTTCCACTTTATCAAACATTTTGTCAATAAGTTATTTTCCAAATTTTATTTAATTTTCTATCTTTATTTTCTTGTAGTTCTCTGAACTTAAGAGGATTGTTGTGAATTCTTTGTCATTTCATAGATCTCCGCTTTTTCAGGGTCTATTATTGGAACTTTATTAGTTTCTTTTGGTGTTGTCATTTCACTCTGATTTTTCATAGTCTTTATGTCTTGCATTGGTGCCTGTGCATTTGAGGAAATGGCCAACCTTTCCAGCTTTTGCTGGTGTTCTCTGATGGTGGAAGACCTTCGTTATTTAATCCAGTCAGAGACTGTGATGGGGCCAGTTGGTGGCAACTTCAGACGGTAGACTTTACTATTATGTTCTCTAGTTTGGCTGGGATGTTAATTATGCTCTGGGGTTCAGTGGAACTGCTCTGTGGTGCAGTGAGACCTGCTCAGCTTAGCTCTGTGCTTTGGTGAGACCACAGGCTGACCTCAGCAGCAAGGCAGATCTGCCGACTGGGCTGTGATTGCCTCTGACTGGGCAGTGGTGGAGGTTGTCTTTCCTGGCTGGCCAGAATGCAGTTTGGCACATGTAGTTGGGCAGGGCCACGTGCTGGTCTCTGAGTTTGGGACCTGTAGTTGGGCAGGGCCACGTGCTGGTCTCGAACTCCTGGCTTCAAGTGATCCATCCACTTCAGCCTCCCAAAGTGCTGGGATTCCAGGCATGACCCACTGCTCATGGTCATGCTACTATTTTTGCAGGACGATTGATACTTTGAAACTTTGCAGTTTGACAAAATTAGATGAAGATGGAACAAGTAATGGTTTGTTGCATGGAAGTATGTATTAGGGACCATGAGAAAAAAAAAGATGTATTTTTTAATATATCTCTCCTGCATAATGTAACTACATAATTTATTATCAAAAGGAAGAACTATTGCTATGTATTCCAAGTCAATATATATAAATCCATAAATCAAGATTCAAACCCATATGAATGTTTCTCTTTTCATTAAGATCCTTTTACTTTAAATATTTATTGTGGAAATGTACACACACACACATACACACAGACTTATAGATTTAGAGAACAACCTAATGAATCCATGTACCCTTCGTCTAGGTTCAGAAATTATCAACCTGTGGCCAATTGTCATTGTTTTGTACACCAAGTCTGACTCTGCCTCCCCAAATATAAGCGCAAATCCAAGACAGTATATCGAGTCATGTCTTGAGCGAAACATTAATTCATTTTCACCCATACCCTGCTTTTGTCCTCCACCATGGCCTGTTCATAGCATCACCCTTGTCCCTTTCCTTCTTGTTTTTCTATTTAGTTCTGCTGCTCTGATGGGTCGAGTCTGCCAGAAGACAGACTGTGAAGGTCAGTGTGGCATACAAATGACTCAAAGAGAGGGAGATACCAACAGTTCCTCCTGCCCTGCCCTCCTTTGGTCTCATCCATATAGCTCCATCATGGTGGCTCCATAACGGCTGTAGGCGATCCCCCGGTGCAGGCGAGGATCACTCTCTTGCTGCTCTGTCTGGGAGTGTTTCTATTCCTTTCTGGATGGCCCCAGATTGCACACTGTCAATACCACAGCCCCCCAGAAGTGGTGATACCTGTCAGGATAACTGGCATTGGTAGAAACATAAAGCTTCCAGGCTGGCTCTCATATAGCCTGTGCTTTGGGGAACAGAGACACATTGTCCACATGAAGGCCAAGAAGAATCTGATATCCAGATACCTTTCTGTGTTCAGTTACACTGATCAGGGTGCTCTCCTTGAGAACCAACCTTTTGTCCAAAGTGATTGCTACTACCATGGTTATATGGAAGGGGACCCAGAGTCCCTGGTTGCTCTCAGCACCTGTTTTGGGGTCTTTTAAGGAATACCACGAGTAAATGATGTTGTTTATGAAATCAAGCCCAAAGGCTTTCTGCCACATTTGAACATCTGGTGTATAAGCTAGATAGCAAGGAGACGCAATTCCCACCCTTAGGATGTGGATTAACAGAAGAAGAAATAGCACGACAATTGAAGTTTCAAGACAGTGATAACTCCACTCTGATGCAAAGCACCTATGAGGGCTAGCGGACCCACAGATGGCTTCTTGAACTGGCAGTGGTGGTAGACCGCACACGATTCCTTTATCAGAAAAGGAATATTTCAAATGTGCAGAAGGATGTAAGCCTTATTATCAATGAAGTAGATGCCTTTTATTCTTCAGTAGAAGTTGTTGTGGTTTTACTTGGAATTGAGATTTCGATCGAAGGAAACCCCATAGCAATAAATGACCTATATGCAGTCCTGCCAGAATTTTGCAAATGGAAGAAGGTCAGCTTAAATTCCCACATAAAACATGATGCTGTACATCTTATTGTGAAGAAAGGATATGGTAGATTTGCTGGCTTATCCTACCTCGGAACAGGATGTAGTCTTGCTGGTAATTGTGGAGTTGTTAGTTTCCTGGATGACCAAATGCTTAGATTTGCATTCATTATGGCACATGAGCTTGGCCATACTTTGGGTACGCCACATGATAGAATCCCATGTACATGTGCGGAGAAAATATGCATAATGTGTCCGACAGTAAACATCACATATAGGTTCAGCAACTGCTGTTACGAGATGTTGTTCGCAACCACTGTGAAAACGACCTGTTTGCGTGGTTCGCCAAATCCAGAGAACATCTTCACACACAAGTACTGTGGGAACGGTGTGTTTGAGGAAGGAGAGGAGTGTGACTGTGGATCTTTATTCTTGTGTACTCAAGATCTGTGTTGTTTGGCAAACTGTACTCTGAAACCTGGGGCTGCTTGCGCTTTTGGACTTTGTTGCAAAGACTGACAGTTTCTTCCATCAGGACACTGGTGTAGAGAAAAGCACAATGAATGTGATCTTTCAGAGAGGTGCGATGGAACTTTGCATAATTGTCCAGAAGATGTGTATGTGCAGGATGGCCTTGGTTGCATGGACAGTGGCTACCGCTGTCAAAAGGCATGTAGAAACCATGATGGACAGTGTAAACACATTTTTGAGAAGGTAGCCAAGAGTGCAAATCAGAGTTGCTACAGGGTGAACACCGACGGTGACTGTTTGGCCACTGTGGTTTCAATAACACTAAATATGTAAGATGTAATATTTCAGATATCCTGTGTGGGAGAGTTCAGTGTGAGAATGTGACAGAAATTCCCATTCCGAGAGATCATTCTATGATGCATTGGGCTCACTTCAACGGCATCAACTGCTGGAGTACTGACTACCATTTTGGAATGACCATACCTGATATTGGTGAAATGAAAGATGGCACAGAGTGTGGTTCAAAACATGTGTGTACACATAGGAAGTGTGTCCCTCTGCCATTTGAGGAAAGTACTTGCTCACCTGAGACCTGTAATATGAGAGGCATCTGCAACAATAGACATCGTCATTGCAATTATAAGTGGGCCCCACCCTACTGCCTGTTAAAAGGCACAGGAGGAAGTGTTGACAGTGGCCCATCCCCTAGGAAAAAAACAAAACTATGATTGCACAAGAAAATTTTGTTGATACTACTTTTATTAATTCCTGTGTGTCTCTGTTTACATTTGTTAATTTTGCTTAGTAAGAGCCAAAAACCACATCAGAAAGAAGAGCAAAATGTTCAAACTTCACCTGAGAAAGAAAAGCAAAACGTTCAGACTCCATCTGAGACAGAATAGGAAATTTTTACAATTTCAGAAAAGAAACTCAATCCTTAATGAAATATCCTGTGTATTAATTTTTAGTTCCTGGCAGTAGAAATGTTATTGCCGGTGTCAGAGACCACTGACAGAAAAACCCAGAGATCTATCATGTTTCAGGATTAACAATCACCATTAAAGAAAGGTAATTCCCAGTGTATTTCTAGTTTTCATCACTTTAAGCAATTTTCGTGGAACTTTTCTCTTTGTTTTTTTTTCTGAGCAAAGACACGACTTGTGGATGGGGTGGGGGTGTGTGTGTGTGTGAGCTTGCTCGGTCTCAATTCCAAGCCCTCTTCCTGTCCCTACTGTGCCCATGGAAAATGGGAACCCACAAATCGCAATTCTTTGCCAGTCCTCTCCGTATTCATTTCTGTCAATAGAGGAACGAGAGAGACTGGAAACCTAAGCGAACAGTTTGATTCCTGTTTATGTCAGTGCTGCCACAGTAACAGCTTTCACCTTGGCAGCAACAGTAGCTTTCAGTCTCTGCATTATTTTTTGTATATATTTAGGAACTCCCAGAACCAACAGTATTGCCAGCCCCAGAGATACTAGCACAGCTACAAACAGCTTACACTCACAGTTCTGAGTCCCCGGTCTTTGAGCCCTACACCAAATTTCAGAGGTTACAACCCCAAGTTGGCTGGACCCACTCCTCCAAGGTTGGAGTCCTAGAACCAGGGGACCTTTTCCAAAGCTTTAGGTTCCAATAACTCCAATCTTTTCCATTTGATCTCCACTCTAGTCATGAGAGCTACATCTTGTTAGTAATTCGTGGCTATCTCAGTGGTGTGGTTTCCCATTTTCTGTCTGAAGTCTACGTGATACAGTGCCTACCTTGGTAAAGCAGAGAACAGAGGAAGGAGTCAGATCTCAGAAAGCTTGGAATTTTTCTCACTATCCCCTTCAATTTCTTCAAAATCTAAAAAGAGCTTATTAACACTTGCCACTCAACTCCTTTGGAACTTTGATTATAAAATACGATAAAGAAGATGCTTACAATTCTATGTAGGATGTAATAAATTTTAGCAAATCATGTTTCCCCTAGGTTAAAAAAAATGGGGAAATCCCAATTAAACTTTAAAAATCATATTTTAAAGCCATCAGAGAGCTGTAGCAACAAGGAGGACTAGAGGAACTAAATTTCAGGCATGGAAAGCAATTGTGAAACGAGTTGAGTATTGCCAGCTGTTTCTTCCTCTGGTTTGCTTGCTGATGTGGGATATGAAGTAAGGATTAGGCTTAGCCCAGTCCGAGGACCTCTGCCGAGAGAAAAACCCACCAATCCTCTTAATTGCTACACAGGATTAAATTCAAACATTAGACATTTTGGAACCTTCAATTTGTAACCATTTCCCCCCAACTCACATTTGCTGAATTTGAGGGCGTTGTGGGATGCTGGTGAGCTAGCTTGCATTTTCTCAAAAAGACTAGTTAGCTAAAATCATGTTATATTTTGGACACAAGACATAGGTTTGTCTCCAGCATATGTACTGTCTCTTTAAGATGCTTCTCTGATTTTGAACTTTCTTTAGCAAAAGGCTGGACAGCTGGGGTGGAAACTTTGAGTGATAGTGATTCGTCCCCAACATCTTTCAAAGCTGAGGAAATACAGTCAGGTAGACTCCTAGTTGAGGATCTAGCAGACCCACGTCTGAGCAGTATTAAAAAAAGAGAATTAGTCCAAGCGTTAATAAAAAACTCATTTACCGGTGACCTGGTTCAGTCCATGACTGGTTTAGGTAATCATCTCCTCATGCTATCTTCCTAACAGGAGAAAGAGGAGAAAATCTCTAGTGAAGACACCTAGAGCTTCTGCAGTTTTTTTCTACACAACTTCCTGCATATAATAAAACATTTCTATTTACGCTAACAGTAAAATAATTATTACCTGTTATTAGAGAAAAAGGAAAAAAAGAAGAAGGAGAAATTTTTAATAGCATCAAGATAATCCAGACAGGGGAGCAAAAGTACATGAAAAAATGACTATGATAAATACATTTCAAAAAAAGAGAAAAATGTACAAAATGTAAGAGAGAATGTAGAGTTTCCTCAGTGAATTGGAAATTATCAAATGGGTATTTTGGAACTAGAAATTACAATTTATTATAAGAACTCAGTAGATGAATTGAACAGTAGATTGTACCAGTCAGATTACAGAATTAAGCGGAAGACAGGCCAATGAAAAAATCCCCACCCCAAAGCACACAGAAAAAAAGCATAGAAATAAGAAAGCAAGAAGTTTATGGAATACATGAACAGTTCTAAGAACCCTAATATTGGTGTTCCAGAGAAAGCAAAAAGAGATAATTGAATAGAAATAATATTCAAACAGCTCTTTGTTGGTAATTGTTTCAAAAAGGAGAAAATATTGCCTTCCACTGCTTGATAATGGGCCACATATTTCTCAGAGGCTCTTTGAATTTTTCTTTTTCTTGTTTCTTTCCTTTCTCCAGATTGTGTCCTCTCTAATAACCTATCTTCTAGTCTGTTTGTTCTTTGTTCTGTCTGTTCAAATCTTCTATTCTCCTCTATGAAACTTTTTACTTTGGTTATTACAGTTTTAATTTTAGGAATTTCCATTTAGTTCTTTGATACATACAATTTCTGTCTCTTCATTGATATTGAAGGTGGCTTTTTGTATAGCATACCTTTGATAAGAAGCTGTGTTTGAACGTCTTGAGTCAGTGAGGAATTTATTCATTAGTTCTAACTTGTGTGTGTATGTGTATTTAATTTTTGAGTTTTGTACATATATGATCATGTTGTCTGCAAAGAGAGATTATTTTAATTCTTCCTTTACAATTCAGAAGGCTTTTATTTCTTTTTCTCATCTAATTGCACTGGCAAGGACTTCCAGTACTATGTTGAATAAAAATGAATAGTGCGAACATCCTTTTCTCATTTCTAATTTTAGAAAACAAGCTGCCATGTTTCATCATTAAGTGTAATGTTAAGTTCCAGTTTTTTCATATATGGCCTTTATTATAGAAGGTAAATTCCTTCTATATATAATGTGTTGAGAGGTTTTATCATGAAAGGGTGTTGAATTTTGTCAAAAGCTTTTTCTGTATCCATCAAGATGATCAGGTGGTTTTTATCTTTCACTCTGTTAATCTGATACATCACATTGATTGATTTGCATACGTTGAACCATCCTTGCATCTTAGCAATGAATCACACTTGATCAGAGTGTATGATCATTTTTAAGTGGTGATGAATTAGAATTGGTAGTATTTTATTGAGGATTTTTGCATGTAAGTTCATCAGAGATACTAGCCTGTAGCATTCTTTTCTTGTGGTGGCTTTGTTTGTCTTTGATATAAGGGTAATGCTGGTCTCATAAAATGAGTTTGGAAGTGTTCCTTCTTTTTTCACGTTTTGGAAGAGTTTGAGAAGGATTGCTGTTAATATTTTAAATGTTTCATGGAATTTATCAGTGAAGCCACCTGGTCCTAGGCTTTTCTTTGTTATGAAAACTTTTTGAATACTCATTCAATCTCCTTATTTGTTATCAGTATCTTCCAACTTTCCAATTCTCTTGATTCAGTCTTGATATGTTTCATATTTCTTGCAATTTATCCATTTTTTCTAGGTTATCTAAATTGTTGATGTATAGTTCGTAATAGCTCCTTATGATCTTTTTAATTTCTGAGGTAGCCATTGTAATGTCTTTTCTTTCATTTCTGATTTTTTTGAGTCCAGATAGACTATCCATTATTATAAGTGGAGTATTGAAGTAGTCTCATATTATCATTTTTCTGTCTATCTATAGATAGATAGACAGATCTATCAATATTTGCTTTTTATTTTTAGGTGTTCTGATATTCGCTGTATATACATTATTATATCTTCCTGCTGATTTGACCCTTTTATCACCATACAATTTTTTTGACCCTAGTAACAGTTTTTGAAGAAAAGTCTATTTTCTATGATACAAAAATATAACCACTCCTGCTTTATTTTGGTTACCAATGGCGTGGGATATTTTTTTCCATTTTTTCTCTGTCAGTTTATCTGTGCCTACACCTAAAGTGAGTCTCATAGAAAGTGTATCTCTTGATCTTGTATTTTATCCATTTAGAGACTCTCTACTTTTTGACTGGGCAGTTTAATGTATTTACATTTAAATTAATTATTAATATATAAGGACTTACTAGTGTCATTCAGTTGTTTTGCAGCTGTTTTGTTTCTCTCCTCTCTTGTTGTCTTCCTTTTGTATTTGATGATTTATGTAATGATTTTCCTTTTTTCTCATTATCATTTGTTTATATGTCACAGTTTTTTGTGGCTATCATGAGGTTTGCATAAATATCTTGTAATTGTGTTATAACCACCTACATAAATTTATAACAACTTCAATCACATTTAAAAAACTCTACATTTCTGCTTCACCCACCCAGTCTATGTTATTGCAGTTAGAGTTCACTTCCTTTTATATTGCATATCCATGAACAAATCGTATAGTTATAGTTATTCATAATACTTTTGTCTTTTAACTTTTATATTAGAGTTAACATTAGTTTATGCACCATTATTACAGTGTTATGTTACTACATATTTGTCTATATATTTACCTTTACCTGCGAGATGTATGGTTTCATATGCCTATGTATATGATATTTAGCATGTTTTTATTTCAATTTTAATAACTCTCTTCAGCTTTGCTTGTAAGGAAGGTTTAGTGGTGATGAATTCCATCAGTTTTTGTTGTCTGGGAAATATTTTATCTCTCTTTAATTTTAAAAGGATAGCTTTTCCAGGTATAGTATTTTTGATTGGCATTTTTTTTTTTCATTCAGTACTTTGAATATATCATCCCACTCTCTCTTGGACTCTCTCCCACTTTCTCAGGAGAAATCCACTGATAATCTTATGGAGGTTCCTTTCTATATGAGGAGTTGCTTTTCTCTTGTTGCTTTCAAAATTCAAAAACCCTGTGTGGGGTCCTTCAGGCTTCTTGAATCTGAATGTCTATTTCTTTCTCCAGATTTGAGAAGTTCTCAGTCACTATTTCTTTCAGTAAGCTTTCTGCTCCTTTCTCTCTCTTCTCCTTTGGGAAGTCCATTATGCGTATTCTGATTTTATTTATCACGTCACGTAAGTCCCATGGGCTTTCTTCCCTCTTTTTTATTTTTTTGTTTCTTCTCTGAATAATTTCAAATGACCTGCCTTTGAGTTTACTACTTCTTTATTCTGCTTGTTTGCTTTAGAAGCTCCATTGCATTTTTCATTTCAGTCATTGTATTTTTTAGTTCCAGAAATTCTGTTTGGAACTTTTTTATGACTTTTATCTCTTGTTGGAATTATCATTTTGTTCATGTATTGTTTCCCTAAAATAGCTGATTCATCTATTTGTGTTCCATTGCAGCTTGGTGAACTTCAAAACAATTGTTTTGAATTATTTGTCAGGCCATTCGTAGATCTCCATTTCTTTGAGGTTGGTTACTGAAAATGTATTATGTTCCTTCAGTGGTTTCATATTTCCCTGATTTTTAGTGTTACCTATAGCCTTGTGTTGGTGTCTGCACATTTGAAGAAGCAAGCATTTCTTTCAGACTTTACAGATAGCTTCAGTAGAGAAAGACCTTAACCAGTGACAGACTTGAGGGCACTGGCTATATAAGTTTCGTGGTGATGGCAGGTTCAGAGACGCATGGCAATGCTAGTTCAGTGGGTGCACAAGGTCAATAGTTCTGGGTTTGTACAGTGGTGCCAGCTGTCAAAATTACGGAGAGGTCAAGAGCCCCAGCGTCAGGGAAGTGCAGCAACATGGGTTTTGAGTGGCTCCAGCAGCTGAAGCTCACATCAGCAAAGACTGCATCCTCAGCAGTGAAGGCTGCAGGGATCCGGGACCATGGTGAGAGGAGAAGCCAGCTGGACTTCCTGGGTCGAGTGGGGACTTGGAGAACTTTTCTGTCTAGCAAGGGGATTGTAAAATGCACCAATCAGCGCTCTGTAGCTAGAAAGAGGTTTGTAACATGCACCAAACAGTGCTCTGTAAAAACGCACTAATCAGTACTCTCTGGCTAGCTAGAGGTTTGTAAAATGCGCCAATCAGTACTCTGTAAAAACACACAAATCAGTGCTCTGTGGCTAGCTAGAGGTTTGTAAAATAGACCAATCAGCATTCTGTGAAGTGGACCGATCAGCACTTTGTAAAATGGACCAATCAGCAAGACATGGGTGGGGACAAATAAGGGAATAAAAGCTGGCCACCCAAGCTAGCAGTGGCAACCGGCTGGGGCCCCCTTCTGTGTTGTGGGGGTTTAGTTCTTTTGCTTTTCACAGTAAATGTTGCTGCTGCTCACTCCTCGAGCCCGTGCCACCTTTAACAGCTGTAACACTCAACCGCAAAGGTCTGTGGCTTCATTCTTGAAGTCAACAAGACTGCGAACTCACTGGAAGGAACCAACTCCGGACACAGGGGCATTGGTTAAGCCAGATGAGGTCCTCAGTGGTTTTCTTGCTCTGCTTTTCTCCCACTGGGGAACTTGCAGCTGATGGGTTCCTCTCAGTGCTGAGCTTTGCTAGTCTGAAGAATGGAGTAATGCAAGTAAAATTAGACCCTTCTTTCTACTCCTTTCTTTGCAGTTATCCTCAATTTTTTCTGCTTCACTTGTTGCTGCAGCTTCTTAACTGGACTCCAGAGCTCTCACAGACTGATTTTTATCTGTGGATGGTTGTAAAGTTGTTTTTGGGTTGGAGGGTACAAGGGCTGGGACCTCCTAGTCTGCCATCTTGCTTACGTGCAGTACTTTGAATCTTCATATGAAATATTCTATTACAGCTAAATTGACAAATTTATTGGCATATGGTTGCTCATAATAGTCCCTTATCATTTTAACATTTATAATTTGTAGGAAATGACCTCTTGTTCATTTCAAATATTTGCAATTTGTGTATTCAGTTTCTGTCTTCCAAATGCTTTCCCTCTCCATCTTCTCTACTCTAATAATTATAACTAATGATTTTTTTGTGTGTTTTCAAAGAACCAGTTTCGGTTTTATTTCTTATTTTTTTGCTCTTTTCTAAATTTCCTTTTATTGGTATCTTCTATTATCTTTATTATACTCCTTTTTATTATTTGAATTTAATTTCTTCATTTTCTGGTTTATTGTTGTAGAGGTATAGAATTTTGGTATGAGATCTTTTCTGATATAAGAATTTAATTCTATGAATTTATCTCTGAGCATTTTCTGAACTGTGTCACATGATTTTTAACAAGTATTTTCATTTTCATACTATTCAAAAATACTTTCTAATTTCTTGTGTGACATTTTTCTTCAACCTACAGTTATGATTGTGCTCTTTAATTTTCACATTTGAAAATTTTCTAGAGTTTTATCTTTATTACTAATTTAATTATACTGCTAATGGAGAATGTAATGTGTATGGTTTCAGTATGGCACGTCTTTGAAAATATCTGGGTACCTTGGAAAAGAATGTGTACTTTGCAATTTGTGGGTAGAGTATTCCATAAAAGTTGTTAAGGTCAGGTTATAGCTTCGTTCAAATTTTTTATGTCTTTATTGATTTTGTTGTCTATTTGCTGTTTAAGATAATGAGGGCTGAAATATCCAGCTATAACTGTGGACTAACCTACTTTACTTTTCAGCTCCTTGGTTTTATGCTTTGAGTATTTTGACACTCTTTCTTATGTTCATGGACATATAAGAGTTTTATGCTCTCTTTATAACCTGTCATCGCTTTCATTATGGAATGTGTCTTTTTATGGCTGCTAAATTTTTTGTTCTCTCTATCCTATCTGATATTACTATAGCCATTCTAGATATTTTGGTCATTTGTGTTTATGTACTATATTATTTTTCATATTCTTACTTTCAGCATATATGAATTTTCACATTTAAAGTAGTTTTTTTTTGTAGACAGCACATAGTTGGGACTTAATTTTAATCTAATTTATAATCTCTGCCTTTTATTTGGATCATTTAAACAACTTTCCGTCTTGTTTAATGTTTTCAATATTTTTCGTCTGTTCTTTTTCTTGTTGCTTTTGTTTTTGAGGCAGAGTCTTGCTCTGTTGCCCAGGCTGTAGTGCCACCACACCCAGCTAATTTTTGGGTTTTTAGCAGAGACGGGGTTTTGCCATGTTGGCCAGGCTGGTCCCAAACTCCTGGCCTCAGGTGATCCACCCACCTCAGCCTCTCAGAATGCTGGGATTACAGGCATGAGCAACGACGCCCAGCCTTATTTTTTCCTGTTATTTTTCCTGCTTTTTTAGATGCATTGAGTATGATTATCATCAGAATAGTATTATTAAGGAAAAATAAGCAGACAAGCAAAATATCCCACTGTATTATGAAACAGAAATGTAGCACTCATTTTTAAATTGAAGTACATAGTTTGTGAGGACTGGGAGCAGTGGATCATGTCTGTAATGCCAGCGCTTTGGGAGGCCAAGGCGAGCGGATGACTTGAGGTCAGGAGTTCAACACCAGCTTGGTTAACCTTGTGAAACCCCGTCTGTCTTAGAAATACAAAAATCAGCTGCGCATGGTGGTGCATGCCTGTAGTCTCAGCTACTCAGGAGGCTGAGGCACGAGAACTGCTTGAACCTGGGAGGTGCAGGTTGCAGTGAGCCAAGATCGTGCCATTGCTCTCCAGCCCCGGTGACAGAGTGAGACTCTGTCTCAAAAAAAAAAAAAAAAAAAAGGAAATACGTAATATGTGTTTAATTAGTTTTGTCATCTTTATTTCTCCTGCAAATACAGGAGGAGATATATTTCAGTTTGTTAAAGACTATTTTATGAACAGGTATCACATGAAGAAAACTACTGAGATTAGTGTTGATCCCAGTGTAGGAAAAAAAAAAAAAAAAGAACTTGCTCCTGAATACTAATTCACCGATTTATTTACAGAGAACAGTTGGTGATTCAAAACTATGCCTCCTAATCTTGGTTCAGTATTGAAGTGGTCACTCACTGTGTGACTTTTCAGTCTGTGTGAAGGAAAAGCAATCAAGGTAAAACTCTTTTCACTAGAGTACGCTTCCTACAGTGGTGCTTTCTAAGTATTTGTAGTTCTTCATTAGCTTACTGTATATAACAATAGTAAACTCCTTCTACAATTCCAAACATTTTTTCAAGTAGCTCTCTCAGTGACATTTTAGCTGCTTGAACAGACAGAATCTGTCACTCTCCCTCTGAACCTGCTTTTAAAATGTGAGTTTGCTACAACTGTCCCTGCGTTGGAGAGCTGTGGGAAGGACTGCAGTTATCCAGGTGTTGGTAGGATACATTTATATCATAAGAGAGGGTGTTGGACTATAAGTCTGCCAATCTGTTACAATAAATCAAAGCTAATACTTAACCCGACGTTTGTGTCTGTTTCTCAATCGGCTCAGAATTCTGAGGGAAAAGAAATGAGATTAATTCTTAAGCCCCAGCACATGATGCTTTGGTCAAGAGACTTTAAAATGCACTAGTGGAACTCACACTTGTTGATCAAGATAGTATATAAGGATAATGAAACTCTTGGGTTGGCAACAGCATTTGTTGACGGGAAGTGAGCGGCTACTTTTGTAATGGATACATTGTGAAGTCTCAACTCACTAGAGCACAAGGAATAATGATTCTTCCTACTGTGTTCCTTAATTCACTACATTAATGCCCAAAGAAGGACTTTCCTAATTCTCTCTCAATTTAATCCCATAACATTTCAATAACTTTGCTTATTAGATCAGTTTCATTTCATTCCTTATAGCCTCAGTCTGGTTCATCTTATTGAGGTATTACTGGCGTATGATGTACTGCTTATGTTTAAAGTGTGTGGTTTGATACACTTTGACACATGCAAACATCCATGATATTCTGACCACATTGAAGAGAGTGGTGTTCGTTACGTTCATTGGGGTGATAGTTTCATAGATTCATCACCCTCAAAAGTTTTTTCTTAGGTCGAGTGTGGTGGCTCATGCCTGTAATCCCAAAACTTTGGGAGGCCGAGGGGAGAAGATTGCTTGAGCTCAGGAGTTAGAGACCAGCCTGGGCCACATAGTGTGATCTCACCTCTATAAAAATTTAAAAAAAAAAAAATCCAGGCATGGTGGCACGTGCCTATAGACCCAGCTACTCTGGAGGCTGAGGTGGGAGGCTCAACCTACACTTGAGCCCAGGAGATTGAGGCTGCAGTGAGCCATGATCACACCACTGCACTTCAGCCTGAACCACAGAGTGAGGCTCTGTCTCAAAAATTAAAGAAAAAAGATTTCCTCTTGCCCCTTGTAGTTCCTTACTCCTACCCCTACCCACACCCTCCTTTCCATGTACAGCATGCAGGCACTTTTTTGATCTGGCTTTTTTCACAAAGCGTATATCTGAGATTTGTCCATGATGATGTGTGTATCAGTACAGGCATATCTTGTATTATTACACTTTGATTTATTGTGCTTCACAGGCACTACATTTTACAAATTGAAGGGTTTTGGCAACTCTGCATTGAACAAGTCAATCTGCACCATTTTTCCAACATTTGCTCTCTGTGTCACATTTTGGTAATTCTCTCAATATTTCAAACATTTTCATTATTAATATACATGTTATGGTGGTCTGTAATCAGGGATCTTTGATGTTACTCTTGTAGTTGTTTTGGGCAACCATGAGCCCCACCCATGTAAAGTGGAGAATATAATCAATACATGTATGTTCTGACTGCTCCGCCAACCATCCATTCCCCCATCTTTCTCCCTCTCCTTGGCCTCCCTATTCCCTGATATACAACAATACTGGAATTAGGCCAGTTAATAACCCTACATCGGCCTCTAAGTGTTCAGGTGAAAGGAAGAGTCACACATCTTCCATTTTAAATCAAAAGCTAGAAATGATTAAACTTAGTGAGGAAAGCATGTCGAAAGGCAAGATAGGCCAAAAGTAGGCCTCTTGTGTCAGCTAGCCAAATTGGGAATGTAAAGGAAAAGTTCTTGAACGAAATTAAAAGTGCTACTCCTGTGAACACACAAAGGATAAGAAAGCAAAACAGCCTTATTGCTGAAACGGAGAAAGTTGTAGCAGTCTGGATAGATCAAACCAGCTACAACTTTCTCTTAAGCCACAGCAGCACCCTAACTCTCCTTAGTTGTATGAAGGCTGAGAGAGGTGAGAAAGCTACACAAGAAAAGTTGGAAGCTAGCAGAGGCTGGTTCGTGAGGTTTAAGGAAAGAAGTCATTGCCATAACATGAAAGTGCAAGGTGAAGAGCAAGTGCTGATATAGAAGCTACAGTAAGTCATCCAGAAGATCTAGCTATGATCATTGATGAAGGTGGCTACACTAAACAACAGATTTTTAAGGTAGATGAAACAGCCTTCTATTGGAAAACGATGCCATCTAGAACTTTCAAGGATAGAAATCAATGCCTAGCTTCAAAGCTTGAAAGGACAGGTTGTCTTGTTAGGGGCTAAAGTGGCTGGTGATTTTAAGTTGAAGCCAGTGCTCATTGACTCTTTCAAAAATTCTAGGGCCCTTAAGAATTATGCTTAAATCTACTCTGCCTGTGCTCTTCGTGGAATAATAAAGCCTAAGTGAAACTCATCTGCTTACAGTATGGTTTACTGAATATTTTAAGCCTAAGTGAAACTCATCTGCTTACAGTATGGTTTACTGAATATTTTAAGCCCAGTGTCGAGATCTACTGCTCAGAAAAAAAAAAAAAAAAAGATTCCATTTTGAGATAGTGTCTCTCTGTGTTGCCAAGGCTGGTCTTGAACTCCTGGACTGAAGCCATCCTGTCTAGCCTGTTTTTAATAGGCCTGAAACTTAGTAAGCTCTCACATGTGAACTTCAGTGGCTAAATATAACCTAGCATAATCAGCTGACCCAAGGGGTGGAATTGCAGTTGTTGCTGAGGTTGGCGTTAGATTTTGAGTAAAATGATCTTTCAGTTATATGGACTTTTTAGGTATTGGTGAGTTGAAGTTTCTTGATCCTTGTTGCCTATTTATTAGCGAAGAATTAGGACATTATATTAGGTTGGTGCAAAAGTAATTGCGGTTTTGCTATTATGCAAAACCGCAATTACTTTTACATCAACCTTACTTCAAAGGCAGTTAATTGCCCATGGGGTAGAAATCATTAGTATCTAAGGTTTTAGGTCATATTTTTTCTAAAAGTTTCTTTTTTCTCCTTATGGTTTTGATTTTCATCCCATTTCACTTCAAGAACTACACGGAGGATTAACTTCTTAGTTTCCTGTGCCTTCTAATATAACCACCCTGTCATGTGGTCACACTGGCTCTTGTTTGTTAATTCTAAATGCACTAATAATAACCCTAAATTTCAGGGAGCTAAACCATGGGTTTAACCAAAAAGAGTGATAGATTTTAAACATAAATGGGTAGAGAATAATAAAGAACCTCCTCCATTTATTCAGGTTGAAGAGAGAAACTCTCAATTAATTAAACACCTCCTTCCTGACCCTTGCAAAATACATATATATACATATATACTTTTTAAATATGTAAAATATATACATAATACATAAAATAGACATGTATTTTGCAATATCACCTGTGTCTGGAACAGCTGGTTTCTAGAAATCAGATTGGGTGATAATGTGGATTCATTTAAAACTATGTCTAGATCTTTAGATTAATACAGAGGCTGTGAAGTATTTTTTAAAATGATGAAAATTAAGTTTAATTGCACTGTATTTTCTAACACTTTTTCCAATTTTTGTAAAAATATCCTTTAATAATAAAAACTGAAGAAAATTTAAAATTTCTCCAATTCTCATCATTACAAAACAGTAATAGCCTAAAGTAAATATAATTTCAGCCAAAAGGAAAGAGTAAAGGAAGGAAGGAAGGAAGGAAGACAAAAAGCGTTTCAAAAACCAGGGATCGTGGTGTACCTGTTATTTCAAATTTAATATTATTCGATTTAATTTTAATTCCACCAAAGAAAAAGATATTGAAGTAAAACAGAAGGGATTGACAAATTTGAGATTAATATTTCTTTATTGTAAAATATGTCTCTTTAAAAATAAGTCTAAAATTAAGAAAAACAATAAAATCTTTTTTCTTTTCTTTTCTTTTCTTTTTTTAGATGGAGTCTCGTTCTGTCGCCAGGCTGGAGTGCAGTAGCTCTATCTTGGCTCACTGCAACCTCCACCTCCTGGGTTCAAGCAATTCTCCTGCCTCAGCCTCCTGAGTAGCTGGGACTACAGGCATGAGCCACCAGGCTCAGCTAATTTTTGTATTTTTAGTACAGACGGGGTTTCACCATGTTGGCCAGAATGGTCTCGATCTCTGGATCCCGTGATCTGCCTGCCTTGGCCTCCCAAAGTGCTGGGATTACAGGCATGAGCCACTGCACGTGGCCACCAATAAAATCTTTAAGAGGTTTGAGTAATATTCAACTTTATGGTATTATTATGATATTCTTGGAATCTCTAGATATTTATAACTTATTATTAATTTATCAATATTTAGATACTTGCAGATACCTAAAGATAACTTTAGACTCTTAATATGAAAAACGGTTTTGAGCTTTACATATTTTAAAATAAATTTGTATATGTATTATATAATATATACGTTATATATATAGTCAAGAAGTATACCATTCATATTCTATTCTGTAACCATAATTTCCATATTGACCAACTTAGATTTCTTAGAACGGATATAATACTCACTAACAATTCACGTCAACACTGTTTCTCATATTACAGTATACAAGTTATCTATGAAAATGTAAAACTTCCATATTTTTGTTTTTATTTTTATTTTTTTTTAGACAGAGTCTTGCTCTGTCACCCAGGATGGAGTGCAGTGGCGCAATCTTGGCTCACTGCAAGCTCCGCCTGCCGGGTTCACGTCATTCTCCTGCCTCAGCCTCCCCAGTAGCTGGGACTACAGGCACCCACCACCGCACCTGGCTAATTTTTTGTATTTTTAGTAGAAATGGGGTTTCACCGTGTTAGCCAAGAAAGTCTCGATCTCCTGACCTCTTGACCCACTCGCCTCAGCCTCCCAAAATGCTGGGATTACAGGCGTGAGCAACTGCGCTTGGCCCATATTTTTATTAAAGTTCTCTTCCAGTGTTTGCATTTACATTTATGTTATCCTAATACCTTAATTGTTGGAGAAGAAAAGAACAGAGAAGGGCCTAATGTATAAATAATGCATTCAAGCCAAGTGAAAGTAAATGATTTTATGGTTCAATATAGAATGAGAGTTCTTTAGTTGTTAAGGAAAAAAAGCAAACAAAAATGGCAGACAAAGTTGAGTCTTCATATATAATAAAAGCACACAAACTAAGAAAAGTCTTAGTAGTCAGTATCATATCCATAATTTTATGTGGCATTTTAGTTTTAGCACACCATCATTTCATATTAAATTAAATTTTTTTTTTTTTTGAGGCAGAGTCTCACTCTTGCCCAGGCTGGAGTGCAGTGGTGTGATCTCGGCTCACTGCAAGCTCTGCCTCTCAGGTTCACACCATTCTCCTGCCTTAGCCTCCCAAATAGCTGGGCTATTTGTTGGTTTGCAATTTTATTTGCTCTTAATTTATGATGTAGGTAGGTTTTACAGTTTTCTAACAGATATAAACAGAAGAGCTAATAATTAGTTTTATGTTTATAAGGTATTTTTTAAATGCAATGAATAAAATTCAAATACAATTTTTTTTAAATTGATTAAAAAATAGCAGGTAATGACACTGTTCCATGTATATCTCCCTGGCTCTTACAGTTTTAGTAGTGCATGCAGTACTCACTTCCAACTACCAATGCCTGCAACTGAGGCCTTTTTTTCTTTGCCACCACGCACATAGCAGGCCAGATAAGCTGAAAAGAATTAACCCTCCTGGCAGCAGCCCTCAATCTATGACTGAAGGGAATTGGAGTATAAATACCTCAGCTCTTCCTCCCCGTGACTGAAATAATTCTGAGGCACACATTTACGCTGTTGCCTACATTTTCTCAGCAGAATGCAGCTCCAGTTGTTGGATGCAGGACACTTATGCAGTGGACCTAAGGCAACCTCAGGGCCCCTTTTTAAAGAGGGGGTACACAGCAGCTAGAGGAAAAATGAAGTCTGAAGTCCTGACCCAAGTTCATCTCACAGTAGATCCAGCAGATCTCTGGAACTGCCAAGTAGAAATTTCTCTGTTGCCCAAATACATAATCAAAATGGCTGTATTTATAGCTGTCAACCATCACACTAGTCCCTGGTCTGTATAGTTTGAAAGGCCAAATGGAAGCCACCTAAAAATGCCCTCCACAATAACAAAAGTAATATCACATCTTGGGCAGGATGGTCAGAAGCAAGGGCTATGGTCCCCTTCGTACCCCATCTTGATTTAATTTAACAAGTTAGCCCACCACAGTGTCCGTGTTGTAAAGGCATGGGTCAAGGAACCACCTGGAGAACTTGTGCTTCTCATTTCCACAACTTTTCGCCATGCCGGGCCAGAGGTTCTGGTTCCTGGTAGGGAGAGGGATCCTTCTACAAGGAGCTAGAATAAAGTTTCCACTAAATTTAAAGTTATATCTTCTCCCTTGGCATTTTCAGCTTTTTATTCCAGTTGACCAAGATGCAATAAAGAAGCCCTCATTAATGAGGATACATGGTTGCTATGATATTATAAGGGCAGGGAAGACTATGTCCTGTGACCCTTTGCTAGGGGTTTCTCTGGCTACTAAAGCATGCTTGTCCATGTTCTGGAGAAGTTAACACCTCCCAGGAGAAGCTCTGTTCCAAAGCTGATGGAATTTGTTGTATAAACATCTCATTTTTCTCACCCTTACTTAACTCCAAGACACATGATCTACACTGTTTTCCAAAGTTCCTGAGAAGGGTTAAGCTACAGTAGTCCTTGCAGTACTTTTCTTGAAAACACACTCTTCTACTTGTGAGTGAGCTTCTCTCCCTTCTCTGTCTTCATTCCCTACTCCCTTACGCCTTCCAAATAAAGTTCTTGCACTCTAATCCTTGTTTCAGTGTCTCTAGGAGTACTCCAAATAAGGCAGGGTCCTTGAAATTTTGTTTTCTCTTTAAAAAGCATGTTACCATTTTAAAAACACTGTTGTAGTGCCCAGCCAGCATACACGCTTCAATAATTGCTGGGATAACATCCTACAAAGCAATGATCTAATTGCTTACATGCTCATAGTCATGAATGAAAGATGCAAGAAAATGTTCTTTGAGAGGGCTCAAATTATACACTAAATTTTAAAATGCATGCAAAAAACATTTGCATATATATATATATATACACACACACACACACAGCCATTTTAAATTTGGATACTTAGAAGGACAAATTTCTTTTCTTTGAGAAACTTCCCTACGTGGAACAGCTCATCTAAGTCTTAGATCCTCGATGAGGCTGCTTATAAGGCTGTCTAAGTTGTATTCTGCATAACTCAAGGGTGACTTGCAACCTGTAGCCCACATCTTCTGGAACCTTCTGGAATTCTGGCACAACTGGATTTACAGCATGCCTTTGCAAATGGTTATCTATCTCCTTAGATATTATCACCACAATGCAAAATGAATGGTTATCTATCTCCTTAGATATTACCACCACAATACAACACAAAATGAAGTGAGCCAGCCCATCGAACTCAAGCGCTCCCCTGCCCGAAAAGAAATGTTAGACTGTGGATATTGAAGCTAATTTTATTCAACGCAGTTTTCATTGCCCTGAGGCACTTTATCTACTGCTGGAATGTACTCACTGAATCATATTTTAAACCAGTATTCTCTCCGATTCTATATGCGCCTCAAAGTCTAAGCACATTGGAACTGGATAAAGGGCTACTGTCAAGTTCAATTTAGTCAAGATTACCTCCTCAACAATACTTCAAACATTTTATTCACATAAATCATACAGGAGGATTAGAATATGCACTCAGTTAAAAAAGATTACTTTGCCATTCTGATGATCATGCACAGTCTTATTGCTAATAAACTCCTTTGTATAGTTTCCCACACAAACAAGTAGAGTTTCTCATGGGAAATAAGCTTTTGCAGTTTTTTTTGAAAGAAATATACACTAAGCTTTCTATTTGTTTTAAAAATCAACAAAACAGTACCTTAAAGGGAATACACTACTGGAATATTACAGAAAATTAAATCTCTACGAAGCCTTTTGCAAATGAGTAAGTCACCTTTTGAGGTTTTAAAAATCATTTTCATAAGTGATTTCCATTGACCACATGATGATATGAGTAAACTTTAGAGAACATGTTAAACATTTTCAGCCTGCATTGCATATTACCTGTCTGCCTGGTTTTTTTCAAGGTTTGCATTTCAAATGCTTTCCCAGTTCCGTAGCCACTCTCTCAGTACCTCGCTATTGTCTGGTACTCAACTAAATTCAAACTTCGGTGTTACCTGCCAGGTCGCGCAGGGAGGCTGAGATTTTTACCTCTGCATTAAAACAAGGGATCCAGTGGATTTTTCTAAGACCCATACTTAGATGCATTTAATAATATATTTGAACATATTTTTATATACTTTTATAATGATCACATGCCTAAATTGGGGGAAAGGGGTCCTGATCCAGACCTCAAGAGAGGATTCCTGAATCTCTCACAAGAAAGAATTCAGGGCAGGTCCACATAGTGCAAAGCAAAAGCAAGTTTACCAAGAAAGTAAAGGAATAAAAGAAAGAGTACTCCAAAGAGCAGCCCCGAGGGCTGCTGGTTGCCCATTTTTAAGGTTATTTCTTGATTATATGCTAAACAAGGGGTGGATTATTCATGCCTCCCCTTTTTAGACGATATAGGGTAACTTCCTGTCATTGCCATGGTATTTGTAAACTGTCATAGTGCTGGTGGGAGTGTAGCAGTGAGGACAACCAGAGATCACTCTTATCGTCATTTTGCCTACTAGGTTTTGGCATGCTTCGTTACTGCAACCTGTTTATCAGCAAGGTCTTTGTGATCTGTATCTTATGCTGACCTCCTATGTCATCCTGTGTCTTAGAATGCCTTACCCATCTGGGAATGCAGCCCAGTAGATCTCAGTTTCATTTTACCCAGCTCCTATTTAAGATGAGGTTGCTCTGGTTCAAATGCCTCTAACACCTACATAGGCTGTGACATGATTGAGCATTTAAAATTAAAACATTATAATTTCATGATGTTTCTCCCCTCTCCTATTTTTCTTCTTCTTGTTATTTTTTTGTACCAATAGTCTCTGATCTCCAAGTATGCCGGGAAGCAGGTAGACACAAGGTCAGCAGGGCAGGAGGGGAAACAGCAAGAGCAGCATGCTGACGACCTTTCTGCCAGTTAACGCTCATAGGTCACGCTCTGGCAATCACTGCTGTTGACACACAAAGGTGGCCTCATAGATGGAACTAGTGTTGAACAACTCCTTGGATAGAGCAATCTGGTTTAAAAATGTCAGGTTTTTTAAAGCATTAGTTTATTTGTCTTAATGTAATGGATAAAGATAATCCCTCATTACATGATTTACATCTATGACCTGAGAAGAGTTAGATTTTTAACTTTAAATTGTATTTGGAACCAAATTTTAGACTGATGAAGGTATAAACGGATATAAGAGTAAAAATTTAGTGATTTAACTTCCTCACAGTGTTTTCATTCCCTTGTGTAACTCCTTACAATCTTCTGTAGAAATTAACTATTATTGCCCCAGTTCACAGGAAAAAGAAACTTAAAAATATGGAAGTGAGGAATTTTTTTGCTCAAAATCATAAATTTAGTTAAGTTAGCATCCAGTAGGATTAATTTTTTTTATTATACTACACATTTATATGAAATCATATCTGTTTATTTTATAATCTCTTCTCCAGCATTGAATCTTAGGAAAGAGCAAAACAAAAACCTAAGCAGAACTGGAGTGCCCTCCAGGTGAGGCCAGGATCTTCTTCAGGTTTAGCCTGGCTGTAAGAGCTCAGTCTCCCCATTTCCAGGTGACTTAGTCCATTTAGCATTGCTGTAACAGAATACCTGAGACTGGGTGATTCATAAAGAAAAGAGGTGTATTTGGCTTGTGATTCTGGTGGCTGGAAAGTTCAAAGCTAGACAGCTGCATCTGAGGAAGGCCTCAGTTGCTTCCGCTCATGGTGGAAAGTGAAAGATGAGTGGTGTATGCAAAGAGATCACATGGCGAGGGAGGAAATGAGAGAGATTGTGGAAGCCAGACTCTTTAACAACCTGCTCTTGCTTTCACAGGAACTAATCCATTCCCACAGAGTGAGAACTCACTTACTCCTGCATGAGCATCTATTCATGAGGAATCTGCCCTGCCCTGTGACCCAAACATCTCCCATCAGGCACCAACTCCCAACACTACACATTAGGGGTCAGATTTCAACATGAGTTTTGGCTGGGCCAAACTATATCCAAACCATAGCACCAGGTAAAAGCACAAAAGAGCAAGTTTCCTCTAAAGCTTCTGGAGAAAATGCACAGTTACCCTGCACAGTGTAGTTTAATTGGATAGTTAAGACTAGAGGACAAGCCCCATCAGATCCAGCAGTTTCAATTCTTCTGTATAATTGAGGAAGAACCCCAGATGTTCTTCTGACTGAGTAAGCTAGCATTGACTTGTTATAAAGAAGCTGGTGGACCAGACTATCATTAAAATGGACTTTGCCTTTTTGTCTGGGTCACAAAAGGGAAAAAAGGCTGCTTAATTTGCTGAAGGGCATCAATTAGTGCCAATCCAAACATAAAAATAAAACAGGTGGAACTTTTAAAAACATACTCTCTGAAGCACTCATACATTAGGACACTTTACTAACTCATAAAGCATTTTAAAGGATGCGTTGGGTGAGACTGAGCCAGACAATTAAAGACATCAAAGTCATGCTGGACAATGTTAATCAAGTTTAGCCTAAAGCTGTCTCCTTACATATTTAAGTTCAGCCTAAAGGTTTTTCTGTACATTGTGAACTATAATAAGTAGAGGTGTAAACTGCCTGTAGCCCACACATGTGCCAGTCACTGAGTTTTGGCCAATCAAATGTAGCCAACTGTTCTAACGGTGTTCAAAAGGTGTTCAAATAAGGCAAACGCCAACCTGTAACCAATCCAGCTGTTTCTGTCCCTCACTTCCGATTTCTGTACATCATTTCCTGTTTTTTGGGTTTTTTTTTTTTTTTTTTGTCTATAAACCTTCTTCCACCACATGGCTCTGCTGGAATCTCTCTAAATCTGCTGTGATTCTGGGGGCTGCCTGATTCTTGAATTGTTCCTCGTTCAATTAAGCTCCTTTAAATTTATTTTGGCTAAAGTTTTTCCTTTAAAAGCAAGAAACCAGTAGTCCTTCCTCCTTTTCCCCCACTACCAGAGGGTAATTTTACTTGTCATTGTTTGAGCTCAATGAATTTAATGTTCTGATGTGGCTTCAGAGAAGCCCTGGAGGGCGCTAAACAGTAACATTTTCACATGAGTACAACAGTACCTCCCCTCCCTTACCCACGGTTTAGCTTTCTGTGTTTTCAGTTATCCACAGTAAATCATAGTTATTTTTGTTAATATCAGGTATTTTGAGAGAGTCACCATATTCGTGTAACTTTCATTAGAGTATATTGTTATAATTATTCTATTTTATCATTAGTTATTGTTGTTATCTCTTACTGTGTCTAGTTTATAAATTAAACTTTATCACAGTACGTATGCATAGAAAAAAAATTGTACATATAGGGTTTGGTACTATCCGTGATTTCAGGCATCCACTGAGGGTCTTGGAACATATACCCCCCCGCGGATAAAAGGGGATTACCCCCTTACCCCCTCCTTTTTTTTTTTTTAGAGGCGGAGTCTCTCTCTTTCGCCCAGGCTGGAGTGCAGTGGCACGTTCTCTGTCGTTCTCTGCCCCAGCATGATGAGTGGTTTCTAATTTTTTTCTTTTGTAGAAAAGGAGGTAAAAATTACTCTCTCAGCCGGGTATGGAGGCTCACGCCTGTAATCCCAGCACTTTGGGAGGCCGAGGCGGGCAGATCACGAGGTCAGGAGATCGAGACCATCCTGGCTAACACGGTGAAACCCTGTCTGTACTAAAAATACAAAAAATTAGCCGGACGTGGTGGCCCGTGCCTGTAATACCAGCTATTCGGGAGGCTGAGACAGGAGAATCGCTTGAACCCAGGAGGCAGAGATTGCAGTGAGTTGAGAGTGCACCACTGCACTCCAGCCTGGGTGACAGAATGAGACTCCGTCTCAAAAAAAAAAAAAAAAAAAAAAGCATAACAACCTAGATTGTGAAGATTGATGGAGTTAAGAATGATTCAATAATTTAATCTTAAGAGTGCCTTAGTTAGCAAGCAAGACAAAAGGTTATTCAGGATAGTAGGAGGAAAACTAAGAGACCGTGGAAGCCAAGGAGGAGATAGTTTCGAGAAAGAAAGAAAGCAGGAGCGAGTTTGAGGCACAAGAGAACTGCGAAAGGTCCATTGCATATGATTAGGAAGAGATTTCTGGAGCAATTAGGACCCTCATCAAGGTTAAAGAAAAGAGAGGATTTAGATTATCTGAGCTCCCTCCTAAATCCCTGGTTTTCAGTCCTTAGAGCAACAGGCTAACTGATGTTTAGATTAAGAAAACTGACTTTTTCCAGCAGATAAGAGGCCCAGCAGGAATCCTGGCAGAAGGAATTAGAGACTAGCACGGGGCGGGTGGAGCTCAGGGCCATTCCTGATGAATGGCCAATGTAAAGAAACCCCAGAAAGACACCAAGTGACAGGAGGCAGGGAAATTTGTAGGAAGAGCAATGTAGAATGAAAATCATTGCAAAACGGTGATTTGGTCTTAGTTGAAAGACAAGTAGAAGAAGATGAATTTGAAAGACGACTTGTCATTTATATGGACTTGTTGTATTTTTTTTCCAACCATTTTTTCAATATTTTGTTGCTTGCCTTAAGGGATGGGCAGATATGGACTCTGTCCAGTGGAAAGTCACCTCTAGGTTTTTACACATTTTTGAAAGGCGAGTGGAGAACAGCGGTGGCCTGAAAGCTCTTAAAACTAGTGCTCTGGGTCGGGGCGGTGGCTCACGCCTTTAATCCCAGCACTTTGGGAGGTCGAGGTGGGCGGGATCACCTGACGTCAGGAGTTTGAGACCAGCCTGGGCAACGTGGTAAAACCCCGTCTCTACTGAAAATACAAAAAAATTAGCCAGGCGTGGTGGTGAGCGCCTGTAATCTCAGCTACTCCGGAGGCTGAGGCAGGAGAATCGCTTGAATCCGGGAGGCAGAGGTTGCTGTGATCTGAGATCGTGCCCTTGCACTCCAGCCTGGTGACAGAGGGAAACTCCGTCTCAAAAAACAAACAAATAGCTAGTGCTCTGACTCTGGTCCAACTCTTTTTCCCTTTTGAGTTGATTCAGTGACAGCACAAGCATTAGTATCCAGTATCCAACCATCTGAAAAAAATTGGAGGATTTTAGCTTGTCTTCGCTAAAATAGTTTGGGGAATAATAGAGTCACAAATTAGAACTAGTAAGAATCCATTCCTTCAGTCTTGCTAGTTGAAGTAAATCCCTTATTTGTGGACATGAGATTTACTTTAGGTTGTATTTGGCAAGTGTGGGAGTACAGGGTGTGGAATTTATTCAGCTACAAAAGTCCCTTAAAATTCCCCGCAATTTCATAAACCCTTAAGAGTTCAGACATGCAAGAATGTTTGTGAAATCTTTGGAAGATGACAACCTAGGCTACTCTCTCTGCTGAAAATGACTAAGTTGGATTTTCTGCTTCATTCCTAAGGAGGAAACTTGACGGCTGAAAGTGAAAAGTGATGGCAATAAACCAGGGAGCGTGAAATAGAAGGTGGGTGCAAATTTTACTCAACTGGGAAAAAGATGCTAATTCAACCCCGGGCAGCAAGAGAAAATGCAAATGAAGATGAAGTCAAAAGAGCTTAACCTGTTTCAAATATTTCATTTCTAAAAATTCGATTCTATTTTCTCTTGTCTCATAGTCTGTCTTAAGAGACTCATACTAAATCCGTGGGCATCCTATTCTTTCCTCATCTAAACACATTTTTAAAGGTGAGAAATAACCAAAGTTATGAGGCAGGATTCAGGGTTAATCAATAATTTCAAACACGAAATGGAATATGTTAAGTCAAGAACTAGTGTGTAAAGATATTCAGCAATCTTGTTAGAAAGTTGTTTGAAAGAATTTGCTCTTTTTTTGCTTAGAGATGAAGTTGTTGTTCTTATTCACACACATGAACACAGCACGTTCTTGCTTCAGGAAGTGCGCCGGCGGGCAGATTGGATAAATTCAAAGATCGGTATTCTGACAAAATTGGCAGTTTCCAAATTCCAGATAAATTTGTTTATCCCAAATCATTGTGTTGTAACTTAATCACAAATTAAACAGATTTAAACACAGAGCCTTTAAGTAAAAATATGTGGGGAAATAATTGCTTAAGTTTAAAAATAGGAATCTCTATTTTTTTATTTTTTCTTTCTTTATTTTAATCAATGTTGACCAGGTTGGCCTCGAACGTGTAGCCTCGCCTCCTCGAGTGCCAGGGCAACCGCCCTGAGCCACCGCGACTCCCAGGAATCTCTATTTTTTTTAAACCAGGTGAAAAATGTTAGACCAGATTACTCACCCTTAAAAATTAGACAAAGTATCTGAGTCATCGCTCCCTTGAACAACGCCTCCTAGCCGTGGGATTGAGGAGGAATCTGGTGTTAAAAGTCCACACGCATCATTTCCCTTAATGTTATTAATGATAATTTGCATAAGGAATCTTTTTTTGACTGTAAAAATAAGTTTACTTTGACAGTCTCTATTACTTAAGACATTTGGTCTATCAGATAATATCTTCGTAATCATAGTGCTGTTTAAACTTTCAGTTTTTTTGTTCGTTTGCTTTTGTTTTTGAGACGGAATCTCACTCTGTCGCCCAGGCTGGACTGTAGTGGCACTATCTCGGCTCACTGCAACCTCCGCCTCCTGGGCTCAAGCGATTCTCCTGCCTCAACCTCCCGAGTAGCTGGGGTTACAGGCGCCCGCCGCCGCGCCCGGCTAATTTTTGTATTTTTAGTAGAGACGGAGTTTCACCCTGTTGGCCAGACTGGTCTCGAACTCCTGACCTCAGGTGATCGGCGCGCCTCGGCGTCCCAAAGTGCTGGGATTACAGGCGTGAGCCACCACCCCCAGCCTACACTTTCACTTTTTGATGAAATCCATGGATGGCTTCCTGAGATACATTGAGATTTTGTGTGTGTGCTATCTTCTGGAATGAAGCCCCACACCGTTTATTAGATGATCTTGGGGATATATGTCTTGAAGGGAAGAATGATTTAGAATATCACATTAAAATTGTATATGTACTGTGAGGCAGCAATACAAATCTGGCACTTTGCCAAAGTTATTACTAGTAGGTGGGTTAAAGGGACGTTTACTCCAATACTATGCAAAGTAAAGTGGACCTTTCTGTCAAACAAAAATAGTAATAGGCCGGGCATGGTGGCTCAAGCCTGTAATTCTCAGCCTGGTGGCTCAAGCCTGTAGTTGTCAGCACTTTGGGAGGCTGAGGCGGGAGGATAGCTTGAGCCCAGGAGGTCGAGGCTGCAGTGAGCCACGATTGTGTCACTGCCCTCCAGCCTGGGCGACAGAGTGAGACCCTGTCTCTAAAGACAAACCACACACACATATACACACACACACTGACACACACTTATTGTTCAATTCAGTGCGTGTTTTGCTTCGTTTTGGATGAAAATTAACAGGCTTTCACATTGTGACTTAATCTTATCAGAGACTCCTAAAGTAAACAATAGCGCAGTAGGAGAAACCCTGATTGTGTAACTTCTGCTCTTGCTCCCCTGGAAATAATGTCATTTCCTATAAACCCACCCCCAAACAATCGTGACTACGTATTCATACCACTGGAGTCTTCCAAAATAGCAACTGCACATTATTTATCAACGTTTAGTTTGCATTTGACAAAGCACATCCACCTGGGCTTCCATTTATCATTGCTATTATTATATTTTATTATTATTTTCTTATTTCCAAAATCTTTGTAGAATGGAAAGTAAACGGGGGGACCAAAACCCCACTTAGAACTCTGCTTAGAAGATTCGGAAATGCCCTTGAGGTTTGGTCCTCCCAGGAGAGCACGAAGTTTATCCTCGCGCGCAGCCTCTCTTCCCCGGCCCGCGCCCACCGGCCTAGCCCGGGGCTAGCGCCCGCCCACGTGTGCTCGGCTCCAGGCAAACCCCGCTGAGCAGCGGCCGCACACCGCCCACCCCGGGGATTGGTCAGCGCGGCCGGGGCCCGGCGGGAGGCGGGCTCGGGGTCGCGTTCCGGGAGCGCGGAGGAGGCGGTGCCGCCCGGCCCCGCGCCCCGCCCCCGCCCCGGGTGGCTACACAGAGGGGCGCCCACGTGCCCAGCCCTCCTTCTGCAGCGCGGCCGGCGGGCGCTCCTCTTCGCGGGACCAGCGAGGCGGCGGCCGCTGCTCCAGCGTCCCCCAGCCGCGGGCCCCCGACGCGCTGCAGCCGGCAGCCCACCGCCGCCTTCTTGGCGCGACCCCAACCCAGCCCCAGTAAGTTGCTAGGTCTCCAGCCCCGCCGAGAGGCCGCGGGCGAGGGGCAGCCCGGACGCTGGGGCCGGCGGGGAAGGAGCGGGGCGAGGGCGCCCTGGGGCCGGCGGGGAACTAGAGGGTCGAGGGCTCCCGGGGACGAGTCCAGCTGCGCGCAGCTGCCCTGAGGCCGCGCTCCAGCGAGTCTTCGTCAGGGAGTCGGGGCCGTGGGCTGGGGCTGAAGCCGTGGACCTTCGTCCTCGGGGCTGCGCCCCGGAATGCGCCTCGCCTCGTCCGGTCCCTGTGCAGCCGGCTCTGCCCGGGGACTTCGGGGACCGCTGGAACTGGGAGAGGGGCTGGCACGGCGACTTCGCGGGGACCCTTCAGTCACTATTTCCAGAGGAGCTCGGCGCACCCCTCTCCGGGTGGGCAGGCTGAACCTCCTGGCCCTGCACGCTGCCGGGGTCCCCGAAGCCGCCTTCGCTCCTTTTCGGTTCTTGGCTTAAATTAGAAAGCCGGCTTGGAGCGCTGGAAGCCCCTTCACATTCTGCAGGGGACCTGGTAAAATAGCCCGTCTTGGTGTTTGTATTGGGTATTTTAAAGTAACTGGGTGCCTTTTAAAATCCGTTTGAGATGGGCTGTATTTTATAAGCCCGTTTCATGAAACGCTGTTCTTGAGGCTTAGAGAATCTCCCAACCCATCACCCCAGAGTACCTGTCCGTTCAGAAAGTACCTTTTCATCCTCTTTTGACGCTTACATCCAGTCTATGGAGTAAGGTATTGAGAGATTGTCATCTTCAACTCGTCGAAAAGAAATATGCTCAGCAAAAGCCACAATCATATGTGGCTTTTGAAGTGGATATAGTGCCTGGATTTCAAGAGAAAAAGTACTCAGCCTCTTCAGAGTTGTAAATATTTGTGCAAAACTGGCTAAAGCCTTTAGGTGACTAATTTTGGACCAGTAATAAGATTTATCTAGACGTTTGTGCAGAAACACTAATCCTTTTAATGAGAGGATATCGTCAGATCTTATTCAAATAAGAGCTCTCTGAATCCCATCCAGGGCCGCCTGGGTTATAAAATTAGAATGTATGTGGCCTTGACTTGATACTTTTTCATTCTTGCCTGAGCTAGTCTTTAAAAGTTAATAATTATCTCCTCCGGAAGGTGAAACATTCTGTGTTTGTAATCTTTCTCTAGGAGATGTATAAGATGTGAATATTCTGTATTATGTACCTTGTTAGGATTGCTTTGTAATTAGTAAATCCTTTTTTATTTTAATTGCACTGAAGCGTGACATGAAATGATCTCTCAGTGCAGAACACAGGACTTCTTCCCTCTCCTTTTCCTACAAAGTTGCTAGTTGCCTGCTCTGGGAGGCCACTTTATTGTGATTTTTCAAGTTTCTTCCCTCGGCCCACACTTTGTTTACATTCTGTGCCTTCATCTGGGAATGGTCATTTACCTTAAGGCATTTTAATCTTTTAGGGTGTGCCATGGCCTTGGAGACCAGAGTAAAGCGCTGTGGTATCTGCGGGGATCAGTTTGCAGAATCCTTGGCCTCCTAAGCAGTGGGCATAGCTCTTTTCATTCCAGAATCTCTGATCATTCCAGAGTCTCTCCTGTCACTGGGCTTAGGAGCCTGGGAAGGCGAATAGAAGCTAGCTGGGGAGACAGGGGAGCTGTGGCAGTTTAAAAAGCCTGATCTTGCGCTGGAGTTTTTCATCTTGCATTCTCATGTATCTTTGCCTTTTGAACACATGTGCCTGAAGAATTTTAAAGTTCACGTTTCTTGCTTTGCACTGCAAGCACACTCACCTTTGCAGAGTGGAAGTGCCTTGTCCCCATTCTAGGTGGTCTACCTTCTGTTCTCTTTTCAGACCTCCTGGCTTAAGCCCTTGTTTCTCCTGGCTGTTATGGCCAGACCCGGAGTCCCCGTTGTGCCCATTTCTTCTCTTTTCAGTCCTTCCTTTTCAAATGTTTTTTCCCAGAAGTCCTCTGGCAACTTCTCTATTTCACCTAGCCTCTGTCTTCTCTTGTTTTATTTTTCCCTCTCTCCCTCCCTCTCTATCCCTCTTTCCCCCTCTTTCCCTCCTTCTCCCTCCTTTCTCTCTTCCTCTCTCTCTGTCTCTCTCTCTCTCTCCCCCTCTCTCCCTCATTTCTCTCTCCCTCTCTCTGTCCCTCTTCCCTCCATTCTCTCTCCCCCCTTCTCTCTCTGTGTGTTCAGAGCCATCTGCTGGTTTTACTTTGGTGCCCTTTGGTGGACAACTTTCAGAACAGAATCTTGGGAGCACCTTCATGTTGCTGTTTGCTTTATTTCCCCCAAACATGTAGATATGAACACACTGATTTTAAAGACTCTTATAGACTACCTACTAGATGCCAAACATTTAGAACAAAAGCAAAAGCTTTCAGTGGAATATATTTCTAAATACTCACATATTTAGTTTTGGGTGCATCATTTGAATGCTTTGTCATCCAAATGAATCCTGAAAAACTTAGTTAACTAAGATTTCACTTAAGTGATAGCACTTGTCTAAATGGGCTTGAAAATCGAAGCTGTTAATTAATTTCTAAAACTTTAATCTGGATATTAAAAACCATATAGATACAACCTTGAATGACAACAGAAAACTAATGGAATTGTTCTTGTCATTGTCTTCCATTTTAATAACTTTTCATTTTAGTACCTAATATAGTATGTGTCACATAACACATGCTTATATGTCTTTATTGTTGAGTGAATGCCACTGATTTCAACAGTTTGAGAAAAGATGTTTTATCTGTCTTCAAATGTATTTATTCCTTCATTGAAAACTTACTTTCTACTCTGTACACTGGAAAATCAAAAAAGTAATGTGTAACTCCGGTTTTAGAGGGATTCTATAATTATGTTTACATTTGGGGAACTCCATTGATGGATTTTAAGAGCAGTTTTTTATTTTGCTGTACTCTATTAAAAAATACCACCACTTCTAAGCAGACGATTTCAGACCTGTCTGTGCCGCAAAGCAAGTAATTTACATGCTCTCTCTAATACATGAAGGCGATGCTACTATTTCATCATCAAAATCACATGTGCTGGACATTTTTATTTTACTAGTAGTAACAAATTTGTCCGCATTCCTCTTATATTTCCCTTTTACTTGACTTTCTAGCTCTTGTTTTAGAAGTGGTGTTTGTGGTTATGGAAATGTTGTGGATGATATTGACAAAACGCAGCCAAATCGGGCAGATCACTTGAGGCCAGAAGTTCAAGACCAGCCTGGCCAACATGGTGAAACCCCGTCTCTACTAAAAATATAAAAATTGGGTTAATAGGTGCAGCAAACCACCATGGCACATGTATACCTATGTAACAAACCTGTGTGTTCTGCCCATGTATCCCAGAACTTAAAGTAAAATAAAAAATAAAAATACAAAAATTAGCCAGGTTTGGTGGCAGGTGCCTGTAATCCCAGCTGCTTGGGAAGCTGAGGCAGGAGAATTGCTTGAATCTGGGAGGTGGAGGTTTCGGTGAGCCGAGATCGTGCCACTGCACTCCAGCCTGGGTGACTGAGCGAGACTCTGTCTCAACACACACATACACACACACACACACACACACACACACACACACACACACACACAGAATCCCAGCCAAGTAGGAGTTCATTTCCATCAGGCTTCAATTAGTTAAGGTAATCACAGCATGAATCACCTATTAATTTTTCTTGTCCATCTTAGTAATGGAAACTGTTATATATCAGTCTATGGAAGCAAGCAGTATGCTGTTGCTTTTCACATTCTTATCGACTTTTTTTTTTTTTTCTGTTTTGAGACAGAGTCTCGTTCTGACGCCCAGGCTAGAGTGCAGTGGTGCGACCTTGGCTCACTGCAACTTTCACCTCGTGGGTTCAAGCAGTTCTCATGCCTCAGCCTCCCGAGTAGCTGGGATTACAGGCGTGTGCCACCATGTTCGGCTACTTTTTGTAATTTTAGTATAGATGGGGTTTCACCATGTTGCCCAGGTTGGTCTCGAAATCCTGGCCTCAAGTGATCCGCCTGCCTCGGCTTTCCAAAGTCCTGGGATTACAGGCCTGAGCCACTGTGCTCGGCCTCTTATGGACTCTTAAAGTTTAAATATTTCTGAGAAAGGCCTCTGCTGCTGTTACGCTGACCTCACTGGTAAGTATAATTAGTATTGACTTGAGAGAAGATTTGAGTTAATAAGGCTATTTTAGAGGCTGGATTTGAATATGTGGGTCACGTCTCTTATTTAGACTTTTAGTATTATTTAGACTTTTATTTAGACTTTTAGTATGAATCTCTCTCTTCAGAGACATGTGGTCCCCTGTTATTCTGGGTGTGTATGGATGTGATGTGTTGTGGAAAATCTTGAAATTTCTTGATACGGGACTTTATACACCCAAGACTGAATCATGAAGCTGGAGCATTCTAGTGCTGCAAATGTCATGAATTTAATTTTTCACCGTATCCCCATCCTCCTGCAAAACATAAAATATAAAATATGTAAAATGAGATAAAAAAATGAAAGCAATACCCACACACCCATTCTGGCACTGCTGCGTACTAGCCCCCCTCTACAGAACTGAGCCTAATCTGGGATTCAGTATCGGGAAGGCGAGTGATGCGAGAACATTCCATGACCTTTGTAACAGGAGCTTAAAAAAAAAAAAAAAGTCCCAACTGTGTTATATTCATTTTTGGAATATTTGGTGAACAATACACAACAAAGAATTTGTATGTCCCTTGTTGATTCTTACTAGTTTTTCCCACAGTTGTGGGGAAAATTCTCTTCTTTCCTTAACCCATTTTGGCTTCATCAAGTCCTCCTAAGTCGTCCTACAATTATATATATATATGTATTCCCACCATATGTATATATAATTATATATATACGTATATATATGTATGGTGGGAGTATATCTGTGGCTAAGGTGAGAGGATCGCTTGAGTCTGGGAGGTGGAGGTTTGAAAAAAAAAGAATGGAGAAATCACATGAGTCCTTTAGTTATCACTCCCATCATTGCTTCTCCCAGCAGGAGACTCTCTGAAGACCAGCAGGAAAGCAGTGAGCCCTTACAGGTTAGTGCTGATTTCAATCTTGGCTTGCACGTTGGAATGGAAAAAGGACTGATAAAAAAAAAATGTTGACAGTGGAAAGATTTGTGCCTATTCCATATTAGAGAGGGAAGAGTTCTTCTGTTAGAAGGGAACACATTCAGTTTAGTGTCCTACCATTGGCCTAGTAGAAGAAAAAAATATTTTAAAAGAATCTTTACTGGACTTCAATTCCTATAAGATATTGCTCTTCCATTGCACAAGGAAGATTTCCATGAAGTTACGGAGTTGAGTATCACTGATTCACTTTCCAGGTTCCTGGTTCTTGTGAATGTACCTTTTAGAAAATTTTTGATAATCATTCCTGAGAGGTTGGGTGGAGGGGGTTTTGGACAAGAAATTGATTCACAGTTTTTAGTCTACTCAGGCAGATTATTTAAAGGAATCCTGGAATGAGTCCATTTTTCCTAGGGGAATCACTTCACAAGGTTTTTGTTCAATGGACCTCAGGTGCTCCAAATTCTTTAATCATAATTCTTCACGGCACACTGCTATAATACCATGATTGGTTCTTACATGGGCAGTAAATAGTATTCATTTTAGGTCTTGGGTTGGGTGCTGGGTGCATGTTCATTATATTATTATTTAAAAATATTATATAAGTTAATAAAATTTTAAATGAACTTTCCATAAGTCAATTCGTAAATAAAATTTTCACAAATTTCTTCTGTGTGTTTTTGCTTCAAGTAGAAAACATCTCTATTTCTATTTATTTTATTTTATTTTTTTTGAGACAGAGTCTCACTCTGTCACCCAGGCTGGAGTGCAGTGGCGCGATCTCGGCTCGCTGCAAGCTCCGCCTCCCGGGTTCACGCCATTCTCCTGCCTCAGCCTCCCGAGTAGCTGGGACTACAGGCGCCCGCCACCACGCCCGGCTAATTTTTTGTATTTCTAGTAGAGACGGGGTTTCACCGCGTTAGCCAGGGTGGTCTCGATCTCCTGACCTCATGATCTGCCCGCCTCGGCCTCCCAAAGTGCTGGGATTACAGGTGTGAGCCACCGCGCCCGGCTGAAAACATCTTTATTGAAAAAAATTTTATGCTTCAGAAGGGTGGCTTTTTCTTTAGATCGCGAGTTTTTTCCTTCCTGAAATTCACTTTATATTCACTCCCGCGGTGTTCCTTATCTGTTCTAGCAAAGAGTACTTATTATTCATACGCGGCGCTCATAGTTCGCAGAATATTTGCAGCTTGCCAAGGTACTTGTCCTGACAAAAATTCAAATGGCAACTCTTCATGATAATTTGTATCAAAGAGTACTTATTATTCATACGCGGCGCTCATAGTTCGCAGAATATTTGCAACTTGCCAAGGTACTTGTCCTGACAAAAATTCAAATGGAAACTCTTCATGATAATTTGTATCAATGTGGGTATGAATTCCTGTGGGAAAAGCCTGAGCTCAAAGCTTTAGGCTACTCTGTATGGACTTTTTGTTTAATGATCATATGAAACAATACAATTTTATATTTATGTTTGAATTCACCAGCAAGTTTTAAGTGGTTTCTTTAATTCAGTTGTGATTTAAGCAATTGTTTGGGAGACGTCTTTGCTCTTGAGTTCTGGGGAAACCTAGAAGGAGCCTGGGGTGAGTTTTGACCCTCCATCCTTAAGTCCTCAGCAACACTCAGGTGTGTTTTGGCCACATGAGGAATTTACCTTTGTTCCACAGCAGCCTATGGCAAGAAAGTGAAGTCACATTGGCTGTGATTCCCCAAGCAAAGTGAGATTTCGATTTCAACTCAGAGGCCTGGCGTTTTGCATTGATCTGGACCTTTGTGAAGGCATTGGTAGAAGAATAACAAACTACTAAGAATTCAGTTTATTGATCATCCTGAAACAAAATGGCACTGCTGAGTGTTTAGTGAGCCTCAGTGAGGAGTAAGTATTGGGCACCAGCTGTGTGCCCTCTGAGAATGTGCCAAGTGCTTAGTGAGATTGAGGCCGGTGGTAAATGAGATCTTGTGGCTCTCCTGGACCACTGGTCAGTTTCTTATGGAGTTCAGTGTCTAGGGGATTGAAACCCTTACCTTTCAATTAGTTGCACTTTAAATTATTTCATACTTTAAAGTCTTGTATTGCAGTGATATTTTTAAATGTTTATGTAATTCTAATTGGCGGAGCCCATACTTGATAGAATTGCCAGTGGTTCTTATTATGGGATAAAATTGAGGTCATTTTGAGTGACCAAAGTAACAATTAATTCTATCCGGTTTATCAATTGTATTTCTATATGCATTCCTTAGAGAACCCATATATGTTCTCAGTTACTCTTCTACCACATCGTCTTCTCTTTGGCTTTCATCTTTATTACCAACTTTTATTAATACATTTGGAGAAGTTAAAGGTCATACTCTTTTTAGGTAGAATTGTATAATATTTACAACTTAAGCGCCATACTGTTTGAGCAGTCTCTGAAATTTTACTGCAACTCTTAAAAGATTGAGTAACTGACTCAAACAGGAGAACTAAAGAAATTCAGGTCCAGAAAAAGAAAAGATTGCGTGACTTTTACAGTTTTTTCTAATGAAAGGCATTTGCATGAATGGTTCCCATAGTTCCCTGATACACAGAGAAGGAGCTCCTCCTCCTTTACTCCGATCTGCTGGCCATTCTGTTTACATTCGTGCCTCTGTGGGAAAGAAGAACTCTAAGATCATAGCAGCTGTTCTGTGCAGCAGTGGCTCCCTTGATGTTTTAGGGGAGTTAAGGAAATTAAGTGATGGAAGCATGTACCACCCCCCACCCCCCCGCCGCCCACCCGATCCCATCCAGTTCACTTCCCTGTAAAAAAGAATGCACATCTGTATGTAAACTGTGCCTCTTCCCTCTGGCAATTTTGTGTAAGATTTCTGGAAGGTCAAGACTTCCCACATTCCAACCAGTGGGCAACTAGGGTTTCAGAAACCCAAGATAAGAACCTTGGAATGCAGAAACCATTTCAACTTCTCGAAGAAATATCTTAGGAGAGAATCCTGTGAGCAGGATGGGGCCTTCTTGGTCATGCATCCTTTCCTCTTGCTGAAGAAGACCGCTTATGGCCTCCAAGTTGGGGCTGAGAACTGGCCCAGAGGTAGATGTGGCAGTTGGGGTCACTCTGAGTCACAGAGGTATGACAGTAACATAGCAATGACCCTTCTCAACTAGTGCCATGGTGGATGCTGTTCCCTGGCCTCAAGGGTATACTTGACTTCAGTGATCTCCAGCCTCGCCATCTTTCTTTCCTCCAGATTCTTAGACTCGTAGATTTCAATGTCTTCCTATGGGCCAGAAACAAATTTACTTGAGTTTTGGCTGAGATAATTTAAACTGAGTATTTGTAAATGTCTGACATAAACAGAAAAAAAATGGGTAAGCATAGTCAGTGCCCTCTTTTCTTATCTAAAATTGGAGCATCTTTAGTGTGACATTTGAAATCTAATCTTGCCAGTTCAATGTCAGTCTGATACGGATATTCTTGTAGAAATCTCTGAGATTTAATAAACTTACAGTTGAGTAGAACTGAATCATACTAAAGACCAGTGGAAGCATCCTTGCAGGGCCTTATCAGTTTTTACAATGTAAAATAACTAACCCATAGCGTTTCCTTTTACAGTTAATGTTTGTTTAATAACATGCTTAAGGTATAATATTGAGACGAAGTGAGGAATTTTAATGCTGATTTAGCTACTGAAAAATTATCTCTTGCAACACTTGCTTTACTTGTAGTTAGGATTTGTAATGTTTTATTGCAAAAGAAAGCCCTCTTTTAAATGCGTTGCATTTGTGGCATAGTGGTTGTGTAGGTGGAGTAGGACTTGTGTCTGTACAATTCATCAAGAACATAGCACAGAGCACTTTTACATGCCATTCAGAGACAATAGTGGGTGTTGATAAAATTTGTAGTACTAGAGCTGTGAAAACAAGTGCTGGGCTGGTGCCTGCTTTAAACTCTCTTGAAACTTAGCAGAATTTCATTTTTATAACAAAAATCACTATTTTCTTTAAAGAGGATTGATAACATGAATAAGTCTAGGTGTCCTGGAAATTCATTTGGTTATATCACTATAAAAATGGTGAGACACTGTTGTGGTAGTTGGTTTTGTATTTTAAAGCGTAAACTTCACAGTACATTTAAAACTGTCCTGTGCGAAATTTCAGAGGCTTTGGACACGTTCCTTTCTAGCCTCCCTCGCCGTGGACAGTTATCAAGTTTCTGGCACGGTGCTAGACGAATATGGAAGAGAAGTAAGTGCCTCAGAATGACATTTTAGAACGCTCTTTTTATAGGTTAAGAGACTGAGATCTTGAGAGGTGTAACTCATCTGAGGTTAGACAGCTAGGGATACAGTGAAGACTGGAGTCCAAGCATATTGAAAAGTCAGACCATTCTGTTTTTGTGAAAACAAATAATAATTACTAGAATGCACTACTTCTGTGGAATTTTTTTTTTTGAGACAGACTCTTGCTTTGTTGCCTGTCTGGAGTGCAGTGGCGCAATCTCGGCTCATGTGAGGTTAGACAGCTAGGGGTAGAGTGAAGACTAGAGTCCAAGCATGTTGAAAAATCAGACCATTCTGTTTTTGTGAAAACAAATAATAATTACTAGAATGCACTACTTATTTGTGGAATTTTTTTTTTTTTTTTTGAGGCAGACTCTCACTCTGTTGCCAGGCTGGAGTGCAATGGTGCAATCTTGGCTCACTGCAACCTCCACCTCCCAGGTTCAAGCGATTCCCCTGCCTCAGCCTCCCAGGTAGCTGGGACCATAGGCGGGCACCACCATGCCTGGCTAATTTTTTTTGTATTTTAGTAGAGATGGGGTTTTACTATGTTGGCCAGGATGGTCTTGATCTGCTGACCTTGTGATCCACCCGCTTCGGCCCCACAAAGTGCTGCGATTACAGGCGTGAGCCACTGTGTCTGGCCTATGTGGAATTTTTAAATTGGGGATCAGTACAATTACAACTTAACATTTTTAGATTTTAATGGTTAACTATAATTTATTATATAATTTTAAAAAGCTGGAAACTATTTAAATGTGTGTGTGTGTGTGCATTATTATTATTTTTGTGTGTGTGGAGACGGGGGTCTCACTGTGTTGCCCAGGCTGGTTTTGAACTCCTGGCCTCAAATGATCTTCTCGCCTTGGCCTCCCAAAGTGCAGGAATTATAGGCATAAGCCACTGTACCTGGCCTTTTTAAATTTTTTGAAGAAAGGATTTTGAACATCCACAATGCAAAGAGATGAAAAATATTTGAAGTGATGGATATGCAAATTACCCTTATTTGATCATTGCTTATAGTATATACATATTGAAATATTCTGTGTCCTATAAATATGTACAATTATTACATGTCAGTGAAAAAAGAAAAAATACAAATGAGTAAATTTTAAAAACTCTGTTAATTTAACAATAACATGTAATAGAAATATGCCCTAAAGATTTCATGATGAGCTATTAAATTATTTTTCAAAGAGATATTTGAAGCTGATGAAGTGCATTTAGAAATAAGTGTTACAGGAAGAGTGGAAAAGGAAGTTTTTAGATTTTGAAATTTCTTGGAAATTAATATATTTGGATAAGCTATTTTCGTAGAGTGACATTCTTATGATATGAACAAGTTTATTAAATGGCATACTTTTACCAGAAAATGGGAAAATATAGTCTTAATCTAAAAATAAAAAGACTTTTAAAGTCATTAGGGTTTCAACCTCATAAATGGTGCTTTTAAACAAGTATGTTCTGTTTGGAGTGCTATTGTGCTCTCTTTTTTTTTAAAAAAAAAAGCTATTTGAATTTTTTACTTTTTCTGATTATCATAGATAACAGATGGTTTGCACTTAGTTCAGTGAACCAAACAAAAAAAGAGCAGACTTGGCAGAAAATTCCTGTTGATAGTGCATTTTTTCTCTACTGAAATGGATCACATGAACTTTTTGAATAATGAATAACATATTTACATTATTCTGGTCTTTTTTGCTACAGAGTACAAGAGAAATGTGAAGGACAAACAACCTTATTGTTACTCTTATAAATTATGTAAAATATTTTTGTATTCTTCCTGCATTGCTAACTCTAGGTATTGTTGGATGCCCTGTCTACTTTTAAAAATGATCAATTGAGCCGGGCACAGTGGCTCATGCCTGTAATCCCAGCACTTTGGGAGGCCAAGGCAGGCAGATCACCTGAGATCAGGAGTTCAAGACCAGCCTGGCCAACATGGCGAAACCACATCTCTACTAAAAATACAAAAATTAGCTGGGTGTGGTGGTGGGCACCTGTAATCCTATCTGCTCAGGAGGCTGCGGTATGAGAATCATTTGAACCTGGGAGATGGAGGTTACAGTGAGGCGAGACCACTCCAGCCTGCGAGACAGAGCAAGACTCTGTCTCAAAAAAAATAAAAATAAAAATAAACAAATAATAAAAAAGATAAATTGGTCAAGTGGCTGAAGATTGAAAGCCTGATTTATCTCACCGAACCACTAGTAATGGTAGTATGTTAATATATTAGTTTTTATAAGGATTTTAAAAACCCTGAGGACCCACATTATTTCTCTCAGTTTTTGAAGTATTTAGTAGAGTTGAATTTTTATTTTTAATTTTGTTTTACTTTCAGTTGATTGATCGTTGCCGCCTTTTGGTGGTGAGCTCCTGTGGCGTGTGTTGGTGAAAGTTGGAGATGCTGGTGGTGTAAGGCAGGCGAATGATATTACTAAAGTGGAGGCAGCTCTAGGAGTGGGGACTGTAGACATCAGCTGTAGTTGTTGGTACCAACTGTAATTGAAAGTTCGAGTCATCTGTTTAAAGAATGGGCCTTTCCTTCATCATGTCATTTTAATGCATTGCATATTGGACCAGAGAAATCAGTAAAGTTGAACTATATAATCTGAAATCTAACTTTGTATCCATGAATCAGAATTCAGGCTATTTTCAAGAATTGGAAGAAAAGTGCTCATTTTATTGAACTAAGTATAATTTCCTTATTCTTCTTCTTCTTCTTTTGAGACAGAGTTTCGCTCTGTCGCCCGTTGGAGTGCAGTGGTGTGATCTTGGCTCATTGCAACCTCCGCCTCCCTGGTTCAAGAGATTCTTCTGCCTCACCCTCCCAAGTAGCTGGGTTTACAGGTGCCCACCACCACACCTGGCTAATTTTTGTATTTTTAGTAGAGACAGGGTTTCATCGTGATGGCTAGGCTGGTCCCGAACTCCTGACCTCAAGTAATCCACCCGCCTTGGCCTCCCAAAGTGCTGGGAAGACAGGCGGGAGCCACCACGCCCAACAATTTCTTTATTATTATTAAGTACAATAAAAAGAGAAACAAGAGTGCAATCATTTTTATTTTTATTTTTTCGCCTCCAACAAAGTGATGTATGCAGAACAATGTTTTATGGTAGAGAAAAGTAATCTTTTTCCAGTGTTCATTTCACTAAAACAGCTACTGAAATTATTTGCTGAATGGAATCTTCCACGTCTCTAAAGACATGATATGCAGTATGAATAGCTTTAGTAAATCATGAAATTCTGGGTTCGGAAGAAGCCTGTGTGTTTCATTTCAAGCAGAACTGTATCTACCTATTTTTCATTGGTATGTGCATTATGTAAGAGTGAATTGAAGCCCGGTACAGTGGCTCACGCCTGTAACCCCAGCACTTTGGGAGGCCAAGGCAGGTGGATCACTTGAGATCAGGAGTTTGAGACCAGCCTGAACAACATGATGAAACCACGTCTCTACTAAACGTACGAAAATTAGCCGGGCGTGATAGCAGGCGACTGTAATCCCAGCTACTTGGGGGGCCAAGGCAGGAGCATCGCTTGAACCTGGGAGGCAGAGGTTGCAGTGAGCCAAGATAGCACCGCTGCACTCCAGCCTGGGTGACAGAGCAAGACTCTGTCTCAAAATAAACAAATAATAATAATAATAATAATAATAAAAGAGTGAGCTGGCCTTTTTTTGTGTACGAAAGTATCTGCAGAAACGTCAAAATTGCCTAACTGATAACATAAATGACAATACTTATGTATTTAAAAACAGTAAAATGTTGAGAATATCTATAACTAGGAAAAAAAGCTGTAGAATTGGCACACTGTCGTCCACAATGGCTGAACTAATTTACATTCCCACCAACAGTGTAAAAGCGTTCCTATTTCTCCACAGCCTTGCCAGCATCTATTGTTTCTTGACTTGTTAATAGTCACCATTCTGACTGGTGTGATATGGTATCTCATTGTGGTTTTGATTTGCATTTCTCTAATGATCAGTGATGTTGAGCTTTTTATCATATGTTTGTTGGCTGCATGAATGTCTTCCTTTGATAAGTGTCTGTTCATATCTTTTGCCCGCTTTTTGATGGAAGACAGTGTGGCCATTCCTCAAGGATCTAGAGCCAGAAATGAAATACCATTTGGCCCAGCAGTCCCATCATGGGGTATATACCCAAAGGAATAGAAATCATTCTACTAGGAAAACACATCCAAACCCATGTTTATTGCAGCACTGTTTACAATAGCAAAGACATGGAACCAACCCAATGCTCATCAGTGAGAGACTGTATAAAGAAAATGTGCCACATATACACCATGGAATACTATGCAGCCATAAAAAGGAATGCGATCATATCCTTTGCAGGAACGTGGATGAAGCTGGAAGCCATCATCCTCAGCAAACTAATACAGGAACAGAAAACCAAACAGGACATGTTCTCACTCATAAGTCGGAGTTGAACAATGAGAACACTTGGATACGTGGAGGGGAATAACACACACTGGGGCCGGTTGAGGAGTTGGGGGCGAGGGGAGGGAGAGCATTAGCACAAATAGCTAATGCATGCGGAGCTTAAAACGTAGATGGCAGGTTGATAGGTGCAGCAAACCATGGCACACGTATACCTACGTAGCAAAGCTGCACATTCTGCACTTATATCCTGGAACTTAAAGTAAAATTAAAAAAAAAATCTATAGAAAAAAGTTAAGCATTTTCTCCTTAACTTCTTCATCCCTAGTCCTGCAGCGTTGATGTTTCCAGCACTTTTATTTCAGTGCCTAGGAAGAGGGAGGAGTTGTTAAAGAATCAGAAGAACCCTAAGTACTTTTCCTCTTTCTCAGTCGTTGGTTGTGTAGTCATTGTTTCACAAGTTTTTAAATGGAGCTAGGGAGGGCTCAGTGCTTGATTTGAATTAGACTAATACAGTTACTGGTTTTTGACATCCTGTTATTACATTTGTTGTACAAATTATTCACAGAATAGATAGAATTCAGTCAGTTCAGTTCTTATTCAAGTAATATAATCTATCGCTAAACCATTAAACATTATACATTAACATATTGACTATACTTTAAAAAAGCTACTGGCAGAAATAACTGAAGGTGACGTTTTTCAAGGATAATAATCATTTTATAATTACTGTTAGAAGCTAATAAACTGGGGGCTTTACAATTCTAAACAAAAACCTTCCCACTTGAAAAAATTTTCCATTTAAAATTTAGACTCTGAAAGTTAAAATTTAGAGGGCTGGAACCCATGCTAGGGCTGGCCACCAAAATTTATGTTCTTTCTATACCCCACCTCCTAACACACTGACACTATGGAACTATGTTGTGATTTCACAACATGATCTGTCGTTCTGTAAGAAAATAATCTCATTTGGAAATCTTTGGCGTACTTGGCTGAAGATAAATTCTAAAGTTTCCTTTTTCTTCTTTTAAGACATAGTTGTTCAGTGGCTATGGAATGCTTCTGGAGCACAGAACTTCTCTTTGTACTTAGGTAGAGACATACACAAAAAGGACATGGATGTCCTGTGAGCTCTTAGAACGTATATCGTATGTCAGGCTTTAATTCGTGTTTCTCTGTCTCTCTATGTGGAGTAGAGTAACAAAAGATATGGCTTTTTTTCAAGGCCCTGGAGACACACAGTCCAAAATCCATCATTAAAACAGAACCCTAGGCCAGGCACAGCTCACCCCTGTAATCCTAGCACTTTGGGAGGCCAAGGAGGGTGGATCACCTGAGGTCAGGAGTTTAAGACCAGCTTGACCAACATGGTGAAGCCCTATGTCTGCTAAAAATACAAAAATTAGCTGGGCATGGTGGCGCGTGTCTGTAATGCCAGCTACTTGGGAGGCTGAGGCAGGAGAATCGCTTGAACCAGGGAGGTGGAGATTGCACTGAGGCAAGATCGTGCTACTGCGCTCCAGCCTAGGTGACAGAGCGAGACTCCATCCCAAAACAAACAAACACATAGAACCCCAAGTGGAGTGGAGTGAAAAATATATAACCTTTCTTATCCCTCATGGTGGGTTTTTTTCCCCCTATATTTAAAATCGCAGTTAGTAGACATAACACAAAATTTACCATCTTAGCCAAGGGTTCAGTAGCATTAAATGCATTCACATCGTTGTACAACAGATTTCTAGAACTTTTTAATTTTGCAAAACTGAAACTCTGTACCGTTTAATCAGTTTCCCGTTTCCCCTTCCCTTCCGCCCTGGCCAACCACCATTCTACTTTCTGTCTCTGTGAATTTGACTGCTCTAGGAACTTTATACATGTGGAATCAGACAGTGTTTTGCCTTTTTGTGGCTGGATTATTTCACTGAACATGATGTTCTCGAGGTTCATCCGTGTTGCAGCATGTGTCAGAATTTCCGTCTATTTTAAGGCTGAATAATAGTCCATTGTATGTATAAAGCACATTTTATTAGTCCATTTCTCCATGATAGACACTTGGGTTGCTTCCACCGTTTTGTAGAATGCCTTTTGTGATTGCTTTCATGAACGATGCTGCTGTGAACGTGGCTGTGCAAATATCTCTTCAAGACCCTGCTTTCAGTTTTTTTGGTCATATAACCAGTAGTAGAATTGCTGGATCATATATTAATTCTGTTTTTAGTTTTTTGAGGAGCTGCCATATTGTTCCCCACAGCAGTGGCTATTTTACATTACCGTGGACACAAGGATCCCAATTTCTGCATATCCTCATCAATACATGTTATTTTCTGGGTTTTTTTTCTTTTTGTAGTAGTCATCCTAAGGGATACTGAAGTCTGAAGGGTTTTTATAATTATAAGTTTGCTCTAAACTGAAACAAAAACCAGAATCATCCACTTTTACCTCCATTCACACAAAAGGAAGTTTAAAACCTGCCTGGTTTGTTTCCATGATTTTAAAAGATAGAAAAAGTTCCATTTATTTTAAAAGAGAAGATTTTATTTTTCTCATTTCAGTAAAGCTTATCACAGGATCTCCATTGCCTTTATCTTTATCACTGTTGTGGTTCTCAGATTTGAGGTAGTTGTGATTCATAAAGTTGAACAAGTAGAATCTGCTGAGATGAGGCCTTAATTGATCATTTTTACAAGACATCATTTTTGGCAGAATCAAATGATAGTGAAGCTAGCCTAAGAAATAACTGTGGAATCTAAGAAGCGAGGCAAGGACATTTGACCAAGCAAAATTGACTTTTTGTCCCACTTACAACAGCGCTAAGAGGGAAAGTTTCGTTCATTCTCAGATTAAGTTATAGGTAAGTGGATTACACCAGAGCACATATTGCCAAAAACCTGTCATCCTGCTCAACATTTCTACCTCTAAAAAAGTAGCAATCAAGTTCTATTTATTCTGAGGATCAGTTATATTCTATATTCATGTGTATAATGGCAGGGATTTAAAAATAATCTGGGTAAATTTGAACTGCAAATAGCATGTAAATATCACTGACCCGTAATAGTCTTAGTTCTTCTCTACAAGGGTATATGGTCAGCCCTTATTGGGAGTAAAAACACCTCGGCACATTAGTGAGGCTTCCTTGACCCCACAGAGTCTCTCAGCAATTTCATCCCAATTCCCTGGATCCAGGTAAGTAACAGACATGAATGAAACAGGCTAGTGCAAAATAGAAAGGGGTGGTGGCAAACTGTGTTAAACCAAAGAGGAATCAATTAAAAAAAAAATACAGTGTGTCCCAAAACACGCATTTGAGTTGGGAGCAGTGATTGATCCAACATTTATAGAGAACCCTGCAGAGTCCCTGACATTGTGGGAAGAATAGAAGTAGAATGAGCCCAGAAAACCCGTGTTTTTATTTTAGATTTCTTTAAATACGTGAGAATACAATGGCATATAATGCAATATTTTCCCTTCTCAAAAATATATCTAGAAAGAAAGAGATGGGGAAATGCACAGCAGCCGTTGGTGGAGGTTGACCCTGGAAGCTAATTCTAGAATAACTTAAAAATGTAAGTTGTTCAGGTTTCCCTTTTATAGCTGTTCTGAGTAGCACAGAAACTCAATTTTGCTTGGTAGAAGGTCCTTGCCTTGCTTCTTAGATTCCACAGTCATTTCTTAGGCTAGCTTTACTATCATTTGATTCAGCCAAAGATGATGTCTTATAGAAATGTTCAATAAAGGCCTCATTCCTAAGCAGATTCTACTTGTTCAAGTTTATGAGTTACAACTACCTGAAGTCTCAGAATCATAGCAGTAATGAGCATAAAGGCAGTGGAGACCCTGTGATAAGTTTTACTGAAATGAGAAAGATAAAATCTTCTCTTAGTTTAGAATATGAATATTTCTGGTATTTGATACTGTTATTGTCTGGGCCAAGTGGATAAAACAGCGTTTCATTTCTGATCTTGTAGGAAATTGTTTTATGTAATGAGTACATACATGGGTAGAGCTATATTGGTAAAGGCAGTGCCTACTATGCTGAATTAAATATTCCATGCAAGGGTACCAGGAAAAGGGGAGGGACTTTATAGTTGCTAACACTGAAAAAAGATTTGTTGCATCAGATGAACCTTTAAACTTAAGAAACGTTTACCAACTCAATATTTATTTGATCTAAATAGTCAGTATGTAATGGTGTGATACACCCGGTACTTTTCCAAAGTCATCAATAATGAGGACATAGCTTGTGGTTTTTAATTTTTTAGTCCCTGTGAATTTATTTGATTGCCTTTGATTGCCACATCTTTTTCTTTTTTTTTTTTTTTAAGATGGAGTCTTGCCCTGTCTCCAGACTGGAGTGCAGTGTCGCAATCTCGGCTCACTGCAACCTCCACCTCCCAGGTTCAAGCGATTCTCCTGCCTCAGCCTCCTGAGTAGCTGGGATTACAGGCACATGCCACCACACCCAGCTAATTTTTGTATTTTTAGTAGAGATGGGGTTTCACCATGTTGGCCAGGATGGTTTTGATCTCCTGACCTCGTGATCTGCCTGCCTGACCTCCCATACTGCTGGGATTACAGGCGTGAGCCACTGTGCCCTGCCTGATTGCCATTTTTCTGAAGGATGGGGATGTTGAGTGGGGTGGCGGGTTTTTGGCAATGTGTGCTTTGCTGTAATGTACCTACCCATATCTGACTATTGGTTTATACAGTACAGAGAACCATGGGCTAAGCCTTACTTTTCAGCCACAAAATAAAAATCCTATCATTAAATCTTAGAATCTGAGTTGGCAGATAACCTTGTCTAATACCCTTCTAACTAAAACTGTTCCACAAAATTCCTCAATCAACTGTCCTCTGTTTTAAGTAATGACAGACATCTGATAGCTTTAGTGGTGGCAGCTTCTTATGGGTAGGAACACTTTTTATTAGGGAGATTTGCATTTTATTGGATCAATGCCTTACTCTTTTTATATGATATCCTTTATTAGTAGTTCTGTCTTCTGAAGTAAATACATAGGATCATTGCCTTCCTACATCTTGCCATTCATGTATTTAAAGAAAGTTATCATCTCTTTTCTATGTCTTTTTCCCTAAGAATGAAAAGAAACTAAATATAGCAATAATACCTATTCGTGATTCTAAAACTTTTTGCTATTTGTCAGACACTTTGCTTGTCCACTTACTCCTTACGATAGTTCTATAACTGTTTTATTTTATTTATTTAATTAATTAATTAATTAATTTTTTTTTTGAGATGGAATCTCGCTCTGTCGCCCAGGCTGGAGTGCAGTGGCAAGATCTCGGCTCACTGCAACCTCCGCCTTCCAGTCTCAAGCGATTATCCTGCCTCAGCCTCCCAAGTAGCTGGGATTACAGGTGCACCACCACACCCGGCTAATTTTTGTACTTTTAGCAGAGACAGGGTTTTGCCATGTTGGCCAGGCTGTTGTCAAGCTCCTGACCTCAGGTGATGCACCCACCTTGGCCACCCAAAGAGCTGGGATGACAGGCGTGAGCCACCGCACCTGGCCTATGTGTTGTCTGTTTTAAAGATGAGAAGACCGAGATGCCAGTGACTTGTCCAAAGACACATGGGTGGTAACTCGTAGAGATTATTAGCTAGCTCAGGGCTTCTTCCCTCTTTGGGCCACAGCTGTACCCTTGCTTATTGTACCTGAACACCTGCAGTTTCTTTCATTGCTCTTTAAGTGATGACATGGTCTCCCAGACCCCTCACCCCATCCAGTTGACTCTTCACTGAACTTAACTGGTCAGCACTTAAGAAAAAGATGGTTTAAGCATTCAAGAAAAACATGGATGCCAAGTATCCATTGATTCAGGAAATATTTGAGTATCTGCCATGTGCCAAGCACTCTAGGTATTTGGGATAAACCAGTGAACAGAGCAGTCAAACAAATCCCTGTCTTCATGCATGGTACACTGAGGGTTCATGTTGTGGCTTAGTCCCTGTCCCCACAATCAACACTGAAGAGGACTTTGAAATAGGGGACAGAAAAGTTGCAGAAGCAGGCTTGTGCTGTTAAGGCATTAAGGTGGGAATTCTATACGAAAAGTTCAAATGATGTATTAAATATGGATCCAATATCTCTGCTCACTCCCCCTTTGCATCACTTTAAACACACATTCCTTGCATGGATTAAGAAAATAATGTTGACTTTAACTGACTTATACTCATTTATTTCTAGGCACAAAATGAGACCAAACAAAAACTTGGCAATAGAAGGAAGAGGTTCCTGATATTATCAGAGGTCATTCGAAATAAAATCCAGGCAAAATGAAACCACAAAAGATGTGATTTGTAGGGCCAGAAGACTTTGCTTGTTCTGAAATGTGTTTTGAATTCAAGAATATGAAGAGAATCAAGAATATTAGAGATTGAGAAGCCCAGAGATGGGTTAGAAATGAACTGGATAAATTGTAAAATGCACACAAGTGTACTAGAAAATGTTACATGTTTTGGTGAAGGCCGTGAAAATCTTCAGCTGCTTATTGTAGGTAACCTTCTTCTATTAAATCATGGGAGATTTTTCTAGCTTAGAGGTATAAGTTTTAATGTGTGTTGGAATTTTTAATACAGACTTAAGTCCTGATGCTTATCTAGTATCTTTCTTTGTTCTTAAACATTGATTTTCCCGTATTGCTTACCTTTAATAACTATTACATTTTCAGTTTTAAGGCAGTAATAGTTCATGAATTTGAAAAGTTAAAATCTATTGGAGATGAAGTTTTACAATTCTGAAGTCTTTCAAATATATTTTTGGTAACATCTTGATGACCTTCAAATTTTCTTTCATCAGCGGAGTGTTAGGGGGCTGCCGAGAGCCTGGGAACTGCTAGCATTCTGTTTCTCACTGCTTCTGGGTTATGCAGCATGGAAGAGAGGGCATGGAGTTTGGAGCCACACAGACCTTAGGTTCAAATCCAGCTCTGTGACTTTGAAAAGTTTCTTAACATCTCTGAGCCTTAGTTTCATCATGCAAAGATAGGACATTTCTCCTGAGGTGGTTGTGAGGGTTAAATAAAGTAAGTCAAGAGCCCAAGACATAATAGGAAAGCAATGAATCGTCTCTATTATTAATTTTTATTTTTATATATCAAAGTCTGGGGTACAGTGGCCTTGCTTAAAAATGGAATCCCCTTTCCTTTGAATTACTTTTTCTCCCCATATGATAGTCTCAAATATTTATTCATTTTTCTTTTCTTTCTTTTTTTTTTTTGCACAACATCCAAAAGTAAAGGAAACAATATTCTGCAACTCCATCGATTCTGAGTTTCTCTTCAGTGTGCTATATTAAGCTAGATGATGTCATCATCAGCTAACATTGGCTTTTCACCAAGCCGTGGTGACAAGTTTCTTTCCTTAAGGCATATTCTGGAATAGTGTTTCATCTCAGTTTAGAATGTGTACTTCATAACTGGACTATTTATTGGTAGGAGCTGCCTGTGCTTCACTTTCTGGGATGTGGCAGTTAACACTTTGCTCATCAGAGCACTCTCCTTCCTCAGCCTAGTGTTCATCATGGGAAATTCTGAGCTCTGGAAAAATGTAAACTTCGTGTTTGTCTCTTTAGATGGTGCAAACTAATCAGAAACTTCAGTGGCCACAACAAAACAAAACCATTAGCAAAAGACAAACAAAGAAGCTTTATTTTTTAATTGCAAAGCTTCATTACATTGCTTCTGAAATGCTAATCATTATATTATATTCATTTATGGAGAGTCAGACAGACTTGATTTTGTCTGACATTGTCCTGACATTGATCTGTACTAGCATCTTAGTCTGCTTGAGCTGTCATAGTAAAATACCATAGACTGGGGGCTTAAACAACAGACATTTATTTTTCATACTTCTGGAGGCTAGGAGTTGAGATTATGGTGCCAGCATGGTTGAGCTCTGGGGAGGGCTCTTTTCCTGGCCTGCAGACGGCAGCCTTCTCCCTGTGTCCTCAGTTGGTAGAGAGAGAACACCAGCTCTTCCTCTTTTTATAAGGACACTAATTCCATCATGGGTGCCCCACCCACATGATCTCATCTAGCCCTAATTACCTTCTAAAGGCCCTACCTCCAAATACTATCACATTGCAGGTCAGAACTTCATAGGAATTTTGGGGGAACACAAATATTTTGTTTGTAACAAGCAGCTAGTACTTAACCTCTTTAAGCATTGGTTTTCTCACCTATAAACTAGAGATAATAAAAGCACTTACCTCATAGGGTTGATAGGTAATTCAGTTAGGTTTATATATGTAATACACTTAGCCTAGTTCCTAAAACATAGTACGTGCTTGATAAATGTTAGCTCTCAGTAGTAGCAGCAGAAGTAAGTTATAGTGATGGTAGTATATTTTAGGAGCATGTCTCATTCCAGGAACTTATCAGAACTCTTCTGAAATTATAAATTGATGATTGAATTCTTTTTAAGCAACAGTGATGAGAATCTCTATCTTCGTCCATATTTCTGTCGCCATTTTCTCTTCCTAGGCTAATTGTGAGCTTCCTGTATCTGAATCCTGTTCCCTTTGGCCCTGTCCCTCCGGGTCAGCCTTCACTGAGGCTGTGGAGTATTGGGTTCTTTTCACTATGACCTTGCCATATAGTTAGGTGCTTGTTTCTCATTGCCTGTGGCTCCCTAGTCTTTGCTTCAAACCCTTCACACTTTTTCTCTAACTTTTCTCCATGCCATATCATCATCTCCTTTGTTTACTTCAGGGTCACTTACCTAAAGAGGATGAAAGTTTCTTTGGGGCTTCTGAATAAAGGTGGCCAGGTTCCTAAATATTCACATTCATCTTGCCAAGCAGACTTCTGATTGCCTAAAATATTCTTTATGATGTCTCCTCCATAAAACCTTCTAGAGTGATCCAAGGAGAGCACCCTGCTTCTTCTTCTGTGAACCCTGGGAATGGATTCATTTTTGTTGTCTACCAGTAGACCATCTGATTGATTGAAACATCTTATTCCCCAACAATGACTTGGGAAAAGAAGAGTTTTCTGTGAGAAAGAATTAGTGATGATCAGAGTGAAACATATATGTTAAAGCTATATTATAGTTAGTTTTGAATGCTGTTTGGTACTGATTGTAGAATTTGGGGCATTTTGAGATTTCAATAAGTGATAAAAGCATCTTAAATCTTGAAACATAGGTTATGTGTAACCAATTGCAAACATGTTTTAGGAAAGAATTATTAAAGGGAGAAACTTTTTTATTGTGACATATGTTCCAACTATATTTTAAGACAGTTATCTGAAGCATAGGGGTTCATGAGAATATTTGTGTATGTGGTGTATGTGTATATATACATAAAATGCACACACACGCACACATCCTTTTATAAAAAATATCATGGCTGGGTGCAGTGGCTCATGCCTGTAATCTCAGCACTTTGGGAGGCCGAGGTGGGCGGATCACCCGAGGTTGGGAATTTGAGACCAGCCTGGCCAGCATGGTGAAACCGCATTTCTACTAAAAATACAAAAATTAGCCGAGTGTGGTGGCACACGTCTGTAATCCCAGCCACTTGGGAGATTGAGGCACGAGAATTGCTTGAACCTGGGAGGTGAAGGTTGCAGTGAGCCGAGATGACACCACTGCACTCCAGCCTGGGCAACAGAGTGAGACTCTGTCTTTAAAAAAAAAAAAAAAAAAAAAAAAAAAAAGGAGTACTTTTCCAAACAGAAATTTACTTTCATTACAAAAAAGTTTCAAGGAGGAGATGGGAGATGAGAAGGACCTTGAGAGGAATAAAAGGGTATCTGTAAGTAGAGATGAGCTTAAGCAGAGGATATTTTTAAATAGAGCAGCATGTTTATTTTGTACTCCAGTATTGATTTGTGACCACACAATACTGAAGAAAAAAGATATTTAAGTGTCTTAAAAGCAAATCAGTTCTGTTAATTGCTTTAAAGTTATTTAGATTTTTAACCTACAGCTAAGATACATGTTACGGAAATGACCTTATATAAGCCTGTTTCAGGCTTAGTATTTTTTAGATGAGATTTCCTTTAGAAAGAAAACACATAGTACCATAATGATAGTTACTCTTGCTGATTTGTTGGTATTATTGATTAGGCTAATATATGTAAGGTAACTACATTTTCTTCTACTATTTTTTTTGGTAGTCCTTGAGCCATTTTAGGATACTTGCTTTCTAAAAAGAATACATTTAAAATATGAAATTGTATATTTTGATAGAGGGAGGTCAAATAAATGTTTATATTTCAACAAAATGAAGGGAAATACTTGTAGAGCTTAGGCAATGCTTGGTATACTTTGTGTTTTCCCCACAGACAAAAAACCTCGTAAATGGCCTATGTTGGTTCTTCGGAATTGGTGGCAAGAGGACAGAGTGTAGGATTGTAAGAATTTACGTCAGATGAATTTGGCAGGATTCTGATATTTCCTTGATACTTAATTCTAGGCACACTGTCTGTCTCATTAATTTCTGTAAACGTCTTGGTTAAGGAATTACACTGAGGGAGTTCTGATGTTTCATTCACACTCATCCCTGTCTGCCATCCATCAAGTGCTTCTGGAATTCCATCCTGGATCAGACCACCCAGTGAAGACAGCCGTGGCAGGAGCCAGTAGCCCCAGAGACAGGGACTCTTCACAGGGAGACGTGGCGCTGGGCTGTGGCCTCTTTTCAGCTTTCTGGCAGCAAGCCTCTCATTAGCATGGGGTGCTGCGGTATGCTTGGCCAAGGAGGAAATCTCAAGAGCCGAAGCCTTGAAAACCCAGGTCTTGTGTCCGTGCCCAGAATTATGCATTGCTAGCATACAGCCAGCTGCAAAAGGAAGAAATCAAACCCAAATGTGGAAGCAAGTTTCTTCATGCCCTTGTTTCCCTGTTTAAAGTTTTCTGTCAAGCCACTTCCACAGGGAGCTGTTACCCAGTGGCCAGTGCTTAAAGAAATTGTGTTTGGAAAGTTCTTTTAACAGAGGCTACAGAATCTTACTGAGACTGTGTCCTTAATGACTGTAGTGGCTGCCTGGCAACAGAGCCTCCTAGGTAAGAGGAGGAAAATGACCCAGGCTGTATGCATGCATTAGTTTGTTTTCACGCTGCTGATAAAGACGTACCCAAGATTGGATAATTTATTTTAAAAAAGTTTAATGGACTCACAGTTCCACATGGCTGGGGTGCCCTCACAATCATGGCAGATGGCAAAAGTCACGTCTTACAGGGTGGCAGACAGGAGAGAATGAGAACCAAGTAAAAGGGGTATCCCCTTATAAAACCATCAAATCTCGTGAGACTTATTAACTACCATGAGAACAGTGTGGGGGAAACTAGCCCCATGATTCAGTTGTCTCCCACTAGGTCCCTCCCACAACACATAGGAATTATGGGAGCTACAATTCAAGATGAGATTTGGGTGGGGACACAGCCAAATCATGTCAACTTGGCCATGCTGACTACAAGAAGCAGGACTGAACCTGCATCCGGGGCTTGAGTAGATTGTGCGCTTGTTTGTACCACCCTGATAAGTACCTGGGGACAGAGACTGGGGAGGATTCTTACTATATTTTATCACATTTTCTCAGACAATGTAACAGGGGATGCTGCTTGTCCTCAACATCTGCTTCCCAGTTTTTAGCTGGGCATCTACAAGAGCACCTGAAATAAAGACTAGGTCCTGTGTCTCCCCTGAAGCATACTAGGGTCAAATTCTAGCTAATAGCTAGTGAGGGAAAGCTTCCTTTGTGACTTCTAGGAAGTACATTTTTTAAAAGAGGGGTTGGCTGGGTACAGTGGCTCATCCCTGTCATCTCAACACTTTGGGAAGCTGAGATATGAGGATCGCTTGAGCCCAGGAGTTTGGGACCAGCCTGGGCAACACAGTGACACCCTACCTCTATAAAAAAATAAAAATATTAGCTGGGCATGGAGGGTGCCCCCGTATCCCAGCTACTTGGGAGGCTGAAGTGGGAGGATTGCTTGAGCCCAAGAAGTCAAGGCTACAGTGACCCATGATCACACCACTGCACTCCAGCCAGGGTGACAGAGGGAGACCCTGTATCAAAAAATAAAAATATAAACCTAGATGATGGGTTAAGAGGTGCAGCAAACCACTGTGGCACATGTATACCCATGTAACAAACCTGCATGTTCTGCACATGTATCCTGGAACATAAATTTAAAAAAAAGGAGGGAGAAAAAAGGAAAGAAAATGACCATACGGCCAAAAGTAATCTACAAATTCAGTGCAACTCCCATCAAAATACCACCATCATTCTTCACAGAACTAGGAAAAACAATCCTAATAGAACCAAAAAAGAGCCCACATAGCTAAAGCAAGAGTAAGCAAAAAGAACAAATCTGGAGGCATCATATTACCTGATTTCAAACTATACCATAAGGCCATAGTCACCAAAACAGCATGGTATTGGTATAAGAATAGCACACAGACCAGTGGAACAGAATAGAGAACCTAGAAATAAACCCAAATATTTACAGCCAACTAATCTTCAACAAAGCAAACATGGCATAAAGTGGGGAAAGAACACCCTTTTCAGCAAATGGTGATGGGATTATTGGCTAGCCACATGTAGAAGAATGAAACTGGATCCTCATCTCTCAACTTATACAAAAATTAGCTCAAGATGGATCAAAGACATAAATCTAAGACCTGAAATCATAAAAGTTCTAGAAGATAACATTGGGAAAACCCTTCTAGACATTGGCTTAGGCAAAGAGTTCATGACCAAGAACCCAAAAGCAAATGCAGCAAAAACAAAGATAACTAGATGGACTTAATTAAACTAAAAAGCTTCTCCACAGCAAAAGAAATAATCAGCAGAATTAACAGACAACCCACAGAATGGGAGAAAACTTTCACAGTCTATACATCTGACAAAGGACTAATATCCAGAATCTACAAAGAACTCAAACAAATCAGCAAGAAAAAAAAATGAAAAAGTAGGCTAAGGACATGAATAGACAATTCTCAAAAGAAGATAAAATAATGGCCAACAAGCATATGGAAAAATGTTCAACATCACTAATTATCAGGGAAATGCAAATCAAAAACCATAATGCAATACCACCTCACTCCTGCAAGAATGGCCATAATCAAGAAATCAAAAAAGAATAGATGTTGGCATGGATGCGGTGAAAGGGGAATACTTTTACACTGTTGGTGGGAATGTAAACTAGTACAACCACTATGGAAAACAGTGTGGAGATTCCTTAAAGAATTAAAAGTAGAACTACCATTTGATCCAGCAGTCCCACTACTAGGTATCTACCAAAGGAAAAAGAAGTCATTATATGAAAAAGATACTTGCACATGCATGTTTATAGTAGCACAATTTGCAATTGCAAAAATGTGGAATCAGCTCAAAAATCCCATCAATCAACAAGTATAGAAAGAAAATGTGAGATATACATATATGTGTGTGTGTGTGTACACACACACACACACACACACACACACACACACACCATGGAATACTACTCAGCCATAAACAGGAATGAAATAATGGTATTTGCAGCAACCTGGATGGAATTGGATACTATCATTCTAAGTGAAGTAACTCAGGAATGGAAACCCAAACATTGTTATGTTCTCAGTCACATGTGGGAGCTAAGCTATGAGGACACAAAGGCATAAGAATGATACACTGGACTTTGGGGAATCAGGGGAAAGGGTTGGGGATGGTGAGGGATAAAAGACTACACACTGGGTACAGGGTACACTGCTCGGGTGATGGGTGCACCTGAAATCACCGCTGAAGAACTTATGTATTTATGTACATAGTTGTGACTTCCGCATCTAATCCTGATTTTTTTTTTTTAGCTTGTTTGTAGCAGGGATTAACATACAGAGCCAGTGTGCAATCAGGAGCAAGTTCTTAGCATACTTGATGAATTTCCCTGTGCTCACTTGCTGCTTATAGTGATAGCACTTTAACTTTTGGAAGTGGAGAAATTACCAAAAATTTTTGACTGGGGCAAGGGTCAGGGATGACTCAGAGCTCAGCTCTCTCCCTGCATCTAGACAGAGTTGTAATCTAACACAGAACCATTTTTCCACATATTCCCCCCATTCTCTACATCACATCCTATCTATTAAAAGGATCCTTTCAGCCCACCAGATTAGTTTGCCTTGACTTCTTAAGTTGAATAATGGGTTTCTTTCTGGGTGTCTTAGAGATGCTGGGCTCTTCTTCTCCCTCATTAGAAGGCCTATCTTCATTATGAGTATTCCTCTACTTGAAGAAAATAGAGTATTTAGAAGTCTTATTTTTAAAAAAGGGGATAACCGTGATCAGATGGATATGCTAATTTGCTTGCCTGTCATAACCATTTCACTATGTATATTAAAACATCATGATGTAGACCTTAAATATATGCAATAAGAAACAAGCTCTAGAATCTGAAACAAGAAAGTGGCCAAAAATCACAGTGGCAATTATTAGTATTTGTCCCATTTTCTTTTTATTTCTCAACAAGTTATCTTTGCATTCACAGCAAGATGTCCTAGAAAAAGGACACTATACAGATACGGGTTTGGGTGTATGAACAGTAGGAGTGGCGAGTCCTGAGGGAGGTGCAGGTGATAATCCGGGAGGATTTGTTTGCTAGGGTTTTAATTTGACAATGAACTGGTTACTTTTAAATTATCATGGTAGAATCCTACATGCCTCAACAGTGATTGGCTGTGTATGAGTTTGCACTCAGGGTACATTAAGCAACTGGATGGTGCTAGAGAGGTAGATGATGAAATACTGTTCTGTTGCTTGCAAACCAGCACATTCCTGCAAGCGGGATTTGCTGAAACCTTCCAGTGAAGGATTCTTAAACAAACTTGGTCTTTGGTGATGTAAGATACATGAAATAGGGAGGCTGAGTACTGAGAGTTTGGGAAGTTCAAAAAATTTACACAAGCTTTACTTTTTGGTAGTATTCATAGAATGTTTGTCTTTTTTCATGATGGGGAAGTAATTTGCATATACCTTAGAACATTCCCTCATGACTAGCTAGTGGACTCAATCTCTATACCCTAGATTTTTAAAAAGCAGATTTCTAAATACCCAGAGAAAATATGAAGATAATTCTATGGACTGTAACCCTAAAAGGTGATGCTTTTTGGCAAGAAGAAAAGACAAATACAATCAAAATCCTAGTCTGATAACGAATGCTCTGAGTTAGGAACAAGAGGGGAGGATACCAGAAGGTTTCATTGTAGCTGCCATGGGAATTCATTTGAGGGATTCAGATTTAAAAGGTGGAAGAATAAAGTAAAAAGTATGGGTTTGTGAAAAATGGCAAAGAAATGGTTGATTGGAAGCTTGTAAAATAGGAAGGCGAACAAGAAAGGAGAGGCCTGGTATGGTGGCAGCAGATGACAGGGAAGCAGAGCTCCTAAATCTCTATTTTGCTTTTGTCTTTACACAAAGAAGGGCCACCTGACTAGGAGGACAGGACGCATGATGGAAAAGGACCTGAAGCCCGAGTTGGTGAGAGAGAACCTCACTGTTAAAACTAGTTCACAATTTCAGGTCTGGATGAATTACATCTCATGATGTTGGAGGAATTTTTAGATGTGTGTGTGTGGAGTGAGTAGAGATCATCTTGGAGGTGCCCTGAAGTATGAGGAAGAGAGAAGAAGAAAGGAAAGAGGTAGTCACCTTTATTTTCAAACTGGAAGCCAATGTAGATGCTGGAAACCATGGATCAGGGAGCTGAAGACCATCCATCAGAAAAATTTCAGCAGCGTGTGGTATCTAGTTGGAAGAGAAGTAGCTGATCTCCAGAAAGCATCATGAGTTCACTAAGAACACGTTATGCCTAACGAACTGCATGCCCTCTTTCTCCACGATTATTACACTGGCGAATTTGGAAAGTTTCAACATAATGTATTAGGATTTCAGCAAAGCACTTAATATATTGTGATAACCTGGGGATAAGTTCGAGAGAAATGTGGATTTCCAGTTGGTTGCATGATAATACCAGAGTGTTGATCAATGGGTCAGTATCATCCTGAAGGGACATCTTGGTGGCATGCCATGGTACTCTGCCCTTGGCTCTGTCAGGTTTAACTTTTAAAAATCATTCATTTGGATTAACATAGAAGACCTGCTTTTCAAATTTGCAGTGATACACAGGTAGGTAGGGTACTTAATGCATGATTGACAGACTTGTGTTATAACATGACCTCAAATAATATGAAACTTAAAATGCTGAATTTAGGTTTTAAAATAATCAGTGTAGCAAAATGGAACCAAGAGGACCACGCTATATAGAAATATTTGAGAAAAAAGACATGAGGGTTTTAGCCGACTACAAACCAAATATAAATCATTCACTCCCTCATTCATTCATTGGACAAATGTTTACTCCTATCCATGTTTCAGTCACTGGGAAAACACTGGGGATGTGACAAATGAATAAATATAGACCTCGATTTCAAGAAACGTGTAATCTAAAGGAATATATTAATTTCGTAGGGTTGCCATTCAAAGGTACCACAAACTGGGTAGCTTAAAATAACAAATAGTTTGTCTTACAGTTCTGGAAACTTGAAGTCCAAAATCAAGGTGGCAGCTGGACTGTCTGTGCTCCTTCTGAAACCTGCAGGGGAGGGTCATTCCTTGCCTCTTCTAGCTTCTGGTTGTGGCCATCCATCTTTGGCGTTACTTGGCTCACAGCTGCGTCACTGTAATTTCTGCCTCTGTCATCACATGGCATTCTTCGTGTGTCTCACATGGCATTTTCTTCTTCTTATAAGGACACCAGTGTTACTGGATTAGTGACTTAACTTGATAACGCCTGCAAAGACCCTGTTTCCCAGTAAGGTCACCAAATAAGGTACCAGGTTTTAGGACTTCAGCATATTTTTCTGGATGGAGGACACAATTCAATACATAACAAGGAGTAAAATCTGTCTTCATCTAAGTAGTTGACTAATTAGGATTTTTTTATGTGACATAAAAATAGAGTTCTGTGAGAACAGGGTGACCTAATTTAGCTCAAGGGAGTGTCAGGGGTGATTGGGAGCCATCCAGGCGAAGAGGGGAAGGAGTAACCTTCCAGGAAGAAGAAACAACAGTGCAGAACGCCCTGGGGCACTCAGATGCTTAGTGTTCTGAGGAAGTTAAAGGAGCCCAGGGCAGCTCAAGTGGAGGAGGAGGAAGCAGAAGACAGCTGAGGAGACAGGGAGGAGCAGACCCAGCAGAGCTCCGTACACTGTCGAGGTGGTTTTTAAGAACAAAGCAAAAAGAATTAATAGAAGTAGACAAAATGGAGGACTATTATAAGCTAATTAGGCTTTATATTTGCCTCCCTACATCTGGAACCCTTTGTTTTCTTGAGAGGTTCATATTTTAAGCTAATGACTGTTTTTCGGTGTGGCCATTACGCTTTTTTTGTTTATTTGTTTTTTTAGAGACAGGGTCTCACTCTGTTGCCCAGGCCGGAGTGCAGTGGCATGATTATGGCTCACTGCAGCCTCTACCTCCTGGACTCAAGGGATCCTCCCACTTGAGCCTCCCCACAGGGAGCTGGCACTACAGGTGCGCATCACCATGTCTGGCTAATTTTTATAGAAACGGGGTTTTGCTCTGTCGTTCAGGCTGGTCTCAAACTCCTAGGGCAGTCAAAGGCTTAGGGTTCTGAGGAAGTTAACTCCGCCTGCCTCCGCCTCCCAAAGTGCTTGGATTACAGGTCTGAGCCACTGCCCCCGGCCTGGTCATTACACTTTGAATTAATATATTTATATGAGGGGAGAGAAATCTTGGGAAGGTAGCTATTTGGAATTACTTGAAGGAGAAGACTTTTCTTTATTTGTTCTTAGGGCAGAGTTAGACTAATGGGTAAGAGTTATAGGAGGAGAGCTCCATGAAATAAAAGCATTGAGAGCTGCATAAGGAGAAGACAGGATGTCCTTGAAACTCGGGGCTCTCGGGGCCCATACAACATGGCCGCCTGTCGGGGATGAAAGGAATTCTGAAGGGAAGATGAGAGGGGACCAGTTTCCTCTAGGGTCCCCACAAAAAGCATCCACTAGAGTTTCAAATGTGATGTTAAGATTTCTAAAATGTATTTACATGTACTTTATAATAAAAAAGCATTATAAAGGCTTTAACATTAAATGTTACTGGGGGATTGTTAAATAATTGAAATTCATTTAAAAACCTTTGCAGACTTATTTAGACACTTCTGCTGCACTCTGTTCAGTAGCACTGGTTTTCCTTACAGTCTGCTGCAATCACAGTAATTGTCCTTAACCACACGTCTTGTGTACGTACAACCATCTCTTCCCTTTTCTTAATGTTCTCTCTGCTGCCCTTAGTTGACTTGTTCTATCAAGCTCATTTCTAGGGCTCAATTGCCAGTCATTTATGGCCAGCGAAATACTATTTAGAAGTGATGGTATATATATAGCAGTTTTCCCTTCATTGGGGATGGGGGAGCAAGAGGACACATTGTATAAGCAAGTGTCAATCCTACCCAAGTGCCATGGGGCTCAGTCTCTACGGAGGGACATTTTCTTTGTTTTTGGTTTTGTTTTTTTGTTTTTTTTTTTTTTGAGAGATAGAGTCTTGCTCTGTCACCCAGGCTGGAGTGCAGTGATGTGATCTTGGCCCACTGCAACCTCTATCTACCTCCTGGGTTCAAGAGATTCTCCTGCCTCAGCCTCTCGATTAGCTGGGATTATATGTGTCCACCACCATGCCCAGCTAATTTTTGTATTTTTAGTAACGATGGGGTTTTACACCATGTTAGCTAGGCTGGTCTCGAACTCCTGGCCTCAAGTAATCCGCCCACCTTGGCCTACCAACATGCTGGGATTACAGGTGTGAGTCACCACGCCTGGCCCAGAGGGACATTTTCAAAGAAGCTGCCAAAAGTCCCTTGAAAAGGAATTTCAACCTTCCCTTGTGTTAGGCTGGTGGGTGCAGAAGTAATTGCTGTTTTGCCATTAAAAGCAGTAGCAAAAACTACGATTACTTTTGCACCAACCTAATACGTCTTGAAGGAGACCCCATTTGCATTCAACACCAGCACTTCTCCACACCCTCTTATCTCTCTTGCCGGCTTCTCTTGGCAGGTGAATGAGCGGGAGGTTCTCATTTTTCAGGCTGCTAGCTTTTCCCTGCCTCCTACCCCGTGCTATATAAATAAGCCTGGTTTCTTAGCTTTAATTTTCTACGTTCCCCCCTGCCCCCCATCCCCGGTCCGCCGCTGCTTCTTTGAGTCAGAAGGAAAGCTCAGGAGCTGACAGAGAGGATAAGAAAGAACCTTCTTGCTGTGTCCCTGCAGTAGCTCGGATGGCCTGGGAGCCGGGACAGAGGGAGAGGGCAAGGGGGCAAGGTGGGGGCAGCTGGATACATGCAGTTCAGTCAAAACCTTTTCACCTTTATGTGAGCCAGAAGACTTATGTGCTAAGGGTAGTAGGAGGACAAACTGGGCTACAGTACTCGTTGGAGAATAGCAACATGCAGGGCTAGAAAGCCAGGCTGGGGCCAGGTCACAGAGGGATGGTTTGGAAACCCAGGCAAGTTGCTGAAGTTAGTTGGCAGAAGGCAGATTAGGTACAAGTGTGAGTAAATAGATTTTTTTTTTTTTTTTTGAGACAGGGTCTCTCTCTGACACCCAGCCTAGCATGCGGTGGTGCAATCTCGACTCACTGCAACTTCTGCCTCCTAGGTTCAAGCGTTTCTCCTGCCTCAGCCTCTTGAATAGCTGGGACTACAGGGACGTGCCACCATGCCTGGCTAATTTTTGTACTTTTAGTAGAGACGGGTTTCGCCATGTTGGTCAGGCTGGTCTCAAACTCCTGACCTCAAGTGATCCTCCTGCCTTGGCCCCCCAAAGTGCTGGTAGTACAGGTGTGAGCTACTGCATCCAGCCAGTAAGTAGATTCAAAGCCTTAAAACTGAAATCTCATTCTTTATATAATAATTTAAATTTAATAAGCATTAATTGTTATTTTAAAGTATGCTGATATTTCTAAATATTTCTAAGCGTATTTAAAATGAAGGAAGGCTAATTCATTTACAAATCTCCATACGGTGTGGTTTCAAATAATTGCTTCCTCTTCTGTCATTGAAAGTCAGGGCTGGGAGATAACAGGGCTGGTTTCCTGGAAATGGTGTAATTCAGAGCCTAAGATAGGATATCTCTCTCTCTGTCTGCATCTTAGTGCTGAAAGACCTGAAGGTCAGATGAAACTCCTCTTTATAAAGAAGCAGCAAGAGCGGGGAGGAAGGGAGTTTCTCTCTCTTCTTACAGTCTTCTTATTTGAAAATACTGCAGCTGTACAATGGCCGTATATTGTATGTAATACAAGGCCACTATAAAGGTTTTAGAGGACAGAAAAATAAGTTATAGTTTAGGTTTCGTTTTGGGGTAACAAAAGATTAAAAAATGAGTGTTGTTAAAAAGAAATTTGAGAAACTCCATGAGTAGTATGATATATGTGTATATGGATATATTTTTTAAATTTTTGCTTAGATTGCAGGGTGTCTAATGCCTTTTATTTTTATGAATTATATTCTTTGTAAAACCTACTTTTCACACTTTATTTAAATATTTTAAAATTCCTATTGATCAATGATTCCAAAATAGTTTTTATATTTATGAGATGGTTTGAATTTTAAATTTTATAGTAACTTAAGCTATTATTATTCAGAATTAAAAATCAAAATGCATGTTTTTAGGAATTTCTGATTAAGACTTTATAGACTAATATGATTATTTTAAGGGTTTTTTTTTCTACTTATCAGGGAAATAACTATAGTTGCCATTAAATTTTTGTGCAAAAATTCAAGATCTTTTTCCAAGGAAGGAATTGTTTCAAGTAAAGTAACAAAGAGGAAAATTTGGACTTCTAATTGATTTTAGAAGTGACTGATTAAATAAATTGTCAAAATTTCAAAATGAGTCTTAAAGATTATGGATATTTCTTAGTTAATAAAAAAATGTGGCTGGGCACGGTGGCTCATGCCTATAATCCTAACACTTTGGGAGGCTGAGGTGGGCAGATCACCTGAGGTCAGGAGTTCGAGACCAGCCTGGCCAACGTGGTGAAACCCCATCTCTACTAAAAAAGCTACAAAAATTAGCCAGGTGTGGTGGCGGTGCCTGTAATCCCAGCTACTTGGGAGGCTGAGGCAGGAGAATCACTTGAACCCGGGAGGCGGAGGTTGGAGTGAGCTGAGATTGCGCCACTACACTCCAGCCTGGGCAACAGGGCAAGACTCTATCTCAAAAAAAAAAAAAAAAAAAAAAAAAAAAAACCCCAGCAATTCTAGGGAGGAATAATGGCTGAAGAATCAGATTAGTCATGGCTTTCCCCAGGAAAGCTTCCCTGCTGCCTCCTGACCCCAATCCCAGTGTGAGCATGGAGTCCCCTCCTGTGTGTGCCAGTAGTACCCTGGACTTCCCTTACCCACAGACATCAAGCTTTATGGTAATGGCCAGTTTACTTGTCCTTTTGTACCTGTATCCCCTTGCCTCCTGGAATTTTGTTTGGAAATTGCCTTTAGATTATTTTTTTGCTTTTTTTGAAATGTCTTAAGTCTTGATCTTTTAGAGAAACTGACAGTTTGTTGAACAGCTAATAAGTTGAATTCAGTCTATGCAGTTAATATAAAAATTAAAACAAAGTCTGGAGAAAACTTAATTGGAGAAATTGTTCACATTTATGGCATATTAATAAGTAGAATAGAAATGTGACAAGCACATCAATAGGAATTTTAAAGTATTTAAATAAAGTGTGAAAAGTAGGTTTTACAAAGAATATAATTCATAAAAATAAAAAGCATTAGACGCCCTGCAATCTAAGCAAAAATTTTAAAAATATATCCATATACACATATATCGTACTACTCATGGAGTTTCTCAAATTTCTTTTTAACAACACTCATTTTTTAATCTTTTGTTACCCCAAAACAAAACTTAAACTATAACTTACTTTTCTGTCCTCTAAAACCTTTATAGTGGCCTTGTTTTAAGGACCTTCAGTTTTAAGGACCTTCAATTTTAAGGACCACTTTATTTCCAGTTGTTTTAATTTTGTAAATGGTTCTTGGTTTGCATGTTCTAGATAGAAATTTTAGAGGCTCTGAATCATGAAGAACCAGCACCCTTTTAATTGCTTTCTCTGAGCACACAATGGGAGTATTTTATTCAGATTTATCTGAAGCCAGTATGAACTTGCAAACTTCTCTGAGCCAATAGCAGCATTTCAACAATCTATCAAGAAGCTAACGATAAAAATCTATGCTCATACATTGTTGCTGTGTTTTAAGAAGAACCAAATCAGAACGTGTTTTTCAGAATTCAAAATATAGTTTCAAAAGTGACCATTTTGTTTCAATAAATGACTTTTCAGCAAAACCATAAATCTCAACTCAGTTTCCCTCTAAATTTCTTGAACTTGAACTGAAAATGAATGTGAATTCTGGTTAAATTCCACTTCTGCCACAGTTGAAGGAAAGAATTTTGCCTAGCATTGAGACAAAAGTGATTGAATTCTAACAATTAATTAAATTAGGTAACTTTTACGGGGTGGGTGCAGGGTGGTGATTTGAAAGGGATACACTTTGGCTCTCTTTGGAAAGAGAATAATTACAGGAAACCAGAGTGTTCTAAAGTATTTCTCAGCTCTTCGCTTTTAGACAAAAAGCTTTCTTATACTCCACTACCCTCCTGGTCCATGCACATACTTCTGGCATCTTTAATCTGAAAGTCAGTTACTAATCCAGAGAAAAGTGAAGGTCACTTCCCAAGCACAGGCTATTTATTTAAAGTTCCAGAATACATGTGCAGGACGTGCAGGTTTGTTACATAGGTAAACTCGTGCCATGGTGGTTTGCTGCACCTGTCAACCCATCACCTAGGTATTAAGCCCCACATGCATTAGCTGTTTATCCTGATGCTCTCCCTCCCCTCAGCCCACCCCCTGACAGGCCCCAGTGTGTGTTGTTCCCCTCCCTATGTCCATGTGTTCTCATTGCTCAGCTCCCACTTATAAGTGAAAAGATGTGGTCTTTGGTTTTCTGTTCCTGCATTATTTTGCTGAGGATAATGGCTTCCAGCTTCATCCATGTCCCTGCAAAGGACATGATCTTGTTCCTTTTGATGGCTGCATAGTATTCCATAGTGTGTATATACCACATTTTCTTTATCCTGTCTATTATTGATGGGCACAGGCTATTTAAAAAGGGCAGCAGGAACATGGTTTCATCCAGGTCTTTGGGATTTCCTTGGCATCCTTGAGTTAGCTCTAATTTATGTGGACAGTGGATTCAAAGTGGAATTAAGGTAATATTGAGTGGTTTGATTTTTAAACAACAGTTGTGGTCATCTTTTTAAACAGTTTCTCTGAGAAGTGATTACCCTTTTGTAAGGATGAGCAGTTCGGACCCCTGTCATCACAACGGATAACCACCCTGAAATCCAACAGCATTTAGAGGAGGGTTACTGAACTGTGGCAAGATTTGATGGGCATTGCCAAGACTCAGAGATCGAATCTTCAGTAAGCTAGAAAACCCACTCATTTAAAATACTCTGTTCCATGAAAATATCATGCCAAATATTACTCTGTTTGGAATTCTGACAATTCAAGGAGCTCAGTGTGGAAATTTTAGCTGTATTCTTGAGGCATGTATTTAACATCTCTATGTGTTTGCTTTTTCAGTTTTAGAACAGGAGTGCAAGTTTCAAATGGAAAAAAAAAAAAAAAAAAACAAGACAAAACAGTACCCTCCTTGCACAAAGTTACACTGAAGTCAATCTGACATAATTTGTTGATTCTCTGTTATTTTTATCTGTAAACTATATGGCATGTAAAGTTAATGTTTTAACTTTGGAGTGAAATAGGCGCTCAATAGTCTACAAATCCGTGTGTCCCTTCCCACTCATCCTCTTCCTTGACTCTCAAGGTGGAGAAGCTAAGCTCTGTTGTCCACCTGTATCTCTTTACCCCACCGCCCTTCCCCTAGAGCAGCTAAGAGTCCCTTGTGCCTAGATAATTTGAGTAGCCTGTTTACCTTTTTCCTTATCTCCAGTCTTGATCTTTCTCATCCCTTATTTATGATACAGTCAGAATGATGTTTCTCAAATTCTACGTCTGGCTTAAAGTTCTCAGTGATTTCCTATTGCCACCAGGGTCAAGTTCAAGCTCCTTGCATGGCCTAGGGACCCTTCTGCTTAGCTCTGCTTACCTCTGGCTTCCCCATCCCTAAGCTCTATGTGGATTGAACTACCCTCTACTTGTTTACTCTTGCTGTGTACACCCTCTGCTTAGAACACTTGTGTCCCCACCGCCCCCTCCCGCCCTCCTTCTCACTGAGCTTTCAGATGGCTAAATTTAACTCATCCAAACATAGCTGTCTCCAGGAAGACCTCTCTAACTACCTGTATCCCCGTCACAGTCAGAGTTAGGAGCCCTTGCAGTGCCCTGCTTCCCCTATGCACAAGTATAGCTGTCTCATATTGCAATGGCCATCATCTGTGTGTCTGTGCAACTGCAGGTGGCACGAGGGAAGAATTGGGGCAGCCTATTTATGGTTGTTTCAGGGCCTGATAGGGTGCCTCAAGTATTTGGGGGAACGAATAAAGTAGTGGAAGTATTTATAAGAAATTTACATTTTTGGCCGGGCGCGGTGGCTTACGCCTGTAATCCCAGCACTTTGGGAAGCCAAGACAGGCGGATCACTTGAGGTAGGGAGTTCGAAACCAGCCTGGCCAACATGGTGAAACCCTGTCTCTACTAAAAATACAAAAATTAGCTAAGTGTGGTGGTGGGCGCCTGTAGTCACAGATACTTGGGAAGCTGAGGCAGGAGAATCGCTTGAACCCGGGAGGCGGAGGTGGCAGTGAGCCGAGATCATGCCACTGCACTCCAGCCTGGGTGAAAGAGGGACACTCCATCTCAAAACAAAAATTTTTTTTACATTTTTTAACAAAAGATAGCCCACTAACATTGAAGTCTTAAGTGTTGTAGAGACTTCTCTGATTCAGGAAGCTTAAAAAACCTTCTCCAGTATGGTAAAATATTCCCGGTGCTTCCCTCGATATCCTTTCCTCCATTACATGAATTATCGCTCTGCCGCTAGCTTACTTCCATAATTCCTTGGCACAAAAAAAAAAAAAAAAGTTTTAAATGTTTTTAGTAAGTACTGTAGAGCCCTTGGTATTCCTGGGGCCCTGACTAGCTCTTACATGCTCCTCATTCCAACAGTGGGCATTGGGAGAAATGATGTTACCGATAATCCAGATTGGTTGTATGTATGTCTAAAAAGAAAAGATATTCTGGCCGGGTGCAGTGGTTCACGCCTGTAACCTCAGCACTTTGGGAGACCAAGGAAGGAAGATCACTTGAGGTCAGGAGTTCGAAACCAGCCTGGCCAACATGGGGAAAACCTGTCTCTACCAAAAATACAAAAAAGAAAATAGCTGGATGTGGTGGCGGGTGCCTGTAACTACTTGGGAGGCTGAGGCAGGAGGATCACTTGAACCCGAGAGGCGGAGGTTGCAGTGAGCCAAGATTGCACCACTGCACTCCAGCCTGCCACAAAACAAACAAACGAACAAACAATTCTACCTTATGTCAAGCTATTTTTTTCAAGGAGAGAGTATATACGTCTGTGGGTAAAGGGCAGAACTAATGCAGGCTAAACACTTTAAGTACGGTATTGGAAAGTGAACAAATTAGAGTTATTCTATCACGGAAACCTCCTTTTGGAAAGAAGAGGAATTCCCAGGAAATGTAGCAGAAATGGCTGAAGGTAGCAGATTGGAAGAGTTGACAGTGGGAGTAGAGTGGGGTGAAGCAGGCCCGCTCAGTACCATCTTGACCTTCGCCATTAGCTTCTGGTTTCAAGGAACAGAGACCACTCTAAATAGCTGAAGTGCACAGGAGGTGTGTCCAAACCATGTCGGGGAATCTTGCACACCCAGCGTTAGAAGCGCAGCAAGGCCTGGGGGGACAGAAAAGCTCCCCAGGCTCCTCTTGCCCTGCCTCCCTGCTGGGGCAGCTGCCTTTCACAAGACTGTCCTCCTCTGAATGAACACTGTATGGCTTCTTTTATTTATTTAGTTATTTTCAGATGGAGTCTCGCTCTGTTGCCCAGGCTGGAGTGCAGTGGCACGATCTTGGCTCACCGCAACCTCTGCCTCCTGAGTTCAAGCAATTCTCCTGCCTTAGCCTCCCGAGTAGCTGGGATTACAGGCACGTAACACCATGCCTGGCTAATTTTTGTATTTTTAGTAGAGATGGGGTTTCACCACGTTGGTCAGGCTGGTCTCAAAACTCCTGACCTCAAGTGCTCCTCAAGCCTCCCAAAGTGCTGGGATTACAGGCATGAGCCACCGTGCCCAGCCCACCCTGTGTGGCTTCTACTGCCAGCCTGTGGGTTTCTGCACCTTGTCAAGCTGGTCCCCAGTGTGTGTGACTTCAGCCTGCACTAGACCATTTGACCGACCTAATCATTTTGTTCGTAAGAGCTTCAAGAACATCTAATTGAGCATTCCCAGCCTTTGACTGTTTAACCCTGAGTCAGATGTCTCTCTGGTCCAGTGATCCTTGGCTTCGGGGTATGAAGACAGTGCTGTGGGGAGGGCAGGAGGCAGTGGCGGGATCCCAGGTAAGGTAAAAAATTCTGGAAGGGGCCATTCCTCATGTTTGCAAAGGCACATATAAGGTGACAGGTCCTAGCAGCTTGGGGAGAGGGAACAGGTTGTACCCACTGGCAGTCAGAGTGACATACTAGCCAAAGATTGCTGGAGACCTACGGGCATGGGCATCTGCCTGGTGCCCAAGCCTGACACCCAGCTCTGGTTGGGAACGCAGTGTGCTGACTGGGCAGGGACTCCGGTTACCAAGGTGCTGAGGGCTTTGCTTTCTTCATTTCAAGTTTTGCTTCTTCTGTTCCCCAAGCCTAAACACAAAAGTTGGATGCTTCATTTAATTTTTTTTTCTGCATCTCTTTGAGCTAACTAGGTATGCCTTATTCCCACTGTGATGTTGCCTTCACTAAAGTGAAATGGAGTCACATGTTTGGAAGCAGCAGCTGTCTTTACAGACTTCCCAGAATTCTCTATCAGCCCTTTATTTGTTGAATGTCTTTGGGAAAAATGCTTGCCTATGTCTGGATTCTATATCAGAAAATTTGAAATACTATGTTTTTAGTCTAACTTCCTGGCAGTACTGATTTGGTATAAAATGGGAGAAAATATCAATGGTTTTATTACAGTGCTTGTAACTTTGTAGTGGCCTCAGTTGTGTTTTTTGTTTTTACCTATGTCTACACTTGCACGAACTTCTCTGGAGAAAACTCTGGAGGAAGAAATTATTCAGAAGACTTGATTTGGAGAAAAGATAAGTTTTGGACCCAGTAAAAGTGAAGTGAATATGGAAGAGTGTTCTGTGTTTTTCCAGAAAGATTCAGGCTTAAGTACTGAATGCCAAGTTTTGTGGTTTCTGTTTTTGCTAATCAAGGCTGAACAGTTACCACATGTGATAGTCTTTTATCCTACATTATACTTTTGATGAATTTGTAAAGAAATTAATCTCTCAAAACTTAGCAAAAAGAATAAAAGTCAATAAATCCATGGTATCATGGCTATATCTTTTTCCTCTTTACTAAATTATTTAACCCACGTTATAATTTGAAAATTTATCTTGGAACTTTAACATTGTAGAAACGTTGGGTTTGGACATTGCAAAATAAAAAAGATCTAGGGCAAAAACAGTATGGTAAAGATCCCTACTTATCTATACGATTTAATTACTTTTTTTTCCATCAGTCCCAAAACAGAAAGAGCAGATGTCTCACCACGAAACTAGCAACTGGAATGAAGATAGAAACAAGTGGTTATAACTCAGACAAACTAATTTGTCGAGGGTTTATTGGAACACCTGCCCCACCGGTTTGCGACAGCAAGTTTCTCCTGTAAGATTTATTGTCAGGGCCTGGGATACTGATATAGAAGATTAAGTTTGAAATGTCAACCTTTACTTAGGGGAGGAAGGGAAAGATTCATTTCTAAGTGACTCAATGCAACTTCAAACTTTTGAACTAAAGTGAAAATCCAGGATCAACTTGTGACTATGATTAGCAGATTTGGAAAGATTTCCTGGAATCGTTGAAAGGAAGTTTGCTCCGTCAATGTCATCAGGGTTAGGGATTTACTAGACCTAAAATTCTATACTGTCAAGTTGATGGCCTGGGCTGAAGAAGTTTTAGAAGGAGGTAATTCCAAGTTGCTGAGGAAGGAATTTAGCTTTTTGGCAAGAATTAATAGGGACTTATCAAGGAATAAGGTGCGTAGAAATGGTTATACTTAAGTTTGGGGCACAATGGGCGTGGGGCTAAGAAAGATCTCACATGTATCATTAGGCTCATGAAAATCATTCAGAGACTTTTCTGCAGCACAGCATATTGCTAGTTCCTTCCAGCCCTCCCTTCGCTAATTCTATTTTCAGATCTAAGCTAATATGCACATATTTATCTTCCTCAAGAGACGCCACTGTCTCAGCAATTAATAAAATAATTGCTTATTGAAGAAAGATATCTGTTTCTGGTATTGCCAGAATCACTTGTGACCTCATAGGGATGTTGATCAGAGCCTTATATTCTAAGGCCAAGGACAGGGGTGTGAGTTTTGTATGGGCCACTTCCCAAAATCTGCATCATTGTTCTTATACTACATGCGTGTAGGTTTCGTATTAAATATGAGTCCTTGGTCACAGTAGCAATAACTGACAATGGTTACAATGGTGCAGATCATCTGCTCCTGGAAAAACAAAGTCTATGCCCTCCAGATTAATGGAATCACCTCCAAAACCCCTGCATTGTATCTCTGCATTCGTATTTGTTGTATAAGTAGGAGGGATGTTTTTCTTGGGCAGTAAGTCCCCTGTAAAAATGAGAGTAAGATGGTCATAACCATTTCATATGGGGAGCTTATCTTTTTAAAAATGTTAAAGTTATAAAAACTTCAAAGATATGTACATATCAAATTATATCACTAATATTAGACACAAATTTTTTTTCTCATTCTCTTGTTGCCACACTCCTTTCATATATCAGTGTGTCTCGACAAAAGCATATTTTACAAAAGTACGAGATACACTTTCTTCATCTGCTAAGCACTGCATGATACACCTGCTAGGACTCAATAAATGTTTGTTTAAAAATGACTCATTAAATTGACCCAATATGTTTTTTCCTTACTTTTCTCCCATCTCATTATAGTCCTACAAAATTAGTTCTGCATTGTGGCTTTTGCAATCCGTATTTTACCAGGCTGTGCGTAGTTGAGATTGTTTGCAAAGGGCATCGAGTAACCTGCCAGTTCTGAGAAGTTTCTGACGTATGTTTTTCTAATTACTCAAAAGCAAATGAATGCTTGACAAATGGGATCTTTGTCTTTTTTCCCCAGAGTAACATGGAGAACCTGACTACCCATAAAATACTTTTCATCTTTAATGGGAAAGAAGTAATTTGCCTACACAGACCTCCCCCCAACCCCTCCAAAAAAGAAAAAAAAATAGGACAGAAGCAGTAGAAATCATATCTTATGTGATTAAAGCTGTGCATTTCTATAAGCAGTCCTGCTTCCTGTGTAATCTGGAGTGAATTAAATTCAATTTCGTATTGAAGAGATGACCATCACTAATTTATTCATTTTGGGTAGCTTAATAATAAAAGCTTTTACTGTTTTAACGTTTTCACAGGAGGTTTGTTTATTGGTCGACTTGCTTATTCTTTTATTTTTATGCTGTTTTTTCTTTAGAAATTTCACAAATAACATCATAATCACAGTACCAGGAAAAAAGGATTTAAAAAAAGTTTACCCACAATCCTATTAGCCCCCGAATCTGTCCTTTGTTTTCCTTGCTTCCTTCCAGATCCTTTCTCTTTAAATATGCAATAGTCGTAGAATTTATATCTTTTTCTCATAAAAGTCAAGGTTAATTAAGTACTCCACCATGGGCATGTTTTATTTGGTTAAATGACAAATGGGTATGTTTATCAGTTGTGTTCCCGGAGTTGTATATGACATGTCTCATTTTCAAGTGATCTTAAATCGTTAATGAACTTCAGTGGGTCTTTGTTTCTGAGCACTTTTCAGTTGGCAGTGGTTCCTACTCCTTGATCTTTGTACATCTCTGTATAAAAATGCTTAAATATTACAGAAGCTCAGCATTTAGTAACTACCTTTCCCATCCCTCCTGGCCCCCTCAGTTGGTTTTTATATAACTTTTTGCTTCTCAATTCTTTTTAAGCAGAACACTTATCTTCTAGATATATGAGAAAGGGCTATTTAAGGGTTAGCCAGTGGTAGAAATTGATAAACATTTGATTTATGGAAGCATTGATAGGTTTTGACGTTGAAAACCTGAATATGGGCAAAACTGGAGATGTCAACGTCTTTGCAGATTTTCCCATAAGCATTTGTGAAGTGCCATGCTTTGGCACTCTGTCAGGTTGGCACAGAAGATACTGAAGATGTGTGAAAGTTTGTTTTTATCATCAAGGAACGTGTCCTCTATTTTTTATTTCTCCTTAGGCTTTTCTTCATATTCTTTGACTTACCTGCTTTCACTATTGGAAGCTTGTATTTATATTTATATTGATGTGTGGATAATGTTCCTCAGTTATTTTCTCATCTGTTGACTTATATGTTTTGGTAGACAATCCCATGTACAGCTCTTTCATTTTTGATATTTCTTTTGCATATAAGTTGTACATATTCATTGGAGACAAATTAGAAATAGGTATTAGCAATGTAACATATGAAATACAGAGAAGAACCCACCATCTAAATATAATTACTGTTGATATTTTGAATGTTTTGCTTTAAGTCTTTTTACTGTAATATATGCCTATGTATTTTTTCTTAACTAATATTCACACCTTGTTTTATAACCTGATTTTTTTTCAGTGTTAGATTGTTTAGGCTTGCAGGAGGTGGGGAGTGTGACTTTTTGTCTACTTTATTCATTCCATTTTTAAAAGAACATAGAATAATATTTGGCATGGACTTTGGACTTATTTATCTAGAAATCTCAAATATAATAAGCATGTGTATTTTAGTACAAATTCATACTTAAAGCATAGTTGAATAGCACTTTTAGATTTCAGCAGGCCTTGAGAGGTGATTTTTTAAAAATTCTAAAAAGTTCACATCTGCTTCACATTCATTGTTTAAAATGAAAACAGAGAAGCTCACACATGCTTGATAAAGCTGTAGAATACGTAATGATTAAGTTTTTACGTGCTTTTAGATGATAGCTAAGTCCTGTAAGGCTAGAGACCCCATCTATGTAAGAGATCATTCTACACATATTCCCAGCACAATTCCTGGTATTTAGTAAGGCCTGAAAAATCTGGGCCAGGCATGGTGGTTCATGCGTGTAATCCCAGCACTTTGGGAGGCCAAGGAGGTAGGACTGCGTGAGCCCATGAATTCAAGACCAGCATGGGCAACATAGTGAGACCCTGTCTCTACGAAAAATAAAGAAGTTACCCGAGCGTGGTGGCACATGCCTGTGGTCCCAGCTACTCAGTAGACTAAGGCGAGAGGATTGATTGAGCCCAGGAAGTTGAGGCTTCAGTGAGCTATGATCACGCCACTGTGCTGCAGCCTGGGTGACAGAGTGAGACCCTGTCTCAAAAAAAAAAGAAAAAGAACCTGAGTTAAATGGATGGTTGAAGTAAAGAGAGACAGAACCCAAAAGATGAGGCAATTCACTCCTTTCCTTGTAGTGAGAATGAAATTAGCCATCTCTTGAAATATATTTCTATCAACATATCCTTAGGAAATTTTTAGCTTGGACATGGTGGCTCACACCTGTAACCCCGAGGTTGAGCTACTCCGGAGGCTGAGGTGGGAGGATTGTTTGAGCCCAGGAGGTTGAGGCTGCAGTGAGCCAAGATTGTGCCACTGCCCTCCAGCCTGGGCGACAGAGTGAGATCCTGTTTCCAAACAAAAACAGAAACACAAAATTATAATATGCAAACAAGAATGGCAAATCTTTTTAATCACCCAAGGCTGCTATATTCCTTTGCTTGCCACATAAGCCATTTATTGCAGTCTCTTATAAGGGGACGTGTATGCTACAGGAAATTGAACTACAGGAAATTCGAGGCTCTGGTTATTAAACCTTCCTTCTGACTGCTCTGGGTCACTGCATCTCTTCTAACAAGTGAAACACACACACACACACACACACACACAAACACACACACACACATACTCTAATTGTGCCTGGAAGCTAGGTTACCAAAGGGAGGGATGACAATTCCAGATCAGCTTCTAACCTCCTCCCTTCTGCTCAGGTCGCCTTCGTCAGACGTCAGAATGATTCCTTGCAGAGCCGCGCTGACCTTTGCCCGATGTCTGATCCGGAGAAAAATCGTGACCCTGGACAGTCTAGAAGACACCAAATTATGCCGCTGCTTATCCACCATGGACCTCATTGCCCTGGGCGTTGGAAGCACCCTTGGGGCCGGGGTTTATGTCCTCGCTGGGGAGGTGGCCAAGGCAGACTCGGGCCCCAGCATCGTGGTGTCCTTCCTCATTGCTGCCCTGGCTTCAGTGATGGCTGGCCTCTGCTATGCCGAATTTGGGGCCCGTGTTCCCAAGACGGGGTCTGCATATTTGTACACCTACGTGACTGTCGGAGAGCTGTGGGCCTTCATCACTGGCTGGAATCTCATTTTATCGTATGTGATAGGTATGTTTCAAAAAGAAATCTAACTTGTGTGGAATGGAAGAAATCGCAGCCCTGAGTCACAGCCCTTAGGTTCAGTTGTAGGTGTTGGGTACATCACTTGATGTCTGTGTGTCTCATTTTTGTCATCTCGAAAATGTCTCCTTCTAATTACAAAATTCTGTGGGTTTTTTTTAAGACAGTCTCACTCTGTCGCCCAGGCTTGAAGTGCAGTGGCGTGATCTCAGCTCGCTGCAACCTCTGCCTCCTGGCTTCAAGCGATTCTCCTGCTTCAGCCTCCTGAGTAGCTGGGATTACAGGCACCTGCCACCATGCCTGGCTAATTTTTTGCATTTTTAGTAAAGACGGGGTTTCACCATGTTGACCAAGCTGGTCTCGAACTCCTGACCTCAGGTGATCCACTCACCTCGGCCTCCCAAAGTGCTGGGATTGCAGGTGTGAGCCACGGCACCCGGCCACAAAATTCTGTGATTTTTGCTTCATCTCTGACTATGCCTTTTAGTGGGCTTGCAAACTTTTTAAGTTATAATTCTTTATTGCAAATAAAGTTACCTGATTCCAGAGTTATGGATTTGAACATTTGATGACTACTGTATGATTATAAATATCCAGATACTGTATATGTGATTAAAATTTTCAATCTTTTGTGAACTCATGTTTATCCTATAATAGAGTAGCAAATGATGCTACTTTAATTTGCCCCCAGTGACTTCGTATTCTCTGTTCTGTTTTGGGAAGGTACATCAAGTGTTGCAAGAGCCTGGAGTGGCACCTTTGATGAACTTCTTAGCAAACAGATTGGTCAGTTTTTGAGGACATACTTCAGAATGAATTACACTGGTCTTGCAGAATATCCCGATTTTTTTGCTGTGTGCCTTATATTACTTCTAGCAGGTAAGAAAACCAGTTATGAGTCTCTGCAGAATGAGCCACACTATTTGTCTCAGGAAAATAGGTTACTTCTGAATTTGGGGCCTGAGTTCCCAAGATGAGATTAGTATATTTACACATTTATGTCACTGTTAGACATCTGTGGGGTTTATCACTGGCTGGAATCACATTTTAACCTAAGTCTAAATTGTGTGCAATGGTAAAAATAGCACTTCTGAGTAAATGGCACCTGGTACACACTAAATAATAGGATGAGGACATTGATTTTTTAAATCGTTAATTGCAGGTTTGCAGGAATAGCGGTGGTTTCAGTAAGGAAGAATGTGTAATTTCTTGGCATTATTTCATCTTGCTAGATACAACTAGGGATATTTGCAATTTCTAGAAGAATTTCTGTTTTTCTGACATGGCTTCATCTATATAATGTAGGCCTTTGATTGTAAAGGAAGCAAGTTCTAATCACCTGTCATTTTGTAATGTCGACATTATATAGGCAAACATACTTAGTACTAGGATTTTCCAGTTTTTGTCAGTATTGTAGCATAGTGGTTTTAGGAGGCACAGGAATTCTAATAACCACATTTCAATCCTGCTGTGCCACTCACTCTGCTTTAGAACATAGAACAATTTATTTAATCTTTCCCTCACTCGTACATAAAATGAGGGCATCAGTGTCTGCCTCCTATAGCCTTCTCGTTTGGTTCCTAGTAAGCACTCACGTGGTGGCTGATTTTATTTCATAGGCATAGCTAATCCCTGCTCTGTCTCCTTATATTTGTTTTAACTATTTGAACATTTTCTTTTTTTTTTTTTTTTTTTTTTTTTGAGATGGAGTCTGACTCTGTCGCCCAGGCTGGAGTACAGTGGTACTGCAACCTCCGTCTCCCGGGTGCAAGCGATTCTTCTGCCTCAGCCTCCTGAGTAGCTGGGACTACAGGTGCGCGCCACCGCACCTGGCTGATTTTTGTATTTTTAGTAGAGACGGGGTTTCACTATGTTGGCCAGGCTGGTCTCAAACTCCTGACCTCAAGTGATCCCCCTGCCTCAGCCTCCCAAAGTGCTGGGATTACAGGCGTGAGCCACCATGCCTGGCCACGTTTTCTCTTTTGAGTCTCCTTCTTACCTGCAGTCCTGCTTATGTCCATCAAGGATTGCCCTAAGAGTAAAAACCATGTCTGTTCCTACTTCTTCCTTGCTTTACCCTGGGCAGTCTGCCTCATGCTTTCTTGTCCGACCTTATCTCTGTTTTCTCCCTTGTTAGAAGAGTGAGACAGAAATATCTTTCTCTTTTGAAATGTTTACTCAAAAATTATATAATTTTAAAAATAGCTTTACCCTTTAAAAAGTGAGTCATTAATCAAATGTTTTACATACGGATAGGGATAAGAACATGAACAAAGTGCGTAGATCTAAAATGTTTTGCATTTTGAGTCTAATGTCAAGAGAAGTTGCACCAATTGTTTTTCAACAAAGAATTGATTTTTGTTTTGGTTTCTAAGCAGTCTAGCTTAGAAATAGAAACCAGTCTAGCGTTAAATTATTTCCATCATATTTTATTTAGGGATCATTTTAATGAACTTAAAATATTCAACTTTAATCTCTAAATGACGAAGAGCATGTAGCTGTGACACAATTAGAACATAGTTTAATTCCACAGCAAGACTCAGGTCTTGGCTCATTTGTCCTGTGTTCATTCACCATCATATCTTTCCTTTAATTATAGGTGAAGCTTATGTTTTAACTTTGTTCTTAGAATCTCTGAAGATCAAAACCTCCTATGTAAATCCCTATTCATATCGTAACACCAAATGTCTTTTTACGTGAAGCCGTTGTTTTACTAAAGATACACGGGAAGTGTATGCTCTGCTTAGATGAGATATTCATTGGTGTCTAATCTTCCGGTGGGAGATGAGACCTCAGAGTAGACAGTGCATATATGCTGTTGGGAAACTTACATGAAATATAAAGGTGGCTTTGTTATTCTCTGAGGTATATAGCAGTGGTTCCTAACCTAACTTACAATTACAGAGTCAGGAATTGTGTTGACCATACAGCTTTCCTTTATATGGTTAATATATGATTCTAGGAATTACACAGGTAGAAATAAAATTCAAGTTCTTTCATCTCTGCTTGGAAAAATTTGCTTTTTTGATGGTGGGTGGTATAGATACGGGGAACAAACAACTAAATCTGTGGCATCATCTTTTCACAGCAATCATTTGCTCAATGGTAAAAGATAAACTTTCTTAGGTCCGTAATTCAAATCTTATACCAGATGGGTTAAAGATATACATATGATAAATATAATTAGAAAAATACTAGAAGGAAGCAAAGTAGGTGTTTTGGGTTAATGTTTAAGAGATTTTTTTCAAGGTAGAAACTAAAAAGGGAAAATTTATTTTTCAGTCTGATAACTTTTCTACATGTACATAATCTGTTGTACATGGCAGGTAGAGAGCTTATGGCATTAATATATAAATAAATTTTATAAATCAATGTATTAGTCCATTTTCATACTGCTATGAAGAAATACCCAAGACTTGGTAATTTATGAAGAAAAAGAGGTTTAATGGACTCACAGTTCCACATGGTTGGGGAGGCCTCACAGTCATGGTGGAAGGTGACCGAGTAGGGAAAGAACGTCTCACGGGGTGTCAGGCAAGAGAGCATGTGCAGGGGAACTGCCCTTTATAAAACCATCAGATCTCATGAGGTGTATTCAGTATCATGAGAACAGCACAGAAAACCTGCCCCCATGATTCAGTTACCTCCCACTGGGTCCCTCCCATGATACATGGGGATTATGGGAGTTACAATTCAAGATGAGATTTGGGTGGGGACACAGCCAAATCATATAATCAATATGAATAGAATATCCTAATAGAAAAAATAGATACTTTAAATTGAGCCAAACTTTCCAGAGAATATTTTGATAATAGGAACCAACAGTCCATATCTTTGATGCAGTATTACTTTGCAGAAAATTGTTGTATAGAAGTAAATGGAAAGTGTAGAAAGATATTTATAAAAGAATTATTATGTCAGTGCTATTTATAATTGTAACAAACAAAGAGTGATCTAATTGTCTATAAATAAGGGATGAATTAAAGTGTAGTACCTCAATATAGTCGAAGATTATGCAGCTGTTAAAAATGAGATTATATATTTACTGGCACAAAAGAGTGTGTGTGTGTGTGTGTGTGTGTGTGTGTGTGTGTGTTTACAAAATTTGGGAGGGAAAAGCACGGTTGATCTTTTTATATTTTTTTCTGTGTCTTCAAAGTACTTGAATAGAAATTGATCACTTTTGCAATCAGAATATACAGCTATTAAAATGAGAATAGGTTTAACAAAGTACTTTTTTGGCACAATTGAAGTATTATCTTTGTTTATGTATTTTGTGTGCATGGCAGACAAATGTTTTAGCGTTTACTTTTTAAAAGTTCGCAACTGGGCCGGGCATTGTGGCTTAAGTGCCTGTAATTCCAGTACTTTGGGAGGCTGAGGCAGGCAGATCACTTGAGGTCTGGAGTTCTAGACTAGCCTGGCCAGCATGGCGAAACCCCAACCCTACGAAAAATACAAAAATTAGCCAGACATGGTGGCACACACCTGTAGTCCCAGCTACTCAGGTGGCTGAGGTGAGAGAATTGTTTGAGCACAGGTGGCAGAGGTTGCAGTGAGCCGAGATCATACCACTGCACTTCTGCCAGGGAAACAGAGCGAGACTCTGTCTCAAAAAAAGAAAAAATAGTTTGCAACCATTTACCTTGAAATTAGATGTTACTTTACCTATCACTGGCAAAGATGGCCAAAGTTACTAGATTTATGTTTCTTAGAAAGTGTAGTGTCTTCTATGAGCATGACCTGCCTCCGAAATTGAGTTGGTTGCATTCAGAAGACATTTCAGAATTAGGTAATTAACTAATGAGTAAGAACTAGCAGTAGAGGTAGATAGATGGAAATTAAAGACATGAATGCTGGTGAAATAATATCCTAAAGTCATGTATTTGCCTCAAAATGCTATTGCCTTTCCTAAAGCTAAATAAAAATTGAAATGCCCTTTTTCCATAGGTCTTTTGTCTTTTGGAGTAAAAGAGTCTGCTTGGGTGAATAAAGTCTTCACAGCTGTTAATATTCTCGTCCTTCTGTTTGTGATGGTTGCTGGGTTTGTGAAAGGAAATGTGGCAAACTGGAAGATTAGTGAAGAGTTTCTCAAAAATATATCAGCAAGTGCCAGGTAAAATATTTGAGGTTTTTTTTTTTCTCCTTCTTGTTTAAGAAAATATTTTAAGTGGGTGTATTAGTTCATTTTTACTCTGCTAATAAAGACATACCCATGACTGGGTAATTTATAAGGAAAAAGAGATTTAATGGACTCACAGTTCCACATGGCTGGGGAAGCCTCACAATCGTGGCGGAAGGTGAAAGGCATGTCTCACATGGTGGCAGACAAGAGGAGAGAACTTGTGCAGGGAAACTCTCCCTTATAAAACCATCAGCTCTTGTGAGACCCACTCACCATCACAAGAACAGCACAGGAAAGACCTGCCCCCATGATTCAACCACCTCCCACTGGGTCCCTGCCACAACACATGGGAACTGTGGGAGCCACAATCCAAGATGAGATTGGGTGGGGACACAGCCAAACCATACCAGAAGGCATATGTGGGTTTTCTTCTAGAGCAGTGGTTCTCAAATTTCTTGCTTCTGAGACCCTTCTGAGAGACTGTTCCATTCCAAGACCCCTCTTCCCAGATTCCCTTCAAACTTAAAGGTATAGGTATGCTCCTTTTGGAGCAACTGTGTGAACCCATGCAGCTGCTGGTTCCCAGCCTCAAGCTCTGCTCCGGGTTTAGGGAAAGAGCAAGGGAAGATCCTAACCATTGGAAAAACTTGATCTTTTCCCCCCAGCAGTTTGCCACCACTAAATAACAATGAGTATTTTTGAGTCCTGCATCCTTTAGTTCTTCCTTCAGGACCACCATTCAGTTTTATTGTATTCTCTTAATGCTTTAGTAATCTTCAGACCTTGTTTTTTGGAGAATGTTGTTAGTTGCACAAGCAGACATAAGATTACACAAATATCTATTGCATGGAATGGGGTACACCTGTATGTTTTTCTTGACAGAGGTTGTTTAGTCATTCCAATAAGGGAAAAAATTGGTATCCTATAAACTTACATAGTTTTTAACATATAATAAAATATTCAATTTCATTATTATCAATCAAGACTAGGAAGTTTTGTTTCGTGTTTTTAAATGTCTTCTTAGGGAATGTTAGAGACATATACTCTGCCTTACTCGATGCTTTATGAATTGAAGAATGAATTCTCCTAAGAATAAGCATCCATGAGAAGAAGAGGTTTCTGGTCTTTGTCCCAGAGCATGGCTCGTATGTGGAATCTCTGCTCTCAAAATCCTCCCTGGCTGTGGGTTCAGCTGGAGCAGGTCTGGGGCTTCTACATGTGCTATCAATCAGCCTGTAATTGGGTGTCAGTGACACAGGAGGGTCACTGTTAGTGGCACCACCACATTCTGTAGCACAGGGTGAGAGAGTAAAGTTTTAATTTTATGTATATCATCTTCAAAGAGCTAATAAACACAACCACCTTCCAAGGATATAGTCTGAGAAAAGTCACCAGAAGGAGAGTTTTCTGTCAAAGTGACTTTCCAATGTGTTTGTTCTCTTTCTTAGAGAGCCACCTTCTGAAAACGGAACAAGTATCTATGGGGCTGGTGGCTTTATGCCTTATGGCTTTACGGGAACGTTGGCTGGTGCTGCAACTTGCTTTTATGCCTTTGTGGGATTTGACTGCATTGCAACAACTGGTAAGAGCAGTGTCTTGGCTCAGTGTAGAAGGAGTGTTCCTTGTTGTGCACGAGTACCCGTGTGTGGTAGCAGAGGGTCCAGGAAAGAGAGAGGGATTTCGGGTAAGAAGGGCACTAGTTCCAGGCCCAGCTGTGACACGTGCTGCTGATGATAAAAAGAAAGAATGCAACTCTCTGCCCTTGGTTTCCAGTTAGTAAGTTTGGGAGAGCAATTCCTACTCTTCAAATAGTAGGAAGATTACCTAAAATAATGCATATGAAAAATACTTTGCCAGCTGTTGATTACTTTATAAATGTGAGTCATTATTACCATCCCTAACCTTCAGTCCAGAAGTGCTGTCACATGGGCCATACATGATGATCATGTTCTTAAATGGTCTCTTTGTTAGTGGGAGAAAAAATATTGTGTCAGTTCTTTCTATGTTATCTTATACAACATCATAATCATGCCGGAGTCACTCTCTAAATGCCTCCTCTATTTTTACGTCATAGTGTGGCCATACAATTGACCACATTTTGAGTATTCAGTCTCATTAGTGTACAAAGTATACTGTTTTTTAAATTGAAATTAGAACTTTGTACAAATAGGTGAAATAACTTCATCTGAAGCCTTGATACTTAAGGGCCTACCGAATGGCACAGCAGTCATTTAATCTCTGTAGATGAATCATTTTCCAAATGGATTAAGACTGCTATTCTATCGCTGAACACTTAGTAGTGCTGCTATGTTACGGGTTTTGGTTGGTTGGTTGGTTTTTTTCTTTCCTGGCGATAGGAAACTGACTGGCATGACTTCTCCTCTTCTCCCTCTGGGAATCGGATTTTTACGTAATAAGAAAGTACCTTCAAGAATAGAGGAAATTTCATGTAAAACAGATGGATCAGCTGGGCACAGTGGCTCACGCCTGTAATCCCAATCTTTGGGACATTGAGGAGGGTGGATCACTTGAGGCCAGGAATTAGAGACTAGACTGGCCAACATGGTGCAAACCATCTCTACTAAAATACAAAAATTAGCCAGGTGTGGTGGCGCACACCCGTGGTCCCAGCTACTCGGGAGGCTGAGGCAGGAGAATTGCTTGAACCTGGGAGGCGTGAGGTTGCAGTGAGTCAAGATCACGCCACTGCACTCCAGCCTGGGCAACAGAGCAAGACTCTGTCTCAAAAATAAGTAAAATAAAATGAAATAAAATAGATGGACCAAGATAAGAAAAGGGACAAAAGCAGAGGAGAACTACCCTGGAGAAGAGGAAGAATTTCACACAATTTAATTTCTTTACCTGTTGATGTTTTATTAAGCATACACATCTTTTGTTTATATTTCCTTAGGTGAAGAAGTTCGGAATCCCCAGAAAGCTATTCCCATTGGAATTGTGACGTCTTTGCTTGTTTGCTTTATGGCCTATTTTGGGGTCTCTGCAGCTTTAACACTTATGATGCCGTACTACCTCCTCGATGAAAAAAGCCCCCTTCCTGTAGCGTTTGAATATGTGGGATGGGGTCCTGCCAAATATGTCGTCGCAGCTGGTTCTCTCTGCGCCTTGTCAACAAGGTACATTGCATCGCCTTTGGGGCACGGGCTGTTTGGGACTCTACAAAGTAGTCAGTGTCTAAAAATTTGCTTTTGTCTGTTTAAAAAGTATCCTAATAGAAACAAAATATTATGCAACTTTGTATTTATTGATTGGCTTGCTCAGAATTTCCACATAAAAATCTTAAAGGATAAACTCCCCTGCTGTTAGTTGAGTCAGTTTTTTAAGATAGTGATGGTCCAGGCTTCAGTAGAAATACATATGGCATTGATACACACAGACACACACACACACACACAAATATATCTGTGGCATGTAGTCATGTATATAGGCATTATGAAACTTCAGGATTCTTGTCCTAAAATCTTTCTCTATTGGCGTTGGTGATACTTGTAGTTCTTCAGACATCTGAGAATGTATGTACAGACCTTGCATTTGCCACACTCTGTTCAAGTAATACTGAGCCTGTGGGAGTGGACACTTATGCTCTGTCTTTTAAAAATATAATGTGCTTTTTATTGTGAAACATGGAGACTTTTTCTTCTTAGCACCAATCAGAGTGAAGTTGGTCTAGAAATAGAAATTATCATTCTTAAATAAATGGTGGAAATTCATATAAATATGTGAAGGGAAGCACCAATCAGAGTGAAGTTGGTCTAGAAATAGAAATTATCATTCTTAAATAAATGGTGGAAATTCATATAAATATGTGAAGGGAAAAGGGTCATTGAATCCCAAGTTTTCAGATTTTCAGTAGCTGCTTGTTTGAATACTTTAGAACTCATTTCCCAGGTTTCCTCAGCTACCCTTATTTCAATTAACATATGAGTCAGATATTTCGTTCTAGTTTTTTATCATGCCACATGGTAGAAGAGTCTTGCAAAGAGAAAATTAATCTTTTTGGCAGATTAGTAATTTTTTAACTGAAAATAAGGTTCTGAAAGTCTGAAACTAGAAAAAGAAGTCTTTTAGTGTAATTCACCAGCCTAGCTTTATTTTTTCCCTTCAAACTCCCTTTTATTTTCTAGTTAAGACAATATTGAGTAGCAATTAGACACTCTTGGTTTCTCAGCCATCTGCTAGTGTTGAGGTTTATTTATTTATTTGAGACAGGGTCTTGCTCTGTCAAGCAGGCTGAAGTGCAGAGCATAATCATAGTTCACTGAGGCTCGAACTCCTGGGTTCAAGTGATCTCCCCAGTTCAGCCTCCTGAGTAGCTAGGATACAGGCACGTAACACCATACCTGGTTAATTTTTTATTTTCTATAGAGAGGAGGTCTCGCTAAGTTCCCGAGGCTGGTCTTGAACTCCTGGGCTCAAGCTATCCTCTCACCTCAGCCTCCCAAAGTGTTGGGATTACAGGCATGAGCCACCACACCCGGCCTTGAGGTTTATTTTGAATAGCTTCAAGTAATTTCAAAAGTCTGAACTGTGAAGATACCGTGCTACCATGGCCTTAGAAGGGATGGACAAAGATTCATCTATGGCCAAGCTCAACAGAGCCTTATTAAAGATAAAGAAGGGCCAGGCACAGTGGTTCACTCTTGTAGTCCCAGCACTTTGGGACACCGAGGCGGGAGGATCACTTACGGCAAAGAGTTCAAGACCAGCCTGGGCAACGTAGCAAGGCTCGGTCTCCACAAAAAATTCAAGAAATTAGCTGAGCATGGTGGCATGCGCCTTTAGTCCCAGTCCCAGTTACTTGAAAGACTGAGGTGGGAGGATCGCTTGAGCCCAGGAGTTTGAGGGCACAGTGAGCTATGATCGTACTACTGCACTCCATCCTGGGTGACAGAGTGAGTCCCTGTCGCAAATAAAATAAATCAATAAGAAGGATTTTTAAATAAAATACTTTTTTTGTTTTCTCTTACATGGTTATTTTTCACAACTAAGTAATGTGTGAAATGGTGCAGCTAGTAAACAAAAGTACTTCCGAACATCTCAAGCAAAAACTGTCTTACTAAACTTCAGCTGCTAACTTTTCACTGTGGCCACATCTGTATACTACATTTACGTAAATTGATCTTCTTTCCCTTCTTCTACCTTGATTATCTTATGATGCTGGGGATTATTACTAACTTGATCCAAGATCAGGGTGTATGAGAAAAAATACTGGTACAATAAATGCAAAAAATATATCATTATTGAATAAAGGTTGCAACTATTGCTTATGAAATAAAATTACTTAGTCTTTTCTTTAATTACATATCAAATTAGTAATTTTATTTTCCAAGTTGTTGCTGCTAAAAATGTCTTAATAATATTGGTTTGGTTAAGTCTTAATTATTTAGTTTTAATTTGGTAATAATTGTGGGTACACACAAATTACTTGCAATATTGTTTTTAGTCTGATAATTTTGCTGCGTACTTATCTGTAACAGAATAATGAATAGCACAATGGTAAATATTAGCAAATTTTTTAAATGCCCTATCATAGTGCATTTAAAAAATAATGACATAATTATTAATATAAATAATATGACTTCATAATTACAACTGTCATGCTGAATATTATACAATTATTTTATTTCCGTTCGGGGATGTAATCTTGCATGAATGTTTGCCATACTGCATGTGTTTGCTTTTTATTCAGTCTTCTTGGATCCATTTTCCCAATGCCTCGTGTAATCTATGCTATGGCGGAGGATGGGTTGCTTTTCAAATGTCTAGCTCAAATCAATTCCAAAACGAAGACACCAATAATTGCTACTTTATCATCGGGTGCAGTGGCAGGTGAGAGAGAGTTGACTTTTCTTCAGAAACGGGGGATCTTTTTCATCAAGGACTCTGCATTAAAAATACAAAGCTAGGTGGTTTTCTTTTTTGATTTCCAAGAAGTTCAGTCACTTTTTTGTGAGTGTTTCCTATTTTGAATTTTTTGGTTCTGCATTTTCGTGTGTCCAGTCTTTACCTGTCTATACCTGTCTAGAATAATCCTTAAAATAACTCATGTGTGGATTTTGAATTTTTCTGTTCTAGTCTTCTGGGCTCTATGTTTCCTTTACCCCGAATTCTGTTTGCCATGGCCCGGGATGGCTTACTGTTTAGATTTCTTGCCAGAGTGAGTAAGAGGCAGTCACCAGTTGCTGCCACGTTGACTGCAGGGGTCATTTCTGGTAAGCTTTACAAACTTAGGTTTCTTGAGCATTAGACTGGAACATTTAATTCGCATGCATGGACTTATAAAGAGGGTCTGCATGCTGTGCATGTAAGTTAAAAAAAACAAAATCACTGATAAAAATTAGTATACAAGCATTGGGATTAACATGTGAAAATTGTGGTGGCGGTGGTATAATGAAGTTCATTCTTAATTGACCCTTTGGGATTTTTTTTTTACTGTTTTGTTATTTTAATCTTTTGGGCTCTAACAAATGTACAAAGGGTTATAATAGCTCTTCACTAAATATTATGAATTGCTTTTCTGATGAACTAGCACACAAAATTATATTATTGATACATAAACTTCTGATTAAGGAATTCTTGCTTAATTTTTGAAATATTAATTTTAAAATAATGATTCAATTTTTTGGTCTAGGATATACGTCGAATATTGCTAAGGGACCATAGGGTAAATTAAGCTTTACCCATTATTAATAAGAAATATTCAAGATGATTTATGCTTGGCCCTTGTGATCGCCATCCTCAGTATGGTGGGCATCCTTGCTTCCAGGGCCATCGCAGCCATCTAACAGTTAGGAACATACATATCCTCTCCAACTCCATCAGGAATCTATTTTTCCTTTCAACAGTTTTGGTACTTAAATTATGTTCAGAAAATCCAGATTGCTAGTCTTTTGGCACATCTTAATATCCATGTAAAATACCTTTGGCCAGATCCTTATCTCATGCAGAAAATTTCAGTGAGATTCTAGATCCAGACAATGGCCTTAAAGGTACTGTTACAGGAAGCAAAAGAAAGACTTTTGCAAGCTTTATACATAAAATAATGAACAATCTTGGCACTATAAATTCAAACCAAAATGACAATTTCGTTGAGGCTCTGAATTGTTAGGAAATTAGCTTAGAAAAAGCTAGTGCTTCATTCTGTGTAAAATGGAATTTTTTTCAGGGTCAGAATGTATTTGTTTAAACACTTTCACTTTGTAAACATTTTCTTATAAATCTGGCCCTTTCTTAAACTATGTTAGAAGGTCAAGTCACTTATTTTCTCAGGCTTAGATTTCTGCCCCCCTAAAATGAAGGTTTGCCCAGATGATGTGAAGCCCATTTTATTTTTAAACAACACATGATATTAAAGGTAGTTTATAAATATTTTTTGACAAAGAGTCATACGTTTTATTTAACTCATAAAAAATTTTCTCTTTCCGGTAAAATACTTGCCAGTAATGATGCAGAATTTTTAAAAGCTTATCTTTCTCTATTCAGGAAGAATTTAATTTGGTGGCATGTTAAGATATTAAAATTAATAATTAAAAGAAGATAATTATAATAGACCACTTTTTAAAATGCTCTAAAATATTTTTGTGATTTTGTACTCCCATACCTTACTTTGCTTGTTCTTAACTTGGATCAGAGCGCTTGTGTGGACAACTTATCATTTTCTTCTCTCTTGGCTACCTTATTTGGCTCTCTGTGATTTTTAAGCATACCAAAATTGTAATAATCTGACGTATATGAGCAATGAAGAATTTTTTTTTTTGAGATAGGGTGTCACTCTGTCACCCAGGCTGGAGTGTAGTGGCACGATCTTGGCTCGTTGCAACCTCCACCTCCCGAGTTCAAGCAATTCTCCTGCCTCAGCCTCCTGAGTAGCTCTGATTACAGTCACGTGCCACCACGCCCAGCTGATTTTTGTATTTTTAGTAGAGATGGGGTTTCACCATGTTGGCCAAGCTGGTCTCAACCTCCTGACCTCAGGTGATCTGCCCGGCCCCGCCTCCCAAACTGCAGGGATTACAGGTGTGAACCTCTGTGCCCAGCAAAGAATTTTCAAAGTGAGGCACGCAGTGTGTTAAAAGAAACACTGTGATCTTGTAGAAGGAACATGGGGCTGTTGGATAAGGGGAACTCTGCCCCGACGGGTAGTCGTGGCCTTGCTAAGTTAGCCTATCTCTAAGATGGGGATAATTCTGTTAGAAAAACCACTCACAATTGCTGAGTTTGGGGTCAAAAATTGTCAAATCCAGCCATTTTATATGCCTAAACATAAATGATTTCCCTTCTCATAGGATCATTGACTCAAAGGTAAAATGAGATCACAGAGATTTAAATCTTGTAGAGGGATCTGAAACATCATATAAATGGAATGTGATGTTATCTACTTACTATGACACAGAAAACTATATGCTAAATTCAAGTTAATATTGTCACTATTTTGATGTTTCAGTGGAGAAAACAGTTGCTTAGTGGAAGTTAAGCTATTTAACTGTTTAAAGTATGTTTTGTCTCTTAGTATTTTGGGATTTGGTATGCAGGACCAGAAACTGATCTCTCAGATCTAGTAAGTCTACCTGGAATGCATGGCTTTAATCGTAGTAGAATTTAGTCTGTTTCATAAACATAATTTAATTGAAAGTTATTTTACTTTATTTTATCAGAATTACTAAAATAATTCTGAGTCAGGCCGGGCACTGTGACTCACACCTGTAATCCCAGCATCTTGGGAGGCCGAGGCCAGTGGATCACTTGAGGCCAGTTCGAGACCAGCCTGACCAACATGGTGAAACCCTGCCCCTACGAAAAATACAAAAATTAGCCAGGTGTGGTGGCGCACGCCTGTAGTCCCAGCTACTCGGCAGGCTGAGATATGACAATCGCTTGGACCAGGGGGGTGGAGATTGCAGTAAGCCGAGATCGCACCACTGCACTCCACCCTGGGTGACAAAGTGAGCCCTGTCTCAAAAAAGAAAAAAAGAATTGAGTTGTCTATAACTCAGTGCATATGGAAACTAAAGTGGTTATATAATATCTATAATGAAAGCACCTTCTGTTTGAATGTTTTTTTGTGGTTTTAAAAAAGGAGCTAGCCAGTATTTCCTAGCAGTGTTTTTCTTCTGAAATATCAATGACAGTGTTCTGTCATGTAATGTTTTCACTCTTTGTCAGGCCAAATATTTTTTATGTAATCCAAGTAGAATGCGCCTTGGATAGTTGCCAGAGAGCTGAGGGTTTTTGAAGTCCTATCAGCAGTTTATATGACCTAAAGAACATCTTATTAACTGTGAGAGATATATTTTCTACACTCTGGTTGACTTATCCTTGGTACTAAAACGAAGTGGCAGTCAGATGTCCCTGACTTGAACGTTAGTAACTGTATGGAATTTCCTCCTGGGCCGTTTACTTCACCGTTCTTTTCTTCTCCCCCTAGCTTTGATGGCCTTTCTGTTTGACCTGAAGGCGCTTGTGGACATGATGTCCATTGGCACACTCATGGCCTACTCTCTGGTGGCAGCCTGTGTTCTCATCCTCAGGTGAGTCACCTGGTGGTTCTACAGGGTGTACCATGCACGAGGGACTCTGGGAGTGAGAAAATGAGCCCTCACTCTCCTGGCTTCCAGGGAGCCAGCAGTCTCACCAAGGTGAGAGGTCACATCTAACAAAATAGCAATGAAAAGTGGAAGAAGCGTATCTGGTCTTTAGCAAAGAATCAAATGCAAGTTGACCATGAGTGATAGGTTGGCCTGATCTACATGAAAGGCAATTTCTCATAATGTCTAACGACACTTAAAAATGCTGTGCTTTTTGTTCCATTGATTCAGTTGTAAAAATTTTTGTGCTAAAGATTTAATCAGAGGCACACACAGATGTATGTAAAGGATGTTTCTGGAAAAGGTAATTTACAATAGTGAAAAAATGAAACTAACCTGAATATCACTAGAGGAGTGGTTAAATAAATGAGGCTACATTTGTTCACTGAACTCTTCTACAGCAAATAAAATGGTATTAATTTTATGGAGAAATATATCCATTTCAGGATATAAAACTATAGTTATATATAGTGTCTGAACTTATTTAAATAATAAATTTTCATGAAGAAATCATATATGCCGATATAGACATTATATGCCTGGATGAAATTGTACCAAAGTGCTAACAGTGATTAACACTGGCTGATGGTATTATGGCTGGTTTTGAATTTCTCCTGTATACTTTCATGTATTTTTTCTCAGTGAGCCTATTTCTTTATATGGAGGGAAAATATTATTTTCAAGGATAAGTAAAGGCTGCCAAGAAGGAGAAGAGGCTGCACTGAAAAGCCTGGGGCAGACACTAGGAGGAGAAGCAGGCTTGTATTAGTCCATTCTCGTGCTGCTAATAAAGACATACCCAAGACTGGGTAATTTATCAAGGAAAGAAGTTTAATTGACTCACAGTTCCACAGGGCTGGAGAGGCCTCAGGAAACTTAAAATCTTGGTGGAAGGGGAAGCAAACATGTCCTTCTTCACATGCTGCCAGGAAGGAGAAGTGCTGAGCAAAAGGGGGAAAAGCCCCTTAGGGCATGGTGGTGGGCACCTGTTGTCCTAGCTACTCAGGAGGCTGAGGCAGGAGAATCACTTGAACCCAGGAGGCAGAGGTTGCAGTGAGCTGAGATCACGCCACTGGACTCCAGCCTGGGCAACAAGAGCGAAACTCTGTCTCAAAAAAAAACATAACAAAACGAAAGAAGAAAAACCATCAGATCTCATGAGAACTCACTTGCTATCATGAGAACAGCATGAGGGTAACCACTCCATGATGAAATTAGCTCCCACTGGGTCCCTTCCACGGCACGTGGGGATTATGGGAACTACAATTCAAGGTGAGATTTGGGTGGGGACACAGCCAAACCATATCACGGCTGATGTCTTGATATAAGCTATACAGGAGGAGGATAAAATAATAAAGGAAAATGACATGCAATGGGTGTAGAAGTGGCAGGATGGTCAGATGAGCTTGTCTGGGTTTAGCTAGAAGAATCGGTAGGGAAGGATGAGGCCAGAAAGACAGATTGTGATGAGGCCTTTGAATGCCAAACTGGTGACTGCATTATTTTATAGCTGAAATTTACCCAGAGCTTCTGTGCTGTTTTCATGAACCGCATTTCCTTTGGACATAGGTAATTTCAGAATAATCATTCTTTTTTCATGATTGCCTTACTTTACAATTTCACTTTCTTGTGCCATCTATTGTATGACTCTGATTTGGTGACTACTGGGGGAAATTGGGGTATTTTGCTGCAGTTGTTTTATCGGAAAGGTTTGTGTCCTGGCTCAGCATGCTCTGGGACTGGAGTCATAAGTGTTGATTTACTCTACACACTATCACTCTGTATGATGTCTTACTTAAGGTTTTAGGTGCTGGTTTCACTTGGGCCAAATGTCTATTTGAGAATAAAGACATAGATGTTTGTTTGGAAATAGGTACCAGCCTGGCTTATCTTACGACCAGCCCAAATGTTCTCCTGAGAAAGATGGTCTGGGATCGTCTCCCAGGGTAACCTCGAAGAGTGAGTCCCAGGTCACCATGCTGCAGAGACAGGGCTTCAGCATGCGGACCCTCTTCTGCCCCTCCCTTCTGCCAACACAGCAGTCAGCTTCTCTCGTGAGCTTTCTGGTAGGATTCCTAGGTAAGTCTTCTTCTCTGCTTACATTGTACAGACCCAGAAGATGTGTGTGAGTAGAGCTGGCATGATATGAAAGAGAAAAGAGGGCCTAACATTGCCCTAGAATATATTAGCAACCACCCTGAAATTTTCACCTAAAGCATCACCAGTGGTTGAGATCATCTTTATATTACCTGTATAAATTTATTGTATCTTGATAATTGAACAAAAGAGGAAGGAATACTTCAAGACGAGAGTGACAGAAATACAAACTGGCACATTCATTAGAGGTTAGGATGCCCTCTGGGTGAAAGCATCAGGCCACGTACCCCTGCCAATAACCTGACTGGAACCCGATGGAATTGTCCAATAATATAGAAAATCCTTGTTTGTTTACCCACAGTTACGTAATCATTCATTCATATTTTCAATGACATTTATTGAACATTGCGTGTGTGTCAGGCACTCCACTGGGCACCTGGGATGCCAAGAGAGACGGTCCGTACTCTCACTGGCCTTTACAGGACAGGATAATTGGTGGCAAGTAGGGAAGCACAGGCTTCTCAGAGCAAATAGGAGTTGCCCCTAGAGCAGACTTGATGGTCAGAGATGGGGTGGTGATGTCATTCTCTAAAACAAGGAGAAAAGATGCAGATGATATATTATTTTTGCACATTAGCAGTCTGTATTAGTCTGTTCTCACACTGCTAGTAAAGACATACCCAAGACTGGGTAAATTATAAAGAAAAAGGTTTAATGGGCTTACAGTTCCACGTGGTTAGGGAGGCCTCACAGTCATGGTGGAAGGCGAAAGGCACATCTTAACATGGCAGCAGGGAAGAGAATGGTAACCAAGCAAAAGGGGTTTCTCCTTAGAAAACCATCAGATCTCGCTAGACTTATTCACTGCCATGAGAACAGTGTGGGGGAAACCGCTTACTGTTCAATTATCTTGCACTGGGTTCCTCCCATAACACATGGAAATTATGGGAGCCACAATTCAAAATGAGATTTGGGTGGGGACACAGCCAACTCATATCACAGTCCATGTTTACGACAGCTTAAAATAACCAGATGTGCCATTTCCCATTTGAAAAAAGGGAAGTATCCAACCCCGACAGCATTCTAGTCTGAAAGTAACCAGTGAGGACACAGATGGCACGTGGGCAGATAATGCCAGTGAGTAACACTAGGAGGGGCGGTTGGTTCTAAGGAGGGGAGAGTAATGAGTAAATAAGCAATGGTTCTTAAATCCCTGCAACTGGACATCTCTCTCCTCAATGAAAAAGAAGAAAGGGCAAGGCGAAGACTCTTTGTATTTAGCCAAGTAGATGTGTACAGAAGTCAGTGTTTTATCAGAATATGCTGTTTTGCACCAAGCAATCTGGGTGGAGCACAGTGTGCTGACTCTGTTATCTACACATCCCCCTGCAGCTTTCCTCGTGTTGGGCCTGAGTGTCTTGACCACTTACGGAGTTCATGCCATCACCAGGCTGGAGGCCTGGAGCCTCGCTCTCCTCGCGCTGTTTCTTGTTCTCTTCGTTGCCATCGTTCTCACCATCTGGAGGCAGCCCCAGAATCAGCAAAAAGTAGCCTTCATGGTATGTGTAATGAGGATTAGAGACCCAAAATACTGTATTCATTTTCTCTGTATAATTAGTTTGGTAAGTATTTTTTTTTTTTTTTTTTTTTTTTTTTTTTTTTTTGGAGATGGAATCTCTCTCTTTGTCACTCAGGCTGGAGTGCAATGGAGCGAAGTGATCTTGGCTCACTGCAACTTTTGCCTCCCGGGTTCAAGCACTTCTCCTGCCTCGGACTCCCCAGTAGCTGGATCACAGGTGCACGCCACCACACTCAGCTAATGTTTGTATTTTTAGAAGACATGGGATTTCACCATGTTAGCCAGGATGGTCTCGAACTCCTGACCTCAAATAATCCACCCACCTCTGCCTCCAAAAGTGCTGGGATTATATGTGTGAGCCACCGTGCCCTGCTTATTTTTGTATTTTTCTGGTGATAGGGTTTTGCTACATTGGCCAGGCCAGTCTCAAACTCCTGACCTCAGGTGATCCACCTGCCTCAACAACTTCTAATGTGGTTAGCCAGTGAATGAGAGTGTCAGAATCCTTCGATATGTTCCTTTTTGTACAGAATTCCTTCTACATTGGTCCTCTTACTGCCTTTTCAAACACTTGGGTATGTTCCTATCACAATATTATTATATATGATAGTAAACAAATTTCATGTTAAAGAAGCTATAATATCAAAAAAGTAGGGTGAGTATTTTGTTTTTAGAAATTCACTGCCTTCTCATGAGAACTTTGTTCCTACCAAAAGCCTTTCCTCTTGGGCTGGGTGTGGTGCCTCACACCTGTAATCCCAGCACTTTGAAAGGCCAAGGCAGGAGGATTGCTTGAGGCCAGGAGTTCAAGTGTAGCCTGGGCAACATAGCGAGACCCCATCTCTACAAAACAAACAAACAAATTAGCTGCGTGTAGTGGCTCATTCCTGTAGTCCTAGCTAGTCAGGAGGCTGAAGTGGGAGGATCACTGGAACCCAGGAGTTCAAGGCTGCAGTGAGCTATCATAGTATCACTGCACTCTAGCTTGGGTGACAGAGTGAGACACTGTCTCTAAAAATAAAATAAAACTAAATTGAACATTAAAAAGATAAGCTCCTCCACTGCAAGTTAAACTATCCTGTCCCATTTGAGCTAACCGTATACTGGCTTGGGTTTGAAGAGGGCTTCCTGGGAGGATGTACCTGGGATAACCATATGTATCCCACATTTCAGAGGTCTCCCCTTTGTGTGTCTAAATGAAATCAGTAAACCCCAAAGAAAGCTAAATCCTAAAACCAATATTATTTTGATTGTGCAGGTGTTACTGAATCTGATAAATCCCCTGGTGCCTTGAGCTTTAGTAAATACTCTAAGATGTGATTCTCCTTTTATGGTCTCTAGAAGCGTGGTTTTAACTGTGATTGACGTGGTGTGAAAGTATATATGCCAAATTAATTGCCACCCTGTTGAAATAACTTGGGGAATATGCTTCAAAATATGAGTATGTTCAAAAGGATTGTTTTCCCCCTCAGGTTCCATTCTTACCATTTTTGCCAGCGTTCAGCATCTTGGTGAACATTTACTTGATGGTCCAGTTAAGTGCAGACACTTGGGTCAGATTCAGCATTTGGATGGCAATTGGTAGGTCTTTTAATGTCGGGTTCTCTTTCCTATTTCATGTGCTGTGATGAGAGAAACATGCCCTCTCCCCCATCCTGGGAATAAAGGCTTTTTTTTCCCGCTTCTTTCTTTCCTAATTCTTAGGGATGTCCGAGTGCTTTTCCAGATGTTTTCAGATGCCTTTTTAAGTCAGTATCTCCCACTAACCCTGTAGAACCATGTAGGCTCTATTTCCTTCTACTTATGGGTGAAAAAAATGAAACCCAGAAAAAGTCATTTTATATCAACCCAAAACTCACAACCAATTTTCTAAAATAGAACTAAAACAGCAAAATGCCTACATGTCTGCAGTGATCTTAGGAGGGTACTTAAAACGTTGCCTCCTGATCCCCACACAGTCAGTGTGGCTGTTAATAAACAGTTGCTTTGCATACAGTTCTTCGGACTCTCCTGGTGACAGTGACACGTGTAAAGCATGTCCGTGTCCTCTTTGTTAATACAGAGTGTACTTTGCAAAATATCTGATCTTGACTCTGATAACTCACCACTTGTATTTAGGGTATAATTTGAGACTTTATTCCACATATCATTTTGTTTAAAGTACAGTATTGACTTCTAAGAACATCAATTAAAATTTTTCCATATAAACATTGAAAAACTTGTTGAGAGCAAAATACAGTCTATAAAGTTTGGGTCTTCACAATAGAGAGGCACATTCTACCAGGAAAATATTGATCAAGGACACCTTCTGTGGGGTATCTTACATTTGCATTTCATTCTTCTAAAGCAGCGGTCCCCAACCTTTTTGGCACCAGGGACGGGTTTTGTGGAAGACAGTTTTTCCATGGACAGGGTGGGGGATGGTTTGGGGATGAAACTATTCCACCTCAGATCATCAGGCATTAGTTAGATTCTCATAAGGAGCATGGAACCTAGATCCCTCACGTGTGCAGTCCCTTCTGTGAGAATCTAATGCTGCCCTGCTCTGACAGGAGGCAGAGCTCAGGTGGTAATGTTCACAATGGGGAGTGGCTGTAAATACACTGTAAATACTAGAGACTGCTTGCTCACTTCCTGTTGTGTGGCCTGGTTCCTAACAATAGTGGTCTGTGGCCCAGGGGTTGGTGACCCCCGTTCTAAAGTACTACAGAAAGGAAAGAGACAAACTCTATTAAGTTCTACATTTTCCACCTCAATAACTTAAAAGTCATTTTCTGACATACCTGAAACATTGATTTTTTTTTTTCCTGCCCCAACAGGCTTCCTGATTTACTTTTCTTATGGCATTAGACACAGCCTGGAGGGTCATCTGAGAGATGAAAACAATGAAGAAGATGCTTATCCAGACAACGTTCATGCAGCAGCAGAAGAAAAATCTGCCATTCAAGCAAATGACCATCACCCAAGAAATCTCAGTTCACCTTTCATATTCCATGAAAAGACAAGTGAATTCTAACACTTGCAGGAGCAGAGCTGGTCATCGTCTTAGCATACATATCCTACACTGAGTAAACCGTAACGGGATGTCATCAGCATGCTGGGTTGTCATGGGTTTGCTGCATACATAGTTCACCCTAATTTATACTTACTCATCTGGACAGCATCTCCTCAGATGGTGAATTATGTGCACGGGGAAACCTCCTGAGTGGAAGTTTCATTCATCAGTGATGAATAGCCCCCAAACAGTGGGAGTGTGTATGTATGTGTGTATGTATGTATCTATGTATATGCTTGGGAACATGAGTGTTACAAGTTAGCTGGTGTTTTACTATTATTGTGTTACATTTTTCCAGTGTCGTCATTAATCGGTGGCATATACTGCACATACTGAAATAGAGGGAAATCACTGAATGTAAAGAGGTTTCATCTATGCCCCCTGCAGTTGGGGAAATACTAGTAGCTTTACCTTGTTTGACTTCATTAATGTCAGTTTAGGGGATGCCAAAAATGCAGTTACTCATCATGGTGTCTGTCACTGGTTAGGGGTAAGATGAGGGGATAAGGAAAGAGACTTTTCAATAAGTTGTGAATGCCAACAGTGGGTTTAATGCAAATTTTTTTTCCTGTGAGGTATGACAGTTTGCTCAAACTTCAGCCAACAGGGGTGTCTGCTTCTGCTGCACTACACAGGCCAGGAGTGGCATTCCATGCCACTAGTTGGCATCCTTTTGAACTTTTGTCTCCTTTGCAAACAGTGGTCCTAAAATACGAGGTCTTCACTTGCTGTGAATGACGTATCCCCAGTCAGGGACTTAAGAGAGGCACTGTGATATACTTGGGACCCTTTAAATTAAAAAGTGAAGATAGTCACCAGGGCCAGAAAGCTCATGGAGTGGCCGTAATGAGAATATGTTTGAAGATCAAAGAGTTAGACCAATGCTTGAATAAGTAGACCCCAAGCATCCTTTTCTAAAAAGTGACTTAAAATAAGCCAACAGACTCTCCCAGACCACACAACTAGTGGAATGATTCCTCCTTTTTCCATTACTTACTTAATCACAGTTTAGTTTTTTTCTTAACCTCGTCAGGCCCAGAGTTCACTTCTTTGTTTCTCTGTTTCTTTTGTCTTGTCTTAGAGATGAGGGGGCTACAGCAGCATCATGCAAAGAGGGAAAGATGAAGGGATAGAAGAAGAGAAAATCCCCCTGTTCTGATAGGAACGGCCTGTTCCATTGTTAAATGGCAAATGGCCCAATTTAAGGGCTTTGGATCTAATTTGCCTCTGATGTTTCCTTTGGAAACATTTAGGAATATTTTTCTCCCCCTACCCCATAAATTGTGTAGCACTTTTTATTCCATTTGCTTTCAAATGACTACACTAAGCCTAATAATACAAGCTCCAGTGTTATACAATAACCCATCAGTGATTGGGGAATCAAACATTTTGGTTTAAAAAACATGATTATTTAAAACTGGAAACTAAAAAGAATCAAATTGAATTAAAGCTATATAAACACAGTTAACCCTTGTAAATGAGTAAACAAATTTTTACATGTAAGATTCTCTAATTGTCATATTTTACTTTTTAGGATTCCCTAATAGTGGACTGTTTATTTGCAGTGTATTTGCTTCTCATGAACTATTTCTCGTACAAATCATTAAATAGTTCATTGGATGAGGCTGGGTGACATTTCCCAGGACAGCATGGTGAACATTACCAGGCATGCTAGCTGGCCCGTGTAATCCCAAGACAAGGAAAACATTCGTTTTCCTCATGGGTCTTCCAAGAAATGAGCTATTTTATTGATGCCATTAAAAAGCAAGTTGCGATGGTTTTGTATAGCCAGGAGTTTATTGTGATTAAACATCAAAGAAACAGGTAGAAAGCCTGGGTTTCTGGCTGCTAGCGTTATAGCATCCATGACACAGAACTCATTACGGACATTCCACAACTTCCAGGGTGCACATGGTAAAATCTGAAGCCCAGAATTTTCTCTCAAGCTGCGTGGTTTACTGGAGAGAAGGAGTTGGATAAGCACAGGCTCGGGTATTTTGGTAGGGACTGTAGGCATGCTCATAAATCCTTGCTGTTGTCACAGTACGCTGAAAACCCGTTTGATTCTATACCCAATCAAGAATAGACCCTTCACACAGGAAATGTGAACAATTGTTATATATGAACACTCAAATCTTTTACTGTAACGAAACCAAGAAACTTGTTTAGAATGTGATAGGCAGCTAAAACTGTTATGCCCACTGTGCTCAATTTGAAGCAGAATTTAGTGAAAAATTATTTTTCCACATTGAAACACTTTGCAGACACAAATATCTATGAAAAGATGCTTTGTCAGCCACTGTGCCTTTTTTTCTGTGAAGACTCAACGGATGTGTGTGTTTGTATGTTTGTTAACAGTTACATATGTTTGTATGAGTGTATATATATATCTGTGTGTGTGTATCTCTAACGTCAGTGTATAAGTAAGTTGGGTTTATGGTGGGCTTTGACTATGTCATTAGGTGGGTACAAAACCCAACTGATGTGGAGAAAAATTGATGTTTGATGTTGATAGATATGCTTATACCTAATTTTTAGTTTTTAAACTATTTTAAAATATACTATGATTTTATATGTATATTTCCTATAGACTCTTTAAGACGTATTTATAATGTTTCTAATATGAAATCACTAAACTCTAGTACATTATAGCAGGTGCTTTGTAATCTGGAATGGAGAAGAGGTAGGGGCATTTGGGGATTCCTGTTTACTTGCTGCTGCCACACCTTTTCCGACTGATCTGTCCTGGTAGGTGTTTATTAGCAAAAGTCAGTATCACCAGCTCTTTGGCACCTTTCTGTTTCTGCTTGTGAATTCATAATGTTTTCAACTAAATTTTTTTTTTCTTTCTCAGAATTACCTAAATGTTTTGTAGAGTTTTGACTAGTAATCAATCAAAATTATATAAAGTCTTCTCCAGTAATTAAGAAATACATATGCAAATTCTTTTGTGATTGAGTAAAAGCAGCTTAAATTACTTTTCTTTTCTACATTAAGAAATATATTCTCAACATTTTCAGTGAGAATTTCTTGTAATGGCACCTCAAATTTTATACTCTTAAAAAAAAACAATAATTTGTGAATTACCACCAAAAGGCAATGGCAGTCCTACATTTAAGAATAGAGCTATGCAAACTCTGTTAAAAACTATGAGGAAAACTTATATTAGAACTTTTGATATATACTAAAATACTGATTATCTTAATCACATTTTCCCCAGAGATAAACATTGAGAGAACGAAAGCCAAAGTGTCATTTAAGAGAGATATATATGAAAAAGTAACATTAATATATAGAACTTTACCATCACCAGCCGTAGTTGATAGAAAATATTAGTTTCAGAATTACCCTCCTTTAAAAAATAAGAGACTATTTGTTTTCTTTTAATTTCTATGAATAAAAGAAATTTTTAAAAACTTTAAAATTTTAAATATTAGTCAAAATACTTTTTAAGTCCTGAGTGCTTACAGGTAGTTGTTAAAAAAATTTTAAGGCCAGGCATGGTGGCTCGCTCACACCTATAATCCTAGGATCTTGGGAGGTCGAGGCAAGCTGATCGCTTGAGCCCAGGAGTTTAAGACCGGCCTGAGTAGCATAGCAAGACCCTGTCTCTACAAAAAAAACAAAAATTAGCTGGGCATGGTGGCATGCACATGTAGTCAGAGCTACTGGGGGTGCTGAGGTGGGAGGATCGCTTGAGCCCAGGAGAGTGAGGCTGCAGTGAGCTGAGATTACGCCACTGCACTCTAGCCTGGGCAACGGTGAGACCCTGCCTCAAAAAAAATAAAAATAAAAATAAAACACTTTAATTAGAATCTATTTTTACCTATTTTCTAAATTTATTTAAATGCTTAGCAGGAAGCATAAGGAAAAGCCATCGGCCTCCAATACCCATGATGACAGAGGGAGCACTTGAGCCTTGCCTTCCCTCCTCTTAAATCAGGGTGTGTTCCGAGATTACAGAACATCACACCTTGGCGTGATGAAATCATGCCAAGATTCTGACTCTCCCTTTCCGGTGATACTGCTCATGATTTCTCCTAATACGCTTCAAGCAACTGTTACCACAAAAAATACAGTTTCCGCAGGGCTTTAAAGGATTGAGTTTAGCATGTATATCATGCGTTATTAAAGTTCACGTGATTCATGTGAAATTAACTGTCCTTTTTGCTAGTGCCAAAACAGTGCCTTCTCTGCACACTTTACTTGTTTATAAAGTTCTCCCACATGTCCTTAAATATCAAGGGGGAAAGTATGGATATTCGCGTAGCAATAATGCCAGCAAAGGTCATTTTCATTTTTTAGTCATATAGATATGAAAATAAGTTCATATAGATATGAAATTGCTTGACTTTATTGTTTTGGGGAGATTTTTTTTCCTTACATGATTATATTAAACACTTTAAAATAGCCTTCCGGTTTCTGGATTTTGAGAAGCCTGATCTGTTATTGTTGTGGTTGTTGGTGTTTGTAATATTCATTATTGTTTGTATATACACGGTTTAGTCTTACTGATTTCAAATGCATTTTGTTATTGCTCAACCCAACTGGTAACACTGTTTGCTGGGAGCATTATACTTAACTTTGATTCACCATGGTTGATGCCACTGCCATGATCGCTGGGTCTTAAAGAGCTTTCCCTAGCCACTGACAGCCCCGTGGAGATCATAATCAGGGCCCCAGGCTGGTTCCAGGATCAGGCAGCCTATAGAGTGTGAGCATCTATGTGTAGCTACCCTTGTTGGGTGGGCTCTTAGACTGATGGGGTAGGATATGAAGTGAAAGACTTCAAATGCAAGTAAGGTAGTTTGGGCTCCTTAATTCCAAACATCCCATGAGTATATCAAGATGAATAAGGACCAAGGGACCTCTGTGACTCATAGAAGGGCTGGCTGAATCCTGAAGTAGCATAGTGGGACCTGGTCTACAATTTATGCACATGCACTGACAGCCTTGCTGTGCCACGTGTCTCACCAAGACCCAGTTGGGAAAGAGCGTCATATTGCCAACAGGTTGGGTTTCTCTGGCCTACACCTGATTAATGGGCCCTTTATCTTTGGTGTCCCCTAGGAGTGTCCAGTTGTTTTATTGCTGTATTTTGTTATTGCAGTACTTAATAAAAATTGTTGATAGGGCCCAAAACCCTACAGAAATTCTATGTCTGTAAAAACCAACAAAGGCATTGGACTTGTGTGAATGTACAGGGTTTTTTTAGTAGTAATTTTAAATTTAAATGTTTTAAGTGATCATCAGTGTTCCTTTTTACTTATAAAGTTGGATTCTTTTTTAGAATTTGTAATAAATAAAAACTGCTGCTTTACCACTGTAAAATATGCTTTCTGATGTGGTGTATTTTTAAAATAAATTTTAATATGTAATAATATAGAATGCAGATGTTACCCATACCAAAAGCACACATTTCATACTTACCTAAATTAAACTCCTTATTTATTTGGAAATCTTTAAAGCTCAGAAATATAAGCAATCTACATTGAAACAATTGAAGAATACTAAGCTGGCAGCCTAAGGCCTGCTGTATGACTGACTACCAAGTCCTGTGAGATGAAAGAGATGTCTTCACATATCCTCAATACTCATGGCACATTCCAAAAAATACCAGTTGCTCTTGAAGCATGCTACCCCAGAGTCACACATCTGGGATCCTATCACTACGACTGCCATTCACTTTGACATTGCTTTGATCTGTAAGAAGTTCATCAATGTTCTTTCCACCAATCATAGCCTTTAATCATTGGTGATCAGTTGTATGTCCACTAGGATACTTTTAAGTATGGTGAATGATTATCAACTTTTTACTCTTTGATAGGGAGGGAGAATTCAATGCGGATTTTTAAAATGTTTCTAAATTGCTTAAAATTACACATCTCTTGAGTTAGCTTGTTTAATTTTGAAACATATTTGTGTATGCAGTTCCTATTGTTTCTAGTAAATTGGAGGGAACATGTTGAATTTTAAAAACTTTACTATCAATTTAGAAAGCATTAAAAACCAAGCTAAAAAAGCAAACTACTTGCCAAGTAGAAGCCTCAAACAATTTAGTTTTTGTGTGATTAGGGTTGCTGTGAGGTAGTGGTGCCCTACCTCTCTGTTTTGTCACCATGGGATCACATGAAATAATCCCCCAGTAGTTGTCTCTGGGCTGTAGGTCCAGCCAGAAGCTCCCGGAGAGAGGAATATGATCTTCTTAGTGTTTAAAGAAGGACTCAGATAGGCTTCCTTTTGGGGCTAAGGGCTCAAAGCCCATGGATTGCTAAGAGATTGTGCTGAGAAGTCCTCATCTGTGTGGAAAGAGTAAATTATTTCATCCCGTAAACTATCTCAAAAAATTCTCAAAGACATACAAAAATAACTCTCACTATGACATTATCTCAGTTTGTCTTTTAAAGTATGTCAAAGCGGCTGGGCCTGGTGGTTCATGCCTGTAACCCCAGCACTTTGGGAAGCCAAGGTGGGAGGATTGCTTGAGGCCAGAAGTTCAAGACCAGCCTGGTCAACATAGCACAGACTCCAGTCTCTACAATTTTTTTTTTTTTAATTAGCTGAGTGCCTGTATTCCCAGCTACTCGGGGCTAAGGTGGGAGGATCACTTGAGTCCAGGAGGTTGAGGCTTCAGTGATCCATGATGGTACCACTGCACTGTAGTCTGGGTGACAGAACGAGACTCTGTCTCTAAAAGTAAATGAATGAATGAACACAGATCAAAGTATGAGTTAAACTAGAAAGAGACTCAGCTCAATACTCACTTACTTATATAAACCTTCCTAGTAACAGATTGATAGCCACCTCTTAAATAGTTGTAGATATCAGAGTTTCAGATGTCATAAACTCTGGGTAAAGAGTTCTTATTACTCTATTAAGACTGCAGCAGTCAAGAGGAAGAGAAACCCACAGGATAGAGACTGCACTACCCAGGAGTACTATATAGCCCAGGGTGGGCCCCAATCTCCAAGCCAGTTTCTGAGCTCTGAGTCCCTTAGCCCACAAATACTACAACATTGTCAAAGTTCAAGATTCTGGGCATCCCCAGTGGCTGAGTCTCCAAGTCACCGGAATCTTTCCCTACCTGCTCACTGATGTCATGGAAGGACCAACAATTTCACTGCTCTGGTAGAAATCAGGTTGTCACGCCATTGTTCTTAAAACAGAACCATTGACTTTAATTGGTGCACAAGTGTAAATGACTGATAATAGATGCTTTTCAAAAACAGCATTTAGAGCAAATAAGCAAGAGAAGGCAAATAGGCAGAGACAGTTGAAAGAGGAGGGAGGAGACTAGAAAGAGAAAGAGCAAAGAAAAAAGAGGCCAAAGCTCTCAAGTCACAATTTTCCTATTCTACATTTTGGCTTAGAGTAGTCCCTCTTTCCCTTGCCACTTAGAGGCTCTTGCAACTAATGAATAGGTGATGCATCTTTACAACATGCTACATCCTGGAGCTAGGAAGGTCTTGTGCTTCATTGGTTTTAAGTAGACTAAGTTTCTGGGATCCCTACCTTACCCTAAGATGTCCCTTGACGAGTGGCTCTGGGAGTGTCAAAAATGTCTGGCATTTCTATCAGAATGAAGTCTTCAGGGAGTCCCATATTTAAAACCACTAAATTTTATTCCTGCTAAAACCTCGAAGCATTGATTTTTGTTGCAGGAAGTCAGGGACCCCGAACAGAGGGACTAGCTGGAGCCATGGCAGAGAAACATACATTGTGAAGATTTCATGGACATTTATCAGTTCCCAAATAATACTTTTATAATTTCTTATGCCTGTCTTTACTTTAATCTCTTAATCCTGTTATCTTCGTAAGCTGAGGATGTACATCACCTCAGGACCACTGTGATAATTGTGTTAACCGCACAAATTGATTGTACAATGTGCGTTTGAACAATATGAAATCAGTGCACCTTGAAAAAGAACAGAATAACAGTGATTTTTAGGGAACAAGGGAAGTTACAATCATAAGGTCTGACTGCCTGTGGGGTCGGGCAAAAAGAGCCATACTTTTCATCTTGCAGAGAGCCTATAAACGGACACGCAAGTAGGAGAGATATCACTAAAATCTTTTCCTAGCAAGAAATATTAATATTAATGCCCTGGGAAAGGAATGCGTTCCTGGGGGGAGGTCTATAAATGGTCGCTCTGGGAATGTCTGTCTTGTGCAGTTGAGATAAGCACTGAGATACACCCTGGTCTCCTGCAGTACCCTCAGGCTTACTAGGGTGGGGAAAAAAGTCCGCCCTGGTACATTTGCGGTCAGACCAGTTCTCTGCTCTCGAACCGTTTTCTGTTGTTTAAGATGTTTATCAAGACAATACATGCACCGCTGAACATAGACCCTTTTCAGTGGTTCTGCTTTTGCCCTTTGCCTTGTGATCTTTGTTGGACCCTTATCAGTAGTTCTGCTTTTGACCTTTGTCCTGTTCCCTCAGAAGCACGTGATCTTTGTTCTGCTTTTTGCCCTTTGAAGCGTGTCATCTTTGTACCTACTCTCTGTTTTTACACCCCCTCCCCTTTTGAAACCCTTAATAAAAAACTTGCTGGTTTGAGGCTCAGGTGGGCATCACGGTCCTACCAATGTATGATGTCACTCCTGGCGGCCCAGCTGTAAAATTCCTCTCTTTGTACTCTTTCTCTTTATTTCTCAGCCGGCCGACACTTAAGGAAAATAAAAAGAACCTACGTTGAAATATTGGGGGCGGATTCCCCTGATAGATTTTTGTGAAAAAATCATCTTGGTTGTATGTCTGTAGTTAACGAAGACTAGTTAGAGAAGTTACGTGTCCTTATCTTGGGGATGGAGAAGGGATGCCCAAAATATTGGCTGATTTTTTCTTACCTAACAAATTCCTAATGGTATTCACCACTTCAAAGGGGCAAATAAAAAGCACGGAAGGCAATGGAGTAGGGAGATTTCATGGGTAAGCATAGAAAGCTACCGTTAATTAAAATAGATAATGAAAATGGCCAGGCACGGTGGCTGACACCTGTAATCCCAGCACTTGGGGAGGCTGAGGCAGGAGGATCACTTGAGGTCAGGAGTTTGAGACCAGCCTGGCCAACACAGCGAAAACCCATCTCTACTAAAAATACAAAAATTAGTCAGACATGGTGGCGCACACCTGTAGTCCCAGCTACTCAGGAGGCTGAGGCAGGAGAATTGCTTGAGCCGGAGAGGTGGAGGTTGCAGTGAGCTGTGATCATGCCAGTGTACTCCAGCCTAAGCAACAGAGTGAGACTTATCTCAAAGAAAAGAGAAGAAAGAAAAGTGGGTGTTACAGGTAATGTGATCGTTTATCTAAAAACCCAAGAGATCAACTGAAAACTATTTAAGCTACTAAGAAGGTCCATTAAGGTGACCAGATACAAGCTAAACATACAAAAAAAAAAAATCAGGCCTTGGGAAAGCAGGCTTCAAGTTGTATTTGATTTAGAGCTGCAAGATAATGTTTATTTTAATTGGCTAACATTATAGTAATTGTTGGAGAAGGAATGGAAAAGATCAACACGACATTCTAATAATAAAATTCTTTCTCACCCTAGAGACAAAGCACGTGGATTTTTATAGTGAAATAAGACCTGTGAAAAATACAGCTTTGGCAGTTTTTGTTTTCAAATTTAAAATCATCTTGAGATTGTCTCATTCAAGGATAATAAGCCTTGTGATGAAATAGCTACGTGTCTTGGGAAGCCCTTATACTTCTTATGAATTCTGTTCCCATCTTAATACAGACCCCTGTATTAATTTGCTGGGGCTACCATAGCAAAGAACCACAGAGTGCGTGGTTTAAAGAACAGAAATGTATTCTCTTATAGTTCTGAATGGCAGAAATCTGAGAGCAAGGTGGCAGAAGAATGGGTATTCTCTGAGGCCTCTCTTCTTTGCTTTTATTTATTTATTTATTATTTATTTATTTTGAGACAGTCTCTCTCTGTCGCCCAGGCTGGAGTGCAGTGGTGCCATCTCAGCTCACTGCAACCTCGCTTCCCAGGCTCAAATGACTCTCTCGCCTCAGCCCCCCAAGAAGAGCCTCTAAGCGGCAAGAGAAAGAGGGACGACTCTCGGCTAAATGTAGCTGAGCCAGGGCAGTGAAGCTTGACAATAATGGCACAAGAGAGGTGGACCTGGCACATGCATAGTCAGCATGGAGGGGATACTGCGACCGAGAGGAGGAATCTAGACCCAACCCCAGGCTCCAACATGGAGTGAGAGTTAAGCAGTCAATTCATGGGGTCAGAATGAAAAGAAATCTCACGGTGGGGCAATTTAGGCAGATTTACTCTCTCCTGTGTGCATGCTCCAAGTCCTTTGCTCAGAATTCTCCCCAGAACCTGACACACCACATTGCAGTGGTCTAAATGCTTGTTCACTCCTTAAAAGTAGCCATGAGAGATGATGTCTCAACCTTCATAGCCGTAATGTTAATCACATAGCAAACTCCTGTTGAAATAATCACCTAGTTCCCTTTCTTAATAAACAAGAGATGCTAAAACCCAGAAGGTTAAGTGAATTCTGAGAGGCATGGAGAGTTTGTGCCAGTGTCAGCATCTGAACTCTGGTCTTTATTCCCAGCCAACTGCTCTCTGCATCGCAAGGCAAGCGAGTGGCAAAGCTCCGGCTAGAGCTGGCAACAGAATATAGAATTCTTGGTTCCTCCTGCAGAAGTGACTGAGAAGCATTAGTTTGTTATAAATGGCAGCACTTCTTTCGTTGGGTGTTGAGGGACAAGTCCCTTTCCTGTTATTTAGAATTGAGCTCCCTTTAATAGCAGTGCCTGGTGCTGAAGATTACAATGAGATGGGCTGCTTCTCACCGGGGGAACACACACAGGCATCTCCCCCGCTAGCAAACTGCTTTGATCATGAGAGTCTGCAAGCTCAGAAACGCAGGATGGCTCTCTGCAGAGGGACTTGTGAAAGCCCGTATCTTCTGCCCCACTGTTACCTGATAGAGTTGTCCAGGTTCTTGGCCTGTTGAACAAAAAATTGAACGAAATGCACGGAGTAACGAAAGAAAGAAGCAAGGAAAAACAAAGCAACAGAAGGGAGGAAGGAAAACGTAGATTTATAGAAGACAATTCACAGAGGGCGCTGCAGCAAGCCACAAGAGCCTGACGCTCCCCAGGGATTTTATAAAGCGAAAAGAACTTGGCAACACCCTTGGGTTCCCTTTAGAGGCCTCCAACTGGTTACACCTTACGAAGGACTGGCCTGCGACCAGTCCGAGGCTGAAGTGGAAACTTCTGCCTTGTTATCAGAGGAGCGAGGATGTGGCCTGTGTGCCGCCTAATCATGCCTAGAACTGTCTGCACCTGCTGATCTTTTGCTTCTGCGAACTGGCTGCACCTGCTGTTCTCCTGCTCATACCCTAGCCCGTGCTTACCCTAATTCCCTGTTCTCCTGCCTCACCACCAGAGGCCCGGGTTGTCTGCACAGTCTCATTTTCCACGTTATTCCTGTAATGAACCCGTCCTCCCACCCCCACCAGCAGTTACAGGGCTGGGTGCGGAGACCAACTCTGGCCAGACACAGAGGAGCAGCAAGAACCCGGGGCAACGGTCCTGTGAGTGAGTGCATGTGGGGGAGAGAAATGGAATGAACAGAAATAATTTAGGAAGCACTTTTTACAGAGCACTCAGGTTCTGCCTGAGGAGGTGGGGCGGGCGCTGGTAACATTTGGACAATCGTGGTTAAAAGTGACCCCATCAGCACCCGCTGATCCTTCTTGAACTTGATAACCTTGGTGAAAACGCCAAGCGTTGGAGAAATTCAAGGAATGGCTGTTGTAATGTACATTTCACGCTTAGCCTTTCCTCCCCGCGCTGGGAAGAAGTGCTGCGCACCGCGGCTCCGCCAGGGGGCAGGAGAAGTCACATTACACAGAGAACTAAAAAAAAAAAAAATTCCCCAACTTTTTCCCCCAAACCTTGTTCCTCCTGAAGAAACCGAATCCTCCCGCTTCGGCGTCCCAGGAGCCCGCCCCTCGCCCGCCGCCTCCCCTGCGTCCCCGCCCCGCGCAGCCGCCGCGCTCCTGCGCTCCGAGGTCCGAGGTTCCCGAGATGAAGGTCTGGCTGCTGCTTGGTCTTCTGCTGGTGCACGAAGCGCTGGAGGATGGTGAGTGACTCTGGGCGCGGGGCCACCTAGCTTGTGCCCTGACTTTAGCCGGGACCCGAAGCCCCCGCCGCCCTCCTGCCAGCTCTTGGTCTAACGTTCGGCCCTCGGTGGCTCAGCCCCCGCGCCACTGCCTGCCCGGTGCACCTGCCCCCTCCTGGTGGGGTCTCCTTTCCTCCCACTCTTTGCCTGCCCGGAGAGCCCTCTAGGGGTGGTGGCAGCTACCCCGACCCTTAGGAGCCCACCAGGACCTCTCCAAGTCCCCATCTCCGGGCGAACCAAGCATCCCCAGCCAGCGCCTGGTCCAGCCCCCAGTGTCAACGTGTCGGTCTGGGAGGTGGGGCGGGAGCCTCGGATCGCTTCCACCTCCCAGCGGCGTGGCTGGGACCTCTGCTGCTGAGAGCGAGTGCCACCTAAGCTCGGCAATCGCTGATTCGGTTGCAGAGTTCCAGGTGACCTCCCCCTCCCCTCGCAGTTCTGGGCGTGTTTTCGTCTACCACCTTTTGCTTGAATCCTGCAAGATCTGCCTAGATCTTCGAACAAAAATGTCAGTGTATGAAACTTCAAAACGAATCAAAAGCCCACGGCTTATTATATTTATCTAATTGGATGGGAAATGGTGAAGAAAATGCATTTTTTTGGTACAGCTTATGGGACCATGACCGCTGCGCGTTTTTGAATGTGTACCTGTCCTGGGTCCACCCTGTCGTGTACACCCGTGACCACAGGGTCTGGTGTTATTTTTCTGTGTGTCTGGGTGTGTGTATTACTGTGGTGTGTATTATATATTATTGTTAGCATTTAAATGTTTTGTTTGCTCTATTCACTCCATGGGTGTTATTTGTACAGTACATGTTTCATCTGGGTGCCTCCTGGTGTCCTCAACCCTCTCTTGAAATTCCTGGGCTACAACACAATTTTTGCTTAGATTTAGTGGAAAAGTAGCTTTTGCTGTTATGCAACTTCATGCTGGAGCCAGCTCGACCTGGCTCACATTTTTATCCACTCGTTCATCCTGACCAGTTCCTTTCTTTCCTAGGAAACTACATTTGCCAAAAAAATACCGCATTGTAGTTTGCAAAATCCAAGATAGTCGTGGTACTTGAAGTTGAGCATGAGGGTCCTTCAGCCTAGAGCTTTGCTTAATAAAACGTAGGCAGAGCTTCTACTGGGAGAGTAACACTTAACTCTGCCCAGAGAGAAGTTGCCATGAGTTCAGTTTGTAAAATGCAATATTAAAATGCTCCTGGCAGGCCCTTGTGTGCAACCGCTGAAAAGGCAGAAATGTAATTTGTAGTATCATTTTTTGAATAGGGCAGGAGATGGCCAGGCAAAATAATTTCAAATCAGCCATTCCTTTGTTTATACCCAACTTGCCAGTCTTAGAGGCTCAGAAATTGACTTCCATTCTGCCTCCTGGATCTCACCCAGCCCATGTGAGTTTATTACAAACATCTGACTAAATTTACCCTTTCTTTAAGTGTAATCCATACAAACAATAAGCATTTATGAGACAATTGGAGAAAGTGGAATACAGACTGAATGTAAGAAATAGTTCATAAATTTTAGGTGATAATAGCACGAAGATTTTGTTTATAAAAGTACACACATCTGGCCGGGCACAGTGGCTCATGCCTGTAATCCCAGCACTTTGGGAGGCCAAGGCAGGTGGATCACAAGGTCAGGAGTTCAAGACCAGCCTGGCCAAGATGGTGAAACCCCGTCTCTACTAAAAATATAAAAATTAGCCGGGCGTGGTGGTGGGCACGTGTAATCCCAGCTACTTGGGAGGGTGAGGCAGAGAACTGCTTGAACCTGGGAGGCAGAGGTTGCAGTGAGCCGAGATCGCACCACTGCACTCCAGCTGGGCGACAAAGTGAGACTCCATCTCAAGAAAATAAAGATAAAAATAAAAGCACACATATCTATAATGTATGGACTATTTATGGATACAATAGTGAACACACAGTGCTTCATTAAGTTATGTAACCGTTTGGCTAAACCTATTAAGAATGGTTTTTGGTTTTGAGTTGTGTTGTGAGTTGTGGCCAGGAGCTACTAAGGAGAGTGGATTACACAGGAGGCCCTTCCAGTGCTGGTCTCAGATTGGCAGGTTGGGAATATCCTGCCTTCAAGGCCATCCCAAAGCACAAATTACAGACACAAGGTCCATGACTCAACTTGTTTCACTGCCTTTTAGTTTTTCTGATCACATCTAAAAGACAGTCTTTATTATTATTTTATTATTATTGTTATTATTATTATTATTATTATTATTATTGAGATGGAGTCTTGCTATGTCACCCAGGTGGAGTGCAGTGGCACAATCTTAGCTCACTGCGACTTCCACTTGTGCTAGCCACCACAACTAGCCAAAGACAGCCTTCTAAGAGGAAAAGACTTCCCTGCAAGTGTGTATGGGGGTGAACATCTGGCCTGTGACCCAATGAAGCTGGCTGCTCCCAATGACAAAATGCTTTAAATTTTTGGAAGTAATGTTCTTTCTCCTCATGAAGATGGGGAGCTGGAAAGGCACATAATACTTCATGGCATGAAACTGAGGGATGAAAACAGGTAATAAATAATCCAAGATTCCACGTTGAGATGTCAATCATAGCACCTGATTTTCAGCATTTATATGGAATACATGCCACCGAGTTTATTAATAGGGTGCTTCTATTTTCACATTGAAAAGTATAAAATCACAAATATTTCCTGACTTTTGATTACCTACATATTTTTATTGAATGTCAGGAGCAAACACTGAAGTGTTAATATTGATTTGTGCAACGAGTTCTGTTGAATAACATGAGATCCTTGATCCATGCTAATCTGGTCTTCAGTAACCTGGGTTTATTTTGCATCTGGTGAAAGGGGTTTCTTTCTTGGAGGACTACAGACATTCATTATTGTCTGAGAGCAATATAGCCAGATCTCTAAGAAGGTAAGGACAGAGACACAATGACGAGGATTCTCTAACCAAGAGCCTTTGACACTTTCGTGTCTTCGTTTATTTTTGAGAAAAAAAAAGAGTAAAAATTAGTACAGAAATATTTTAATGAAAAAAAGAATTCTAAAGTTCCTTATTGTTTATGAATGCACATAATGAATGCTTTGAAGCATTTAGGATCTTGGCTGGCATGTTTGACATACAAAACCATTTCTGATCCTTAAAACACAGAAAGAGAAAAGTTTGAGGGCAAGAGAGAGAGATCTGGTGGTCAGAGGACTGATGGTTTTCAAACCTAGACAAGGTTTTAAAACCCTTTCTTTGTGGTGCTCAATGAAGGGAGAGGAAAGATAAAGAAGTAAAGATACAATTTAAGGAAGTGGTAAGTGGCATCGAGAATCATGAATCAGGGTCTATTAGGTTCCTAGGGCTGCCATAACAAAGTACCACGGAATGGGAGGCTTTAAAACCGCAGAAGTTTGTTTGCTCACAGTCCAGAGGCTTGTAGTCCAAAGTCAGTGTCAGCAGCACCACACAGCTTCTAAGATGCGGGTAGAATCCTTCCCTGCCTCCACTAGCTTCTGGTTGTGGTCAGCAACCCCTTGGCATTTTTTTTAGCTTGTGGCCACATCACTCCAATCTCTGCCTCTGTTGCCATGTGACCATCTTCTCCCCGTGTCTGTCTTTACATGGCATTTTCATACGTGTGTGTGTGTGTGTCTCCTCATAAGAACATCAGTCCTATTGGAGGAGAGCCTACCCTAATGACCTCATGCTAACTTGATTACATTTGCAAAGACTCCATTCCTCAATGAGGTTACATTCACAGATACCTGGGAGTTAGGACTTCAGCATATCTTTTTAGGGGACACAATTCAACCAGTAAGACAGGGTGAGACATGGAGAGGACTGAGGCGGGGTGTGAGGATGCCGTTTGAATGGATAGCCATAAGCCTGCCTGAAACAAGGAAGCAAACCCCGGAGGTAGCTGACAGCAAAGCTGTGCACTCCAGGGGCACCACAAAGGCAATAGCTTCAAGATGGGCTTGTACCGGTTGCCAGTGTGGCTGTGGCTGTGATGCGTGGGACGGGAGCTGGCCAAGCCTTGTAGGGCATGGGAAGATTTAGGGCTGGCTTCTAGATGAGATGAAAGTCACTGGAGGCTTCTGAACGAAGAAGTACCCATAATTTGATTTATGTTTTCAAAGGTAGGTGCTATGGTTTGCCCCCACCACATCTTATGTTGAATTTTGATCCCCCATGTGGTGGTGGTGGTGGGAGGTAGGGCCTCATGGGAGGTGTTTGGGCCTTGGGGGTAGATCCTTCATGAAGAGATTAATGCCTTCCCTTGGGGATGTGTGGATTCTGTATTATTTCCAGCAAGAACTGCTTGTTAAAGAGAGTCTGGTCCCTCCTCCTCCCACCGCACCATGTGATCTCTGCACTGCTAGTTATCGTTGCCCTCTGCCCTGAGTGGAAGCAGTCTGAGGCCTTCATTGGAAGCAGATGTTGGTTCCATGCTTCTTGTACAGCCTGCAGAACGATGAGCCAAATAAACCTCTTTTCTTTATAAACAACCCAGCCCTACGTATTCCTCTATAGCAATGCGAAATGAACTAACACAGAAAATTGGTACCAAGGAGTGGGATATTGCTATAAAGATACCTGAAAGTGTGGAAGCAGCTTTGGAACTGGGTACTGGGCAGAGAATCGGAAGAGTTTGGAGGGCTCAGAAGAAAACAGCAAGAGGAGGGAAAGTTTGGAATTTCTTAGAGATTGGTTATATAGTTGTGACTAAACTGTTGATAGAAATATAGACAGTAAAGTTCATGCTGACAAGGTCTGAAATGGAAACAGATAACTTATTGGGAGCTGGAGAAAAGTCACCCTTGTTAGGCCTTAGCAAAGAACTTGGCTGCATTGTGTCCATGCCCTAGGGATTTTGGAAGGCCACACTTAAGAGTGATGTCCTAGGGTATCCTAAAGAAGAAATTTTTAATCAGCAAAGTGCTCAAGTAGTGGTGGGTGTGGCTGGGTTTAAAAGCTTAGGATCAGCCGGGCAGGGTGGCTCACGCCTGTAATCCCAGCACTTTGGGAGGCAGGCGGATCATGAGGTCAGGAGATCGAGACCAGCCTGGGCAACATGGTGAAACCCTGTCTCTATTACAATACAAGAAGTTAGCCTGATGTCGTGGTGCGCACCTGTAGTCCCAGCTACTTGGGAGGCTGAGGCAGGGGAGTCGCTTGAACTCGGGAAGAGGAGATTGCAGTGAGCTGAGATCAGGCCACTGTACTGCAGCCTGGTGACAGAGTGAGACTCTGTCTCAAAAAAAAAAAAAAAAAAAACTTAGGCTCAAGATCAATTACAGCAGCAAAGGAATGACCTAAAGGTAGAATTTATTATGAAAAGGGAAGCAGAGAGTAAAAGTTTGGAAAATCTGAAGCCTGGCCATGTGGCAGAGAATGAAAGAGCATTTTGGGAAAAGAATCCAAGGGCACAGTTGAGAGACTGCTTGAATCATGCTAGTAGCTAAGAAAATAAGAGAAAGGCCTTATAGCCATTTTGGAAATCTTTGAGGAGCCCCTCCCATCCCAGGCCCAGAGACTCAGGAGAATAGAATGGTTTTGGGGGGCAGGCCCTGCTGCTCTTCTGCCGTGCACCACCTCGGGATGCTACTGCCCCTATCTCAGGTGCACCAGCTCTAGCCTTCACTTAAAAGGTCCCAGGTGTGGTTCCAGATGGGCGAATAAGAGCAGAAGAGGCCAATAAGCAGAACAGAGAGGTTGCTCCAGAGGGCACAAGTTATAAATAAACCTTGGAGGCTTCCACATGTTGTCAAGTCTGCATATTCCCAGAATGCAAGAGTGATGGAGGCTTAGCTTCCACCTAGATTTCAGAGGATGTATCAGAAAGCCTGAGTGTGCGAGCAGAAGCCTGCTACAGGGGCAGAACTAACACAGAGAGTCCCTACCAGGGCACTGCCTAGGGGAGCCATGGGAACAGGGCTCATGTGGGGATCCCAGAATTAGAGAGCCACCAGCAGTATGCACCCTCACCTTGGAAAACAAACAGACATTCAACTCCAACCTGTCAGATCAGCCATGTGGGCTTCACCCAGCCAAGTTAGAGGGGTGGGGAGGGCGAAGGCTTGTTTTTGATTTTCCAGGCTCACAGCTGTAAGGAACTTGCCTCAAGCTCAGATGAGACTTTGGACTTTTGAGTTGATGCTGGAACAAGTTAAGATTTCGGGGACTATTGGGAAAGGATGCTTGTAATTTGCAGTATTTGAAAGACATGAGTTTTGGGGGGCCAGAGGTGCAATGCTATGATTTGGATATTTGACCTCCTCCTAACCTCATGTTGAAATTTGATCACCAGTGTTGGTGGTGGGGCCTAATGGGAGGTGTTTGAGTCGTGGGGGTGGACCCCTCATGAATGGCTTGTTGCCCTCCTGGAGGTAATAGAACTAATAGCGTGAGTTCTTGCTCCACTAATTCATGTAAGAGCTGGTTAAAAGGAGGCTTGCACCTCCCCTCTCTCTCTCTCTTGCTTCTTCTCTCTCCATGTGATCTCTGCATATACCTATTCTCCTTCACCTGTGCCACCAGTGGAAGCAGCCTGAGGCCCTCACCAGATGCCCAGTCTTGAATCTTCTGGCCAGCAGAACTGTGAGCTGAGTAAACCTCTTTCCTGCATAAATGATTCAGCCTCAGCTATCCCTTTATAGCCACATAGACGGCCGAAGGAGTGATACAGTGGAAGCCAGGGGCTGCTTAGGAGATAGTATAAATGTCTGGATGGTAAGTGGCTTGGCCCAGGCTGGTATCAGTGGATGGAAGGAAAAGAGGCTGAGTTCAGGGTCTGTTTTCAAGATGAAGTCAAAAGAATTTGTTGCTGGATTGGATGTGGCTTAGGAGAGGAAAATTTAAAACAAGTGCGACTTGGAGGTTTTTGTCCTGAGCAATTGTCATTTGCTGATAAAGGGAGCATCAGGAAGGAGCATGTCTGAAGGGGCATTCAGAGGTCAGACATGCTAAATTTGAGATGCTAAATTTTGGAGATGCTAACTTTGACATGCCTACTAGTCTTTCAAGTGGCGATGCTGAATAAGCAACAGGATATTTAGATCTGGAGTGTAGAGGCGGGGTCAGGACAGGAGCTAGGGCAGCTTTCAGCATATAAATGCTGCAGGGGTCACGGGATTGTGTGAGGTCACTTAGAGAGTGAAGAGTAGTTAGAGAGGAGTGATCAGGCAGGTCAGGAAAATGAGGAAGAGCTGCCACAGACTGAAGAGTTGTCAGTGACACAGGAGGAAAACCAAGGCAGCACAGGGTCCTGCGAGCCATGTGAATCGAGTTTTTCAAGAAGAGCGTCATCAACTGTATTCTAACAGGTGTTGTGGAAAATACTTCAGATTGAGGCCTTTATCCTGGCATTGAAGGATCTAATTCTCAGAAACTGCTTTTTTTTTTTTTTTAAAGATACTTTAAACAGTGGTAGTGTTACCGGAAAGGGGTCCTGATCCAGACCGCAAGAAAAAGTTCTTGGATCTCGTGTAAGAAAGAATTCGGAGTGAGTCCATAGAAGTAAAGTGAAAGCAAATCTATTAAGAAAGTAAAGGAATAAAAGAATGGCTTCTTCATAGGCAGAGCAGCGGCATGGACTGCTCAGCTGCTTATACTTACGGTTACTTCTTGATTATATGCTAAACAAGGGGTGGATTATTCATGAGTTTTCCGGGAAAGGGACGGGAAATTCCTGGAACTGAGGGTTCCTCTCCTTTTTAGACCATATAGGATGACTTCCTGATGTTACCATGGCATTTGTAAACACTCATGGCGCTTGTGGGAGTGTCTTCTAGCATGCTAATGCATTATAATTAGCATATAATGATCAGTGAGGATGACTAGAGGTCACGTTCGTGGCCATCTTGGTTTTGGTGGGATTTGGCCAGATTCTTTACCACAACCTGTTTTATCAGCAAGGTGTCTGTGACCTGTATCTTGAGCCAACCTCCTGTCTCATCCTGTGACGAATGCCTTTACCTCCTGGGAATGCTGCCCAGTGGTTCTCAGCCTTATTTTACCCAGCCCCTATTCAAGATGGAGTCTCTCTGGTTCGAATCTCTGACAGTAGGTGGGTTTTTTGGAGTGGGGTTCTCGAAAGGAAGAGAGAAAGGAAGGGCTTGCTACATCTTGCTACATTTTCCTCTCCATAGTATCGCTTTCCCACCTTCTCAGCTTTGTTCTTGGAAAAGTGTGTGTGTTCCTGTGGGGTGTTTCATGAAAAATGGAAAAATGAGAGTGGCATCTCTCAGTGTATATAACTAATTGGGAAGCAACTGAGTGGCTCAGAAGAATGTATGGTGTGGTTAACTGAGGAGCTACTTTTAGGGATGGCCTTTCCCCTTTACTGCCCATCAGGGAGGAGAAAACCCAACAGCTCTAGCGCTTTGATATTAATGACTGTGCTTAACAAGAAATCTCATCCAGGCTGCAGTCAATGATTCTTCTAATGAATTTATTTTCTCCTCCAACACAGTTCTATTGAATTAGGCTAATAGGTCACTTTTGATGAATAAGATTTGATTGTGATTCTCAGTTGATGATGAATAATCATGGTCCTTTTTCCTGCTTCCTTCTTGCTTTGTAACATTTGTTTATTTATTTTGGATATAAGGGTTTTGGGGTTTTTGTCTGTTTTTTCTTTTTTTTGAGACAGAGTCTCACTCTGTTGCCCAGGCTGGAGTGCAGTGGTGCGATCTCAGCTCACTGCAACCTCCGTGTCCCAGGATCAAACGATTCTCATGCCTCAGCCTCCCAAGTAGCTGGGACTACAGGCGTGTGCCGCCATGCCTGGCTACTTTTTTGTATTTTTTGGAAGAGATGAGGTTTTACTATGTTGGCCAGGCTGGTCTTGAACTCCTGGCCTCAAGTGATCCACCTTCCTTGGCCTCTCAGAGTGCTGGGATTATAGGCATAAGCCGCTGCACCCAGCTGGAGATGAGGTTTTGACCAACATCTCCTCACCGAGGGGATCCAGTGTGTGCCTTGGAAAAGCACCTCCAGCTCTTCCAGGAAGAGGAGGCTGTCATCCCCAGCATCAGGTTCTGTTTGGCTTGGAACTCCATGTCACATCAAACAAAGAATCTCATGGTGCATGAGATTTGTGCAAATAAAGTGAAAAAGCAACAATATGCTAATCTCTAAGTGGATGGAGAGGCAATGGCATGAGCCAGAGAAAGCTCTAGACTTGGAGTCAGAGGGTCTGTTTTTTCACTACCTTCTTGATGACCTGGAGTGAACTACTTGGCATCTATACATTAAAGAGACTAATATCTGCTTTGTTTCCACCACAAGTTCATCATAGAGATCTCATGTGACAACCATAAAAAAACAAATAGCACTTAGCTAGCAATCACTTACTGTAGGTCAGATGCTAATTTCAGCAGTTTTGACATATTAACTCATTTAACTCCCACAGTAATTATTACAGTTATTATGAGGTAGTTATTACCATATCATTCTCAATTTATAGATGAGAAAACTGAAACAGAAGAGGGCAAGTAGCTTCCCAAGGTCACACAGCCAGTAAGTGGCAGGCCTGGACCTGAAGCTAGTAATGATATTTAATGGTTCTTGAATTTTGCCACCTATTTCTCTATAAATTATACGATGCAATAGTCTCAAAAATTCAATGGTAATGGACGTTCACTTATAGTATGAATTCTTGTATTTTTTAAGTCTTTGAAAAATAACCAATTGACATAGTTAGGCTGAAGAGTCATATTCTTTTAAACAGTTAGACATGGGATTTGGGAGTCACTCAATTCCAATACCGTCTGGGTATCTGTGGGGACACTAGGCTGGCTCCTTTAGCTTTGCATCATTGCCATCAAACCACAGGCCAATTCTGTGGTCAGGCAGCTGGACCAGCTATACAGTTAGATCAGCTGGTGGGGCTATTTGGTCAAAAGGTCAAATTATTTTGCATAGATAATAGCAAATATTTGGATGCATAATCTCCAAAATCAGATAATCTCATGTTCCTGAGTAACATAGATACACAAGATGTGATAGCTTAGAAGGATCAGACAAGTAGCTCTGTTTGTCTAAATTCCATAGGATTTACAGATGGTTATTGTCATTTCTGGTAGCTTGAATTCCTGTTACATGATACACAGAATACCAAATTAGACCTTAATCCAGAGGTTCATTAATTTCACAGGCATTAAAGTATTTATGGGGCACAGATTTCTTGGGCATGATAATGGTGGGCTTTTCTTTCTTTCTTTCTTTCTTTTTTTGAGAGAGAGTCTTGCTCTGTCACCCAGACTGCAGTGCAGTGGTACAATCATAGCTCATCATAAACTCGGACTTGTGGGCTCAAGTCTCGGTCTCAGTCTCAGTCTCCAGGCATTGGAGTGCAGTGGTGTGATCTCGGCTCACTGTAACCTCCGCCTCCCGGGTTCAAGCAGTTCTTGTGCCTCAGCCTCCCGAGTGGTAGCTGGGATTACAGGCATGCGCCACCATGCCTGGCTAATTTTGTATTTTTAGTAGAGATGGGGTTTCGCCATGTTGCCCAGGCTGGTCTCAAACTTCTGACCTCAACTGATCCACCTGCGTTGGCCTCCCAAAATGCTGGGATTACAGGCATGAGCCACCACACCTGGCCTACAGTCCCCTATTCATTCTTGTTGAGTGGACACAACTGTGTGGCTGCAAGGGGCTTAGCTGAGATTTTTAGAGTCCGGTGGCCCACCACAGGCAGAACAGTGGGGGCACTCTTCCCTGGATGCAGGCAATAAGGGTGCCTTACTTATAGAGAAGGCAAAAATGACAACAAAAGCAACTTAAAGTCAGTTAGCTTTTTATTATCACTATTTGCCAGCAACTCTCAACAATGTTGGTGATAAAATACTCCTTCCCCAGAGACATTTTGTTGGTGAAATTCTAAATCGTTGCTACAGTTACAGTTGAGTTTTGATAATTTATATGTAAGCTTCAGATTAGTATACACATAATATTTACTCTTTAATAATAAGCATTTTATTCTACCTAGACATCGCCAGCCCCTGACAAATGTAATGTCTGCTTTACCATTTGTTTTGAGAGAAAGTTCACTGTGGTTCAAAATCTTGGCTGGGCAGAGTGGCTCACACCTATAATTGCAGCACTTTGGGAGGCCTACGTGGGAGGGTTGCTTGAGGCCAGGAGTTTGAGACCAGCTTGGGCAACATAGCAAGGCCCCATCTTTAAAAAAAAAAAATTAGCTCAGCATGGTCTCACATATGTGTAGGCCTAGCTACTCAGGAGGCTGAGGCAGGAGGATCACTTGAGCCCAGGAGTTCAAGGCTACAGTGAGCTAGGATCATGCCATTGCATTCCAGCCTGGGTGACAGAGTGAGATTCCGTTTCTAACGTTAAACACAAAATATTTTGCGTGCACTTTCAGCACAGTTTGTGTCCCCAGTCTCTGTGGAGCTACAGATTTCTGTGTTTAAACAGTAGAATCAAAATGAATGGTGACAACATATAGACTGCAAAGTAAACAAACAGCCTTGAATGGCTTCAGTTCTGCTGTTTTGTGTGACTGCTTGGAGACTATGAGACGGTGTGAACTACAGGCAGTAATATTTTTGTTTTCTAAGGGCAAATTTTAGCTCATACATGAACTGTTTTGCTGAATTTGAATAATATCTTTGGAGCTGAAATATTTTTTAATGTTTTAAAATTAATCAAAAGATGATAATTACATGACTTTTACTGAAAACAATATTGACATATGAGGAGGGGAGGATTAAAAAGTTATCTTCTCTAGAGTTACCTAAAAGCTATGAGGGCTGGGCATGGTGGCTCACTCCTGTAATCCCAGCACTTTGGGAGGCCAAGGCAGGTGGATCACCTGAGGTCAGGACTTCGAGACCAGCCTGACCAACGTGCTGAGACCCTGTCTCCATGTCTCTACTAAAAATACAAAAATGAGTTGGGTGTGGCGGCGGGCACCTGTAATCTCAGCTACTCAGGGTGCTCAGGCAAGAGAATCACTTGAACCTGGGAGGTGGAGGTTGCAGTGAGCTGAGATTATGCCACTGCCCTCCAACCTGGGCAATAGAGTAAGAATCTGTCTCAAAAAAAAAAAAAAGTTATTGGCCTCAAATATTCCAAAAATGTCATTACTACAGCGCATTTCTCTCTCCTTACGTTTTGCAGTTACTGGCCAACACCTTCCCAAGAACAAGCGTCCAAAAGAACCAGGAGAGAATAGAATCAAACCTACCAACAAGAAGGTGAAGCCCAAAATTCCTAAAATGAAGGACAGGGACTCAGCCAATTCAGCACCAAAGACGCAGTCTATCATGATGCAAGTGCTGGATAAAGGTCGCTTCCAGAAACCCGCCGCTACCCTGAGTCTGCTGGCGGGGCAAACTGTAGAGCTTCGATGTAAAGGGAGTAGAATTGGGTGGAGCTACCCTGCGTATCTGGACACCTTTAAGGATTCTCGCCTCAGGTAAGCATTTTTTTTTAAAACTGTGTAGGGTTGAGGATTTGTAATAGTTAACAAAATTCCTTCTTAACTATTATTACACATTGTTTCTGACATGTTCCATTTTACCCTAATAGATCATAAAAATAGAAGCTCAAAGGGCAAAAGTCACAGATTTTATTTCTTTACCCAGTTAATAACAATTGCAGGCCGGGTGCGGTGGCTCATGCCTGTAATCCCAGCACTTTGGGAGGCCGAGGTGGGCGGATCACGAGGTCAGGAGATCGAGGCTATCCTGGCTAACCCGGTGAAATCCCGTCTCTATTAAAAATACAGAAAATTAGCTGGGCGTGGTGGCAGGTGCCTGTAGTCCCAGCTACTCAGGAGGCTGAGGCAGGAGAATGGTGCGAACCTGGGAGGTGGAGCTTGCATTGAGCCGAGATAGTGCCAGTGCACTCCATCCAGCCTGGGTGACAGAGAGCGAGACTCCATCTCAAAAAAAAAAAAAAAAAAAATTGCAAATCCTACCAACATTTGCTGAAAGAGTGAAATTTTACAGGAAACCATGTGACAAAACCATATGACAATTTTCTATGAAAATGTATGATGTGTGGAATTTTATGGGAAACCAAAATGTTATAGAAAACTATTATGCATAGAGATGGATGTTTAAAAATTCATATTGTGTGGCCAGGTGCAGTGGCTCATGCCTGTAATCCCAGCCCTTTGGGAGGCCAAAGCAGGCAGATCACTTGAGGCCAGGAGTTGGAGATTAGCCTGGCCAACATGGTGAAACCCCGTCTCTACAAGAAATATAAATTAGCCAGATGTGGTAGCATGCACCTGCAATTCCAGTTACTCAGGCAGAGCTGAGGCAGAAGAGTCGCTTGAACCCGGGATGCAGAGGTTACAGTGAGCCGAGTTCGTACCACCGCACTCCAGCCTGGGTGACAGAGTGAAACTCCGTCTCAAAAAAATAAAAAAAAATCATACCGTGAAAGTTAATGGACTCAATGTTTTATGTTGTTTTTTTAAGTAATCATAATGAAAACTGAAATGACCTAACAGGAGATTTCTGTGAGCAACTTGACCAGATATCAACTTCAACTACTTTTCAACTGCTTCTCATTATTATTATTATTATTAATTTTTTTTTTTTGAGACGGAGTCTCGCTCTGTCCCACAGGTTGGAGTGCAGTGGTGCCATCTTGGCTCACTACAAGCTCCGCCTCCCGGGTTCACACCATTCTCCTGCCTCAGCCTCCCAAGTAGCTGGGACTACAGGTGCCTGCCACCACGCCTGGCTAATTTTTTGCTTTTTTAGTAGAGACAGAGTTTCACTATGTTAGCCAGGATGGTCTCAATCTCCTGACCTCATGATCCGCCTGCCTCGGCCTCCCAAAGTGCTGGGATTACAGGCGTGAGCCACCGCGCCTGGCTGCTTCTGATTATTTTGATGTTCATAAGTCTATGACTGTTACAGTCAGAGGCCTCAACTGGTAAGAAGGCCCATGATTTCTCATGTTTGAATGAGTACCTTCAGGAGGCTAGGCTTCTAGACCAGGAAGAGTGGTTACCATGGTGACAGCGGCAAGTGTGAGAAGCAAGAAAGAAACACGTGCTTCCTGGGGTGCTGGGAGGAACCTGAGCATGGGCTCTGCGTCAGGGGGTGTGTACGGGGTTACAGTCCTGTGCACCTTGGTGAAGTCTCCTAAACTCTGCCAGTTCTCAGTTTCCTTATGTGTAGAATGAAGGGTAGGGGATGACATGATTTCTAAGATTCTTTCTGGCCCTATTTCCGTATATGATGGAGAAATAGGATGGACTTACAATGGAGAAATACCAGATGTTGTCTGAGATGACAAGAATGGGAGAAAGAAAGCCTGCAGGCAGGCTGGGCACGGTGGCTCACGCCTGTAATCCCAGCACTTTGGGAGGCCAAGGCGGGCGGATCGTCATGAGGTCAAGAGATTGATACCATCCTAGCCAACATTGTGAAACCCCATCTCTACTAACAATATAAAAATTAGCTGGGCGTGGTGCATGTCTCTAGTCCCAGCTACTCGGAAGGCTGAGGCAGGAGGGGATTGCTTGAACCTGGGAGGCGGAGGTTGCAGTGAGCCGAGATCAGGCCACTGTGCTCCAGCCTAGCAACATCGCGATACTGTGTCTCAAAAAAGAAACAAAGAAAGAAAGGCTGCAGAGGGCAGGTATCTCAGACTCTGCATGTTCACAACGATTTATATTTCCACACAAACTGTGTTTTTGCAGAAATTCATCTCCCTCAAGGACATCATTATCCACTTGGTTACCCAACCAGAAGACTGGGCGGCATCCATGCCTCCTCCCTCTCCCCCACACTCTCCACATCCCATCGGTCACCAAGTTAAGCCAGTTCAGCCTTCACTTTAACATTTCAAAATTCTGAGTTTGGTGCAAAAATAATAGCTGTTCTTACCATGAAAAGTAATGATGAAAAACCACCATTGCTTTTGCGCCAACCTAATACATGACTCAGTTCCCTCTTCATAGCACTTGAGCCTTCTTCCAGGAATGGGAATCTGTCCATTTGCATTCCTGGAGTCACTGTCCCCTGTCTGAGGCGCTCTTCTCTCCCATCTCTGATACTGCGGTGACCACACCTGGGCTAGGGCTTCTCACTGCCGCTGGAGCAACACTTAAAAGTCAGAGTTCAGCGTGTGGCTTCCCTGCTCACCACTCGGTGGATGCCCTTGGGGATAAAGTCCAGCATCCTCATATGGCAGTGAAGCCCTCGCTGACCTCTGCCGTCCTCTGGAGTCACCTCTAATCTCGATCAGACACTCTGCTTTCGCTGCCCTGGGCTCCTGTGAGATTCTCAAAAGCGCCAGGCTCCTGGGGACTTCGAGTTTGCTCTTTCATAGCCAGGAACACTCTTGGGCCCCTCAGTACCGGGCTAACCTCAGGCATCACTGTCTCTGGGAAACCCATGGCAGGCCCCCCCAGCTATGTGTTCCCACAGCACTTGCTGTTTCCTCTTCCCAGCTCTCTTCACACTGAAAACTACTATTATTTTCTTTCAACATCTTTGTTTTTCACTGAGACTTAGCTGAGTGGTTGGCGGTTAGCTTTCTCTATTAATGTTTGACTGACAAGCCTCCCTGATACATTTGTCCTTCTTAAACCCACATACATGCACACACACACACACACACACACACACACACACACTACTCTACACACACACCTTGAGAGTAAATAAAAATAGACGTATAAGTGATATTAAACTGTCTACTTATCTCTCTTATCCTGTTGTATTAAGACATCTTTCACATTTTTATTCTGACTCTACCCTCTAGCATTGTGGATATAACAGGATAGAGTCCTTCTTAAAGGTGAGTGGGCTGGATGTGGATTGGAGAGGGAGAAAGTGAATCCGTTCTTCCTGTTTCCCTTTCCACACTTGAAGTGCGTAAGGGGGAACGTATGGATATTCTGCTTGGAAGAAATCTGGAAAGGCTTACCACTATATATATTTATGTACAGTAAAAAACATATAACATAGGTTTATCCTCTTAATGATTTTGAAGGCCAGGCATGATGACTCACACCTGTAATCCCAGCACTTTGGGAGGCCAAGGTGGGCGGATCACTTGAACCCAGGAGTTCAAGACCAGCTTGGGCAACATGATGAAACCATCTCTACTAAAAATACGGAAAAAAAAAATTTAACCTGGCTTTGTAGTGCATTCCTGTAGTCCCAGCTACTTGGGAGGCTAAGAGGGTGGGATCACCTGAGCCCAGGAAGTCAACGCTGCAGTGAGCCGTGATCATACCACTATATTCCAACCTGGGCAACAGGAGTGAGACTGTTTCAAAAAAAAAAAAAAAATTCTTGGCATAGTGACTCATGCCTGTAATCCCAGCACTTTGGGAGGCTGAGGCGGGCGGATCACCGGAGGTCAGGAGTTCGAGACCAGCCTGACCAACACAGCGAAACCCCGTCTCTACTAAAAATACAAAATTAGCTGGGCATGGTACATGACTGTAATTCCAGCTAGGGAGGCTGAGGCAGGAGAATCGCTTGAACCTGGGAGGCGGAGGTTGTGGTGAGCCGAGATCGTGCCTTTGCACTCCAGCCTGGGCAACAAGAGTGAAACTCCATCTCAAAAAAAAAAAAGAAAAAAAAAGAAAAAATAATTTTGAAGTGTACAGTATTGTTAACTATAGGCACATGGTTGTATAATAGACCTCTAGACCGTTTTCATCTTGCATGGCCGAAACTATGTGCCCACTGAACCCCTCTCCTAGCATTCTTTCCTGGCAGTCACCTTGCTACTGGCTGTTTCTATGAGTTTGACAACTCTAGGTACCCCATATAAATGGAACATGCAGCGTATTTGTTTTTTTTGTTACTGACGTATTTCCCACAGCATGATGTCCTCAAAGTTCTTTGATGTTGCAGCCTATGACGTGGTTTCCTCTTTGTTTAAGGCTGAGTAATATTATATTAAATGTATATATTACATTTTATTTTTGAGACGGAGTCTTGCTCTGTCACCCAGGCTGGAGTGCAGTGGGGGGATCTCGGCTCAGTACAGCTTCCGCCTCCCAGGTTCAAGCGATTCTCCTGCCTCAGCCTCCCAACTAGCTGGAATTACAGGCACACACCACCACACTCAGCTAATTTTTGTATCTTCTATAGAGACAGGGTTTCACTATGATGGCCAGGCTGGTCTTGAATTCCTGACCTCAACTGATCTGTCTGCCTCAGCCTCCTGTAAGTGCTGGGATTCCAGGTGTAAGCCACCATGCCTGGCCTATACTACATTTATTTTGTTTGTTTTGTTTTGAGATGGAGTCTTGCTCTGTCACCCAGGCTGGAGTGCAGTGGTGCGATCTCAGCTCACGGCAACCTCCGCCTCCCGGGTTCAAGCGATTCTCCTGCCTCAGCCTCTGGAGTAGCTGGGATTACAGGCACGTGCCACCATGCCTGGCTAATTTTTGTATTTTTAGTAGAGACAGGGTTTCACCGTGGTCTCGATCTCCTGACCTCATGATCCACCCACCTCGGCCTCCCAAAGTGCTGGGATTACAGGCGTGAGCCACTGTGCCTGGCCTAGACTACATTTTTGTAATCCATCATCCAGCGATAGGCATTTAGGCTCCTTCCACCTTCTGGCTGTTGTGAATGCTGCAGTGAACATGGATGTGCATATATTTCTTTGAGATTCTGCTTTTAATTCTTTTGGATGTATACCCGCAAGTGGGATTTACCACGTACATTTTTTTTTTTTCCTGATGTACATCCTGATGTTGATTTTACTGTTTGTGTTTTGAATACACAAGCCGGGTCAGGAGCAGTGAGATTTGCCAGCACTCAGGGCCCTATGGGTCTTGGGCCAGCTCTGGATGGAGGGACAGCCCCACATGCCCAGAGCAAGGCCCCCCATTAAGGGACTGCAGCCACCTCCAGGGACTCCGCCCTCCACTCACCTGCTCCCAAATGCCAGAGGGAGCCTCCTTGCCCTCCCTCCCTGCCCACCATCCCCTCAACCATTAGCCTGGCGTTCAAAGCCTTTCCAAGTTCCACTTGAGTTTTCCTGCTCCCAAAGGTGCCCAGGGTCTGGGCAGGCCCAGCTCATATCCCTGATGGTGGCACATTCTCTGGAGGACCCTCCTGTTCTCGGGTAGGGGCCATGCCCCACCTAGGTAGCCGCCCTATTTTGGATCCCGTAGGATCTCTAAAACCCAGCTCTGGCCCCAACTTTCTGTCTGGCCTGGAGGTTTCTCAGCCTCCTGAGAACTCTCCTGGGCCCTGGTCTGGGCAGAACCTGGACCTAAACAAACAAGAGCCAGGGCAGCCAGGGTCTCTGCGTGGCTGAGCCCAGGGCTTGACCTCAGAGCTCCCCTGTCCAACAGGAGAGGAGTGTGCCTCCACCTTCCCTACTACCCGCCCCTTTTTCAGGGTCTCAGGGCCTCTAGCCCTGTGGTGGGGCGGGGGTGCTGGGTACCCCAGGTAGAGCTAAGGTTATGGGGCTGTTGAGGAGTTGGCGTCCACCTGGAGTCTGTCCAGTGAGTTTAGGTCAACAGGTGTGCAGCCTGCCCTTCGAGGCTGAGCCACCTCCCAACAGCCTGTACAACTCGAGGGGCCTTTTGAGGGAGGGGCAGGCAGGCCCAATGGGTAGTCAACCCAAGGTGAACCCACCCACCATGGCCAGGGTTCCTCAGGTTGAGCCTCCAGTGGGTGAAACCTGGGAGTCCTCAACCTTACTGGCAGATGGGGCCGTTGACAAGAGGAGGTGGGTGGGGCCTCCACAGACTCCGCCCTGTGGTATCACACAGCTGGCAGCCAATGGGAAGCAACCAGCCAGGAAGCCCCAGAGTTACCCTTGCTGGGTACCCTTGCTGGGGGACCTGGGCCATCCCAGTTTGTGAGAAGTGGCCGGAGGCAGTTAGGAGCCCACATTCAATCCAAGGCCGTCCACTGAGCCCCGTGTGACTCTGACCGGGCTGGGGGTGTCCATGTCCTCTCTGGACCTCAGTTCCTGTAAAATGGCCCACTGGCCAGATCGGCTGCCAGGCTGCTCACAGGCACATGGGCTGCACGTAACTCCGTGGGAAGAAGCCAACGCGCCCGCAGGACCGGCCCTGCCTCCAATACCACGTACATTTTAAACGACCTTATTCACCAAAGTCAGATTCATGCACTTTTTATAAAAAAACAGAATTGATATAATTTAAATTATTCTGAACATTTAGTCTTTGACTTCCTACACAAAGCATCTTAAGCTTAGAGGATTCCATGCTTGAAGTTTTAGTATTTTCTAAGAGTATTTTCAAATATATCTAAATTATATATTAAAATGCATTTGAAAACATTTTAAAGACTCTAAAGTGAGCGTTAATCTGAAGAGAAATATTCAGCATGTGAAAAAACAAATTTTGACTCTTTGAATAGTGTTCATTCGAAGCACAGCAAGAGCCTTAGAAGAAAGTAATGACAGATGTGGGCTTCCAAAAACTTATGAAACATTGTGAAAAAATGTGAAAAACATCTAGTCATAGCTATATCAACCACAGATGTGCTATTTGCCCTCAAGGGGGCACGATGTATTTCACACCAGAGATTCAAGAAACGGACTCTTGACATCGTTCCCAGAACGTGGTGCCTTTGGATAGAGAAGTATTCATTCTGTGTTTTCTTTTTTCCGTAGAATGAGTTCTTTCCAGGGCTATGACAGTGTTGGGTTTGGAAGCTCCCCAGGTGTTCATCCAACAAAGCCTTGTAGTTTTTTTTGTTTTTTGTTTTTGTTTTTTGGCAAAGTCTTGCTCTGTCGCCTAGGTTGGCGTGCAGTGGCACGATCTCAGCTCACTGCAACCTCTACCTCTCATGTTCAAGCAATTCTAGTGCCTCAGCCTCCCGAGTAGCTGATACTACAGGTATCTGCCGCCACACCTGGCTAATTTTTGTATTTTAAGTAGAGACTGGCTTTCGGTAAGTTGGCCAGGCTGGTCTACACCTCTTGGCCTCAAGTGATCCGTCCACCTTGGCCTCTCAAAGTCCTGAGATTTCAGGCATGAGCCTCCTCGTCCAGCCAAGCCTTGTAGTTATAACCAATATTGTTGGCTTTCTGGAAGCACGACCACATTTATCCGAATGTAATCTTCTGACTGCTTCATCTTTTCCTACTAAATTGTGAAATGTTCTTGACACTCACCTACAAAAGCAGGCCAACAGAGAGAGCAATTAATGAAGAAGAAGGAGATCTAATGAACTTTAGAGCTCTAGGAAGTAAAATGCCCAAGTAGAGAAAAATGCAATATACATTTTTTTTTCCCAAAGTGCTGGGAATGTCACAGTTGCTTACTAAATACTTCAATGAATTGATGTATCTGGCTTTATTCATCAGTGATTTTGGTAAATGATTAAAACACAATATGAAGAAAACATTCATGGCACCCAAATATAATTTGGCATCTCTCTAGGATTGGAGGATGCAGAAATCCATCTCTTCTTACGGATTTTTCACAGTGGTGTTTTAGCAAGGATGCTGCCTCAGTTTCTTAGCCTGTAAAACAAGATGGTCTCTAAGGACCCACTCAACTATGAATTTGGGATTTGGGAATTTGTTTAAAGCAATATTTCAGTAAGTTAATGTGTTGTAACCTGCAGTGATTTCATATGGATTTTTATGTAGATCTCCTTATGATTTTGATGACAATATGGTATTCCATCAATGTTATATAGCATTGTGTTCTTACCTAGTTCCCAGCTTGTGGCTTTTTGAGTTTTTACTATCATAAATAGTGCATTTATAAACATTATTATATAAATAACTTGATCTCATGGTTCATATGTGTAACACAGAGAAAGCATTCAATTTACTCAATAAGGATAAATGTCTTATCCTATATGTTTCCTGCAGTGAGAATAAAGACAAAGAATGTTGTGGAACAGAGAAGCCAGAGGCTGAGGCACAGCTAGATTTGAATCTTCCGTTTATTACTAACCAGCAAAGTGGTGTGTGATCAGTAGTTTCCCTAGAACCCAGTTGCCTTATCTGGAATGTGAATATATTATTGCTTATTTGTTTATTTAATTGATTACTTCTTTATAATCTGGGATCTGTGTCCTTCTTCCCTCCTGAAAGAATAAACCCCTTGAGGGCAAATAACACATCTGTGGTTTATCATCAGATTCCTAGCACCTAGAACAATGTCTGACACATACCAGAGCTCAGGAAGTATGTTTTGGCTTCCACAGGGGTTTAGGCCGCATGTCAGAAGTCAGTTCTTAGTCATTCATTCATTCAGTATTTAAAGATAATTACTGAGTACTGATGTGTACACTGCATGTATTGGGAGGTAGGTCAGCTAGGCAAACAACAAAGTATTAATGTATTTCATATCTATGGTGCTGTGTCACCTGGATCCATCCCCATTGTCTCAGAGCCTGATATGGTTTGGCTGTTTCCCCTCCAAAATCTCATCTTGAATTATAGCTCCTGTAATTCCCACATGTTGTGGGAGGGGCCCAGTGGGAGATAATTGAATCATAAGGGCAGTTCCCCCATACTGTTCTCATGGTAGTTAATACGTCTCACGAGATCACATGGTTTTCTAAGGGGAAACCCATTTCTCTTGGTGCTCATTCTCTCTTGCCAGCTACCACGTAAGACATCCCTTGCTCTTCCACCAGGATTGTGAGACCTCCCCAGCCACGTGGAACTGTGAATCCATTCAACTTCTTTCCTTTATACATTACTCAGTCTCAGGTATGTCTTTATTAGCAATGTGAGAACAGACTAATACAGAACCTATTGTTACTTGACCTCATAGAGCCGTTAGTCCATTGACTCTCCCTTCTCCCTCTTTATCCACATTGCACCTTTATGTCTTTACTTCTCTCTCTCTTTTAAAATTTTATTTTTCCATAAATTATTGAGGTACAGGTGGCATTTGGTTACATACGTTCTTTAGTGTGAGCCATCAGATCCTGGTGCACCCGTCGTCACCCAAGCAGTATACACTGCACCATATTTGCATATTTGTTATCTTTTATCCCTCACTGCCCCAAACTCTTCCCCCCAAGTCCCTAAAGTCCATTGTATCATTCTTACGCCTTTGTGTCCTCACAGCTTAGCTCCCACATATCGGTGAGAACTTATGATGTTTTCTATTCCTGAGTTACTTTACTTAGAATAATAGTCTCCAATTCTGGGCTCTGTCATTTCTACTGAACTCTTGAATATGTCCTAAGTTCCTTTGCTCTCTGTTCTTCCTTCATTTCCACTTGGAAACTTGCGACCCTAAATGACCCTGTTCATCTACTTTCTCTTGTCTGCACATGGACCCTGAGGACTGCTGGAAGGAGCCGTACAGCTCGCCACGTGGCCGTGGCTGCCAGTAGATGTGGCCACCTCACGTTTGCTTGGCAAAATCAATACATTTCTCTAGAAAGGTCACTTTTTCTCTCTTCTTAAACCTCTCATCTTCATCTCTCTGACTTTCAGCTAATGAAATTATCCCCTAACTTATTAAGAAATTGGAGCTCTAATCACCTTAAGTTTCTCTGATCATATGTCCTCCTTCCCTGATCTACCAGTGACGGGAAGAAGGATGAGGATTTTCCCTCCTAAGGCCAAAGCACTATCCGTGCCCTGGATCTCATCTCTACCTACTTTCCCAGGAACTTCAATACATCACTTACTGCCTCTTCATTCTGGATCATCAACATCTCCTTGAAAAGGATTTATGGGTCCTTTTCATCAATATTCACCAAATTAAGAAATTCTGCCTTGACCCCCATGCACCCTGCAGCCATCTTCCTCTCTGATAACCTTCACACCCAGTTCCCTGGGAGGAGTCTCTGTCCTCATTGTATTCACTTTTTTTCTTTTTCCTATTCATTCTTCAATAACTCTACCTGGCTCCTGGCCCCATTACTCCACATGCATTTTTTCACCAAGGTCAACAAGGGCACTAAATCCAGAGTTCGCTTTTCCATGCCTTGAGATTTCCTGCACCAACTCCATTTAGCTGAGTGAAGCATCGTGTCTTGGCCTTTGCAGTCCTGTGTCCTTCTGGTTTTCTCTCTGTCTCACAGCCCTTCTGGAGTCCTCTTCACCAGCTCTGAATCCTCCACTCTTCCAGACATTGAATGTTGGTTCTATACACTCCTCTCTACTTGCTGGCGAATGCCCTCGATTTGTCCTATATTACATTAAACGTTTCTTCTGAGCTCCAGACTGAGCTACCTAGCTGCCTGCTCACAATATCTGCTTGGATCTTTCATGAGCTTTTATTTACGCTGAACCATCTATCCTAGCAACAGGGGAGGCCAAGATGGGAGGATCACTTGAGGCCAGGACTTTGAGACCAGCCTGAGCAACACAGCAAGACCCCCATCTCTAAAAAAAAAATTGTTTTAAATTACAGGTGTGGTGGTACATGCCTGTAGTTGCAGCTACTCAGGATGCTGTGGTGAGAAGATCACTTGGGCCCAGGAGTTTGAGGCTGTAGTGAACTATGATCTGTGACTGTGCTCCAGCCTGGGCAACAGAGCAAGACCCCATCTCTAAAAAAAAAAAACAAAAAAACCTCTAAAAATTAGCCAGGCATAGTAGTGCACCCCTGTAGTCCCAGCTACTTGGGAGGCTCGGATGGTAAGATAGTTTGGGCCCAGGAGCTCAAGACTGCAGTGAGCTATGATTGTGCCAGTGCTCTCCAGCCTGGGAGACAGAGCAAGGCCCATCTCTAAAGAAATAATAAACAAACTGAGCTCATGATCTTTCTCCACACCTGGTCATCCTCCTGTGTCCTTCAGTTCAGAGAATGGCACTAATTCCATCCAGTTGCTCTTGACCAGAGGCCCGGGAATCACTTGAAAACCACTTTCGTTATTCACTCCCGCATCCAACCAATGATGCTACTATCTAAGCATTTCTTGAATTGTCCCACTTCTTCCTATCACAACAGCAGTGACTGTAGTCTCTAACCTTAGAGGGTGTCTGTTTATTCCCTGATGTTTTCCTCACACCCAGCACAGTCTCCAGCATGCCCCAGGTCCTCCATATGTATTTCTATGAATGAATGGTGCCAGAGGCACTGAGCCTGCAGGGGATCTAAAGTCAGGCCCCTGAGATCATGTGACCTGAGACTCTGGGAGCAAGCTCAAAGAACTTTAGACCTGAAAGGGACCTTCTGATTGTTAACTTATACCCCCGTTTTTGTTTTTTTTTTTTTCCTCTTTCTAACTTTTAGGTTGAGCGTGTATATGTGCAGGTTTGTTACGTGGGTAAATTGCATGTCACGAGGGTTTGGTGTAGATTATTTCATTATCCAGGTAATAAGCTTAGTACCCGATAGGTAGTTTCTCAGTCCTCACCCTCTTCCCACCCTCCACCTTCAAGTGGGCCCCTGTGTCTATAATTCCTGTCTTTGTGTCGAGGTGTACTGAATGGTTAGCTCCCCTTTAAAAGTGAGAGCATGTGGTATTTAGTCTTCAGTTCCTGTGTTGGTTTACTTAGGATAATGGCCTCCAGCTGCATCCATGTTGCTGCAAAGGACATGATTTCATTCTTTTTTATGGTTGTGTAGTATTCCATGGTGTGTATGTACCACATTTTCTTTATGCAGTCTACTATTGATGGGCATCTAGGTTGATTCCTTGTCTTTGCTCTTGTGACTAGTGCTGCATGAACATAGGAATTCTTGTGCCTTTGTGGTAGAACTATCTATATTCCTTTGGATACATACTTGGTAATGGGATTGCTGGCCCACATGGTAGCTCTAAGTTCTTCAAGAAATATCCAAACTGCTTTGCACAGTGGCTGAATGAATCCACATTCCCACCTGCAGTATGTAAACTTCCCCTTTCCTCCATGACCTTGACGGCATCTGTTATTTTTGGCTTTGGTTACTAGCAGTTCTGACCGGTGTGAGAGGGTATCTCATTGTGGATTTGGTTTGGATTTCTTTAATGATTAGTATGTTGGGCATATTGGCCATGTGTATGTCTTCGAGGAAGCCCCACTTTTTGACAGATAAGGGAACTGAGAGTCATAGAGGAGATGTGGCTGGTCAGAGGGACAAGCTGGCAAGTGGCTGCATGAGTCCCAGAACTTGGGAGCCCTAGTTCCTGAGGCAGAGCGGCTGCCCCACTTCAGAGCTCTGTGGTATGTGTGTTGAGATAAATTCAGATCACAGTACACTCTCGGTCTGATGGAGGTAGCTTCAGGCAAGAGAGAGTAATCATCGAATTTTTTTTTAAAGCTGTAGACTAAACTAACCTGATTTCTAAAGATTCAAAACAGAAATGAAAAGCAGATACCCAGAATGAGGCATTGATTTTTCTTGGTGGAATAGCTTTGCGTGGAAAGTGGTTGAAATTCCACATTGATTTAGGGTAGCTCTTTGGATGCCAGAGTGTGAAAACCTGATACTGGGCTATTTGGAAAGGAGAGCTCTGTTGGAAGAGCGTAACTGCAGGATGCTCTTGGAGTTCTGGTCTACTCTGCGATGCTTGTTTGCAAAACCCTGTCATGAGAAGGTCCACTAGATGGCAGGTTTCAGCTGTGCTACAACTGGCTTCCTATCACCAGTAAATGAAGAAACATTCCAAATGAGAACTGAGTGGATACAATATGTGCCCACTTATACCTATGGTCCTTTCAGCCTTTCAGGCTACGTAGTGGTCACAGTTTCAAGTTGTATTTTAAACAGTATAGAATTCATTTTACAAACAAATTTTATTTTATTTTTATTTATTTATTTTTGGAGACAGAGTCTTCTTTCTTGCCCAGCCTGGAGTGCAGTGGCACGATCTCAGCTTACTGCAACCTCTGCCTCCTGGGTTCAGGTGACTCTCATGCCTCAGCCTCTCAAGTAGCTGAGGTTACAGGCGTGCGCCACCAAGCTTGGCTAATTTTTTGTGTTTTTAGTAGAGACGGGGTTTTGCGATGTTGGCCAGGCTTGTGTTGAACTGTTGACCTCAAGTGATCCACCCACCACCTGGGCCTCGCTAAGTGCTGGGATTACAAGCATGAGCCACCACGCCCAGCCCAACAAACACATTTTTTAAAAAGGGAGCAGACATTTGTAAGTGTATGTACCCACACAGGGACAAATTTATTCATGCCCCTGTCCCCTGCTGGGTCTTTCAGGAGCAGTGGCCCCCTTGAACAGTGTAGTTGATCCCTTCGAGGCTAATATAAACTTGCTGATGACTGTATTTTCAGGTGCTGAAATTGATTCAGGTTTTACCTCCAGACTCAGTCCATCCCAGATCCCATAAACATCTCCTGTCTTTGAGATCGGAAATAGCAAAGGTACTGTTTCTGACAACAGTAGTTATCATTTGTCGAACACTCTGTTTCTTGACTCCTCTGCCCTGTTCCTTTCTTCCCACTGTTTTATCATAAGCATCTACTATGTTTGTGGTCTCTGCTAGGCAGATGATGGAGATAAGATGGTGAGCAAAATAGATAAAATCTCTATATCCCATAGATCTTTTAATCTTAGGGAAGACAATTAAATAAGCAATTTTAATAAAATATTAAAGTCTGTTAGCAAGTGCCTTGCTAACCGAAGTATGCTGTCAAGGAGGAGGAAACTCAAGCTCATATTTGAAAGTTCCCTGGGTAAGGAAGGGCATAGCAAGATATAAGGAAATTCCAGAAAGAGAGAAGTGTTTGAAGGAAGTACCTAGAAGTGGGAAAGAGTATAAAACTTGGAGCATGAAGGGCAGGTGGGTAAGATGTGGCGGTCAGAGGCGAGGGAGTGGGAAGGAGGTTAGGAGGAGAGATGATGATGGGAGGTGAGGCAGACCATGGAGGGCCTTGTTGGCCACATTAAGAAATTTAGAGTGCTGGAGAGGATGTGGAGTAATAGGAACACTTTTACACTGTTGGTGGGACTGTAAACTAGTTCAACCATTGTGGAAGTCAGTGTGGCGATTCCTCAGGGATCTAGAACTAGAAATACCATTTGACCCAGCCATCCCATTACTGGGTATATACCCAAAGAGTTATAAATCATGCTGCTATAAAGACACATGCACACGTATGTTTATAGCGGCACTATTCACAATAGCAAAGACTTGGAACCAACCTAAATATCCAACAGCGATAGACTGGATTAAGAAAATGTGGCACATATACACCATGGAATACTATGCAGCCATGAAAAATGATGAGTTCATGTCCTTTGTAGGGACATGGATGAAGCTGGAAACCATCATTCTCAGCAAACTGTCGTAAGGACAAAAAACCAAACACTGCATGTTCTCACTCATAGGTAGGAATTGAACAACGAGAATGCATGGACACAGGAAGGGGAACTTCACATACCGGGGACTGTTGTGGGGTGGGGGGATGGGAGAGGGATAGCATTAGGAGATATACCTAATGCTAAATGACGAGTTAATGGGTGCAGCATACCAGCATGGCACATGTATACATATGTAACAAACCTGCACGTCATGCACATGTACTCTAAAACTTAAAGTATAATAATAATAAAATTTAAAAAAAATTTAGAGCAAAATTTAGGGCAATTATGAGTCGAGGATTTAAAGCCTTTCTAAATATGTATACAAAGAAAATGCATGGCTGGGCATGGTGGCTCACGCCTGTAATTCCAGCCCTTTGGGAGGCTGAGGCGGGTGAATCACTTGAGCTCAGGAGTTTGAGACCAGCTTGGGCAACATGGCAAGACCCCATCTCTACGAAAAAAGATACACAAATTAGCAGAGCATGGTGGCGTGTGCCTATAGTCGTAGCTACCTGGGAGGCTGAGGTGGGAGGATTGCTTGACTCTGGGAGGTGGAGGCTGCAGTGAGCTGAGATCATGCCACTGCGCTCCAGCTTGGGCAACAGAGTGAGACTCTGTCCCAGAAAGAATGAAAGAAGGGAGAGAGAGAGACAGGGAGAGGGAAGGAAGGAGGGAGAGAGACTGAAAGAAGATGCTGAGTAATATAAACCGCATTGTGAGGGTTAGCCGTCCTCATTGCCTTCAGAAGAAAGACAATGTCTCTTCCTGTGTCAGTTGCCTCCATCCTTCCTCCCCATGCCCCATACCCATTTCACTCCAACTGGGGTCTTTAGATGTGTTCTTGGACCTCATGCTTTTTTGCAATAATTTTTTAAATTTTTTCTTGCATTTTGTTGATAATATTAAAAACTTTGTGTAAGAATATTCTGGATTATCTGAATAACCCCTGCTGGGAGATCAACGTGACCCATTTGCATCTTCTCTGCACACATTTTGTTTCTTGAATCTCATCATAACACACTTCCAGGGTGTAAAGCCAGAGAATTCTTGGCACCGCGCTGAGCCAGGGAAGAAAATGAGATGAAACGGAGAATAAGTGGGTCTGGACGAAGGCTTAAATATAACCAATCAATGCTGGTAGGAACAAGGAGACGTTGGAGATTTCAGCTATGTTGTCAGCAACATCACAGCAGTAAAAACAAGATAGGCTGATGTGGTAATAAGCCCTGGTCCTGCTCCCTAGGAAATAAGAGTCCAGGCATTGTCTTTCAGGATGTTTTTCTGGTATCTGGTCGGATGTTAGCATTTTTTCAGTCAAAAACTGGGAGTTGGGAGGAGTGCGTGGGGCACAGGAGATCTCTTTGATGGCTGGCTCCTCGGAAAACAATAAATAGCTTTTAGAGAGAAGGGAGGGCATCGGGCTTTTCATTTGGCCACGGTTGGCAACAGCTTACTCCACCCACAGACAACACAAAGGGAGGGTGGGCCGATGGAGCAGAGAGTGGGCTCCCAGCCAGGCTCATCATGTCATCCAGCATCTGGAGGGAGAGTCTGGAAGACATTTTAAAAGAAAAGGAGAAATATCTTAAGTGGTTATCAACAGAAGAATCCCACCATTGAGAAAGAATCTGCACAGACTTTGGTAAATGTTGTGGAGAGTACTCTGGTGTTATGCTGAGTAAGGTATTTTTTTTCAAATAATTTATATTTTTCGAAAATACACAGAACGTACAATTTACCATATTAACCATTTTTAAGGAGATAGTTCAGTACACTTAAGTGCATTCATATCATTATGTGAGTGTCTTTTGTATGCGAACTCACTTTCCTCCAAAGCTCGTTTTATTTTATTTTCTGAGCAGAACAAATGAAGATGAGGAGGCTCTCACTTTGCCTTCATTCTTATCTGGAGCATGGGTCCAATTGGGGTCTAATTTGCAGTGGCCAGTCAAAAGGAAACGCCACCCCCAAACTCTAATACTTGCCTTCAAATGGTCTTCCACCCCAGAAATGACAAATAGGTGACCTAACCAATGCTGAAGGTAGAGCGTTCTCTTTCCAGACTCACTGGCACCAGCTGCAGGCCCTCCGTATTTCCCCAGAGATGGGTGGGTGGAGGCTGCAGGATACAAGACTTCCCCCAGTGTACTCAATGTTCTGAGAGCGTTCAGCTTGCAGAAAAACACAGCTATGTTCCGTTCAGGACAAGGGTGGGGGGCAGGTAATAATAGAACGAGGCTCATTGTGCTGTTCTCAGGATAGAATGAGGTCATGCGTGTAAACCTCTTGGCACACATAGTAAGCCACCTAAATATCGGTGAGCTATTTCTGTTCACCATACTGTACCCAAAGGAGGTAAATCATAAGAAACAGCCAGTTTTTCGTTTTTTGTTTTTTTGTTTTTTTTTTTTTTTTTTTGAGACGGAGTCTTGCTCTGTCACCCAGGCTGGAGTGCAGTGGTGCAATCTGGGCTCACTGCAACCTCCACCTCCCAGGTTCAAGCAATTCTCCTGCCTCAGGCTCCTGAGTAGCTGGGATTACAGGTGCATGCCACCATGCCCTGCTAATTTTTGTATTTTGATTGGAAATGGGGTTTCCTCATGTTGGCCAGGCTGGTCTCAAACTCCTGACCTCAAGTGATCCACCTGCCTTGGCCTGCGAGTTTCGTTTTAAGAAACGTTTTAGACGTGTGTCTCAATCCCCTACAAACTCTTTGTGTCCATAGCACTGTGGAGGGCTCACTGATGCTCATACTAATGGTCCCAAGGTTCTCTAGATCACCCATTGCTCGTCGATCTAGTCATTAGAGTAGGGGAAATTGGTTGAAGCACGTTCTATAGTTTTGGGGAAAACGTCTTCTGCTAACTCTTACTTAAAAATAATGTTTCTACCTACACCAAATATGTATTTAAAAAAACAACAAAAAAAGTTTCTTTCAACAAAACATTTCATTTCTTGAGCATTTCTGGTAAGTCTAGGATTGATTATCCCAGATGTGTTGCACAGAATTAAAATACAGTAAGAAAATGACAATACAGTCAAGCTAGTGCGTTAAACCAAAGACACTGTAGGAATATCACCAACTATGTTAGATGATAATTTTGGGGCATCTTGCAAGATGGAGCATTGTTTATAGTACCAGTGATTGCATGTATTTTATGAGTGAAATGTTGCTTTAACAAGTAAGTATACATGTGGGTGACGTCTGGGATTTAATGCTCAAATGTAAACACTGGTGTGTTAGTAGCATGATTTTTGGCCAAGTATTTGAATATAGAAGATGTAAATAAAACAGCTTTGAAAGATATGTCAAAGGAGGGAGCAAGAAAAGAGGAATAAAGGATAAGATGTAAAATGGGAAATTTTATGTCCACTAGTGTATAATTGTGTAGAATGGCACATTTATAAAAAAGCAAAACGAAGATGTCAGAGGTTTGCCTCCAGTGTCCGGGCTTGGCTGCCTTGGCGGCTCCGTCCCACCCACACAGCCGGCTGCAGGTGGGCAGCTGCTAAGTTGCTGCCCTGGGGAGTCCGCCCAGAACCTTCTCTTGTCACTTCCCGTCCTGCATTCCCAACTTGTCCACTCTGTCCTGGGGCCTCAGGGGCCTGTCTCCTGCCTCGCTTGGTGCCTTCCTGCTCAAAGACTTTGCTTGGATTGCCTTTGGGAGTTCATCCTGATTTGCCCCTGGTCTCTGCCTTTCAGACCACATCCTACTGTCCAAAGCACTCCTCTCTCTCCATCCCACTGCCTAGATCCCAGATGAGATCTGGTGTCTCAGTTACATTGGAGCAGAGGTCAGAAAGCACCAGCTCACCCTTCCCTGTAACAGCACTGTTGTTTGTGAACTTGACTTCATAGCTGGGAAAAGGTAGGGGGTTGGGGGCCCTGTGAGTCAACCAACATTGATACAAGTGAATCAATGTTGAACGTGCCCTCATGCGTTTATTTACCCAGGTGGCTCGTGCATTGGCACAATATATCACATCAGCTGGTAGGCATCCTGGGGAAGGAGGCAGAGGGAGGCACTGTCCCATACAAGAGCCGGAGGGGTGACCAGAGCGAGTGTGTCACAGCCTTCAGTTCAGTGTTGGTCTGCTGAGGAGAATGCACGCTAAATAGCATTAACGTTTGCTTAATGTATATATAAAGGCAGTCTACTAAGTCAGAATGCTTATGAGGGGGGAAAAAAGACAGAAATAGTCCCAACGACAAGCAGCTTAAGAACTAGTGAGATAAAAGACAAACCAGATACAAGGACAGAGCAACAGAAGACAGTGTGTGGTCAAGTGTGAGTGTGGAGCGGCTGATAGGAAGGAGAGAAGGCAGCTGTGAGCAGGCGTTGGTGAGGCAAATGGAATCATTGTGTAAGTGATGACCTGATTGTTGGAGACCAGGCCTTGAAGATAAGATAGAGACTTGTACAAAGCAGAGCCAAGGAGGGGCCAGGCAAGGCAGCTCATGCCTGTAATCCCAGCACTTTGGCAGACTGAGGCAGGAGGATCACTTGAGCCCGGGAGTTTGAGACCAGCCTGAGCAAAATAGTGAGACCCCATCTCTTAAAAACAAACAAAAAGTTTTAGCTGGATATAGTGCTACACCCTGTGGTCCTGGCTGCTTGGGAGGCTGGGGTGGGTGGTTGAGGCTACAGTGAGCCATGGTCACACTGCTGCACTCCAGCCTGGGTGACAGAGCAAGACTGTCTCAAATAGTGATAATAAAATAGGAGCCAGCTGGGCACAGTGGCTCATTCCTGTAATGCCACCACTTTGGGTGGCTGAGGCTGGTGGATCACCTGAGTTTGGGAATTCAAGACCAGCCTGGCCAACATGATGAAACCCTATGTCTACTAAAAATACAAAATTTAGCCAGGTGTGGTAGTGGGCACCTGTAGTCCCAGTTACTTGGGAGGCGCAGGTTGCAGTGAGCTGAGATTGCACCACTGCACTCCGACCTGGGCGACAGAGCGAGACTCTGTCTGGAAAAAAAAAAAAATTACCTGGGTGTGGTGGCGTGCACCTGTAATCCTAGCTACTCAGGAGGCTAAAGCAGGAGAATCGCTTGAACCTGGGAGGTGGAGGTTGCAGTGAGCTGAGATCACGCCACTGCACTCCAGCCTGGGTGACAGAGTGAGACTCTGTAAAAAAAAAAAAAAAAAAAAAAAAAAAAAAATAAGAGCCAAAGAGAACAGCATCAAACCTCCCCCAAAAGATTGTGATATGCAGCCAGGTTGGAGAACCACTGATGTGGCTTGAACCCTACGTTTTAAAAAGTGACTAGATTGAGCCACAGAGCCTAAGAGACTTGCTCATGTTGCACAGCTTTTAGTAAAGTAAACTCAAATCAAGCCATATTCCCAAGATCTCTGTAGTCTCTACACCAAGAAAACAGTTTGTTTATTTAGGTTTCTGATGTTACTCAGAAGATTTACCATCAAAGTGGCATTGTTATGAGCGATTACCTTGAAAACGTTGGCAGGAGGGAGATTTGGTGGATTTCCCCGCAGTGAATTCACTGTGCTGGGTGCAAATGGGTCCAGGCCCCATGGCTGTTGCATTCACTATTCTGACTTGGCCATAATACACTCACTGTGCCTGCACGCCTGCCCATTAGTAATTCACAGCTTGTTCTCCTAGCAAGGGTGGCAGAGGCTTGCTCCTTTGTCCTCTGTCCTCACTCATCTTCCAGGGCCGATTCTTCCCAAGTATGTGGCTGTGAGCGTTCAGCTGAGCAGAGCTGGGGCATGTTTTTCTGATGTTACCCACAGAGAAGTGCTGATGAGCTTCTGCTACATGGTAAGATTAGAATTGCCAGATTTATAGTAAGGGTTGGGCATCCTAATCCATAAATCCGGAATCCGAAATGCTACAAAATCTGAAACTTTTTGAGCAATATGACATTCAAAGGAAATGCTTACTGGAGCATTTCAGATTTCAGATTTTCAAATTAGGGATGCTTAACTAGTAAGTATGATGCAGATACTCCAAAATCTGAGAAAAATCTGAAGTCCAAACCCCTCTGGTTCCAAGCATTTTGGATAAGGGATTCTCAACCTGTAGTGTGAGTAACCCATATACATCTGAGTTATATGGTCACAAAGTTTGAAAGATGACCTTGTCAAATTTACATGAGAAGGGCCAGGCGCGGTGGCTCACACCTGTAATCCGAGCACTTTGGGAGGCCAAGGTGGCAGGATCCCTTGAGCTCGGGAGCTAAAGAGCAGCCTGGCCAGTATGGTGAAACCCCGTCACTACTAAACACACAAAAATTAGCCGGGCCTGGTGGCGCATGCCTATAGTCTCAGGTACTCAGGAGGCTGAGGCGGGAGATTCCCTTGAACCCAGGAGGCAGAGGTTGCAGTGAGCCGAGATCACACCACTGCACTCCAGCCTGGGGGACAGTGAGATTCCGTCTCAAAAAAAATTACACGAGAATTGATGATTTCGTTGTTATTTCCATGCATTTCTCTACATGGTGAGTGCCTATCTGGAAAGTAATCATCTGTAAATTTCCTCCAAGTCATTCATTTGGTTAGGACTTACTTACGTATTTAAAACAGTCAACTCATGTTTCTTTTGCGGTACGCAGTGGGAGGCATGCCAAACTCTCTTTTCTCAGGAGTCCCCAGGGATTTCATTCCCAGCTCTGCCTCTAGCTGGCCTTGTAACCTTGGATGAGTCAGTTCATCTCTGTAAAGTGAGACATCCAACCAGATGATCTTTAAGGTCCCTCTCAGTTCTGAAAGTACTCTTGGCACTTGTACTTAACTCACATTGGATAAAAAAGGGAGGCAAAAAGTAAGGACTCTTAGATAAGTTATTCAACCCACTTTCACTCACTGAATTCTCTTCTATTCTGTACACTGTCACCTTTAACCGTAGTTCAAGGTCACATAGCCAGTAACTGGTAGAGGCAGGATTTGAACCAAGGAAAGCTGACTCCTGAGTGCATGCTCTTAACCGCCCTTTTACAAAGGCCACTGGACATGGTCGGCCTCCTTGGGAATAGGACCCTGACGAGTAACCACGTTTTGGTCAGATAGAAGAAGAGAGCGCTTCAGAGGGAAAGAGATGCGTGGAGGGCTCAGAGGTGAAAATGAGCCGATGTGTCTGGGTTTGGTGAGGAGCTAGATGGCTAAAGACACCGGGTTACTCAGCTTAAGGGCTGGGAGAGCAAAGGAGCTGGAATACCAGGCAGAGGTGGTAACGTGCAATTCTGTGTGCAATGGGAGAAGCTAATATTTAGAACTGGAGGTAATGATAAAATGATTTTCAGGAAAGTATATCTGATACGTGATGAAAGGCATCTGAAGGGGATGGGGGAGACATTTCTCCAGAAAGACTGATTTGTCAGCTGACAGAGGAGAAATGAGAGAGTCAATGGTGATAGCAGCCTGGGTGACAGGTGGAGTTGCAGCTCGGTGGAAAGAACTAGAAATGCCGAGAGTGGGAACCAAGTAAGAAGGAAGGCTTGCTAAGATCTGGGAGCCTGGGTTAAACTCCAGGGGAGGTGGCACAGCCTCGGCAGGTCCACACAGGCAGGGGAGCAGAATGGCTAAGAAACAGCCATGCTGCACTCCAAATGATGTGTTATACTCCAGTTGGCAGTGTTTCCATTAATCAGAACAAAATAATACACAGTAGTTTTAGGCCTCTAAAGGAATTCTTGGTGGCCCTGCCTGTTGGAAATTCACATTTTAAAAAGGCAACACTTTGTAAAACTAACCTCCAGGTATTTAAATACACATGAGCCCTTGTGCTTACGCATTTATGCAGTATCTGTTTCACACTTTATAAGCAGTTTTACTTGTTTTGCTTTTATTATAGCTTTTCTTTTCTTTTCTCTCTTCCCTCTTCCTTCTTCCTTCTCCTCTCTTCTCCTCTCTTTTCTTTTTTTGAGACAGTGTCTCACTCTGTTGCCCAGGCCATAGTGCAGTGGCATGATCTCAGCTCACTGCACCTCTGCCTCCCGGGTTCAAGCTATTCTCCTGCCTCAGCCTTCTGAGTAGCTGAGATTACAAGCACCTGCCACCATACCCGGGTAATTTTTGCATTTTTAGTAGATATGTGGTTTCACCATATTGGCCAGGCTGGTCTCAAACTCCTGACCTCAGGTGATCCACCTACCTCGGCCTCCCAAAGTGCTGGGATTACAGATGTGAGCCACCACACCTGGCCCAGTTTTTCTTTTCTTATTATAAAATAACACATACTTATTTGATCTAGAAACTTAAAAACTATAAATAAGCAAAAAGGAGAAAGATCACTGAAAACCCCAAGAAACGTGGTTAACACAGTAATGTTGAATCTTCTAGTTTTGTATTTAGTATAAAAAAGGTATCAAAATCTGCAAACTCTTTAATGACTAACTTTCCCCCTAATCTGTTGTGAATATTTTTTATGTGTAAAGTTATCAAAATATTCTATCTCTTTTATGATTAACTTTTCCCGTAATCTATTGTGAATATTTTTATGTGTAAAATTATCAAAATATTCAAACTCTTTCATGATTAACTTTGCACCTAATCTACCATGAATATTTTTTGTGAGTTATGGCTGTAATACTGTAGTAGGTTTAGCTAAATCTCTTGGGTCTCTCCATCTCTTAGATCATGCCCCATTTTTTACGATCACTGTCATTGCGGTAGCTAACATCTAGGTAGCAAGGATCTCTTCCTCTGGGTGGAATTGTTGGGCGTATTTTAAGGCCTTTGTTCCAGGTGGTTGGAGGGGATTTTCTGTTGGGAGGATCGCTGGTGTGTCAGGTATGGTTTTGGTTTGTGGTGTCAAGGGGATATACGCTTCTCATTTTCTCAGAGTCTAGAGAATATCTGAAGGAGGAAGAGGAGCTTTTCCTTTGTAAAGGACCTGGATATGCTGGACAGAGGGTCAAAAAGAATGATGACCCCAGCAGGTGACAGAGGGGAAATGAAAAGGGAAGGGGGACTTCGCAGTATGGCGGGCAGAGTCCAGGCAGTGCCAAGAATAGGACCTGCAGGGGTGAGAGTGATGCCGGCAGGGCTGGAGGGATGTAGCGTGTGCAGTCTCCCGTGAAGTAGTGGGGAAGTGCTTAGGGTGACTTCTTTTTCAATAATCCAGAGAAGCCCAGGCGCAGTGGCTCATGCCTGTAATCCCAGCACTTTGGGAGGCCGAGGCAGGTGGATTGCTCAAGCTCAGGAGTTCGATGCCAGCCTGGGCAACGTAGGAAGCCCCTGTCTCTACAGAAAAATGCTAAAATTAGCCAGGCATGGTAGTGTGCACTTGTAGTCCAAGCTACTCAGAAGGCTGAGGTGGGAGGATGGTGTGAACCCCACGGAGGTCACACCACTGCCCTCCAGCCTGGGTAACAGAGTGAGACCCCATCTCAAAAAAGAAAAGCTACCTTAAAAATAATAATAAGATAATAATACAGAGGAATCTGGCATAAGTGATTGCAGTAGAGAGACCTGAGCCACATTTCACAACGTAACTGGTTGTTGAGGTGGAAATATTGTATCACATTGCAAGGATTTTGAATAGTTCCTTGGATAGTATGCAAATGTGGAGATAGATGATAGATAGATAGTAGATGGGCAACAGACAGATTGACAGATGATAGATTGATAGATGATAGATCAGTAGATGATAGGCTGATAAATGATAGATTGATTCGTAATAGATAGATTGATAGATGATAGAGGAATAGAGCTATTCCAGCCTAATTTCTGATACAAGAACTATATTCACTTTGAAGTCCTTTAGTTTGCATATTTGTTTCCCTGAGATCATCATGCATATTTTTTCTTTCTTTTTTAAAGAAACATAAACAGTGACAGTTTCAGTATGTTTTACCCAGCTGTCTGTTTCCCAGGATCTGTACTCTGTTCATATGGCACGTTTCCTGCATATCATTCAGCCATTCTTCTCTGACACGTTCTGAGACGGAGACTTACAGGAAATACAGGCCCTGTGTAAACACTTGAAACACAGACAAGCAAATACCCACGAGTCTTTATCGCTCTTGATTCTTGGCACAGTTCCTTGCATGTGGTAGAGGCCTAACAGTTTTTCACATGAATGTAGAATAAGGAGGATATTTATGTTTTAATTTTGTAAACTTGTTTAGAGACAAGGTCTCCCTCTGTTGCCCAGGCTGGAGTGTAGTGGCACAATCCTAGGTCACTGCAGCCTCCAGCTCCCAGGCTCAAGTGATCATCCCACCTCAGCCTCCCAAGTAGCTGGGACTATAGGCTGGCATCGTGACATCCAGCTAATTTTTAACATTTTTGTAGAGATGGGGGTCTCTCTTTTTCCAACAGAGGCAGCACAGAGCGTTCAAAGCAGAAAATCTTTGTTTATCTACCTGAGGCACCCTGGGAAAGTTGTTTGAACTGAGCTTCAAATTCTTCTCTGGCAGCTCCAACACTTCCTGTGTAGCCTTGGGAAAGTTACCTAACCTCTCCAGCCTGTTTGTTCACCTGCCACGTGGGGTTAATAATAGCACTTATCTCTCAGGGCTTCATGAGGATCAAATGAGTCAAAATGGGTAAAGGGCTTACAGCATTGCTTAGCACATATTAAACACTGCTTAAGTTTCAGTTATTGTTATAAGTCTCATCATTGCCATCTCACGGGATTGAGAAAAAGTAAAGTGTCTCTTCCGTATTGCCAGTTATGAAGTCGATGCTTAATAACTGATGGGTGTCCCATTCTTGTTTCCTTTAATTAATTACCGGATGGTTTAGTGTTGACTTAATAGAAAACAGTGTACCGTTTCTACTATGGAATTTAAAATTCTGAGCTCATTTAACTGGATCTCTCATATTTTTGTTTGTGATTTGGGAGTGTGTGTGTGTGCATAGCTATACTTAGCAGATTTTACAAGCTGTTAGAGGTGCCATCACTCAGTCAAAATTGCTTCATTTCATTTCATTTCTGTAGGATGAAAATCCATGCCCTCTTAATTTATAAGTGTTTGTAACCTGAGTCTGTGTGACACTAGATTAGATGCTCTGCCACTCAATAGCTGAGTAACTTGGACAAGTTGCTTCTCTATGTTTCGGTGCCCTCAAGCAGTAAAAGGGGAAAAATAGTACCTCCAACTTAATGTAGCTGTGAGAACCAGGGGGACCATAATAATGACAATTTCTAAAGTGTTTCGAGTCTGGGTGTGGTGGCTCATGCCTGTAATCCCAGCACTTGGGGAGGCTGTGGTGGGAGATTGCTTGAGGCCAGGAATTCAAGACTAGCCTGGGCGACGCAGCAAGACCCTGTCTCTACAAAAAAATGTAAAAAAATTAGCCGGATGTGGTGGCACATGCCAGCTACTCAGGAGGCCAAGGTGGGAGGATCCCTTAAGCCTAGGAGTTTGAGGCTGTAGTGAGCTATGATTGCACCACTGTACTCAAAGCCTGGGCAAGAGAGCGAGACCCTATCTCTAAACGAATAAACAAGATGTATTGAGCACTTCTCTGTGGCAGATGCTGTTCTAAGTCCTGAACTTGTTTACGGAGCTTGGCAGCGTGCCTGCACTCAACAAGCATTAGCTATCATTATTGTTACTACAAGTCTGAAGAGTAGGTGAAGCCAGACTGTGGAAGACGAGCTGTAGCTAAGGACTCTGAAGGTCATGGTGGAGCTGGGATTTGAATCTGGTCAGTAGGGTTCCAAAGTCCATGATTTTATTTTATTATTGTTATTATTTATTTATTTATTTATTTATTTATTTATTTATTTATTTCTGAGAGGGAGCCTTGCTCTGTCACCAGGCCGGAGTGCAGTGCCGCAATCTCAGCTCACTGCAACCTCCGCCTCCCGGGTTCAAGCGATTGTCCTGCGTCAGCCTCCCCAGTAGCTGGGACTACAGGCATGCACCACCGCGCCCAGCTAATTTTTGTATTTTCAATAGAGATGCGGTTTCACCATGTTGGCCAGGATGGTCTCGATCTCTTGACGTCGTGATCCACCCACCTCGGCCTCCCAAAATGCTGGGATTACAGGCATGAACCACTTGCGCCTGGCCCAAGTTCATGATTTTATGCCTTTCACCACAGTCTTCAGCCAACTTGTCGTCCAGAATAACATCGCTTTGTTCTGCACAAACTTGCCTTTTTTCTTCTCTCTGGAGACCTCCTTCCCTGGGACTGCATGCCCTCGATTTGCGCATGTTGACATCCTTCCTTTGTACCAAGACCCTCTTGGCCTAGAGGCTCTTGCTGGTTACTCTCCTCGGAGTTCTCATGGCATGTTGTGTAGGAGAACTCGGGAGCAGGGACTTCTCTAGACATCATTGCATCCCTCCTGTCCTCTCCAGCACCTCCCATTTATTTTGTACTTACTAAGTATGTGTGGGTATAATACCAATGAATCATTATCTTGTAACCCAAGGCTCACCCTTGCCCTTGGCTTGCAGAGTCTTCACCGGGGCAGACAGGAAATGGACCCCACTACTATTAACTGGCCACTGCCCCAAGTAAGATGCACCGGTCCCTATATCTGAGGACTGTCAGCTCCCTCCTCTGTGCCATCTCATGACTTAGGCCACCCCCAGGAGAGAGCAGCCTGGGCTAAATACAGGAAGCTTCAGTCCTCCACTGATGGGAGCAAGACTCTGTGTGTGTTAAGGCCAGGGGAGCGTGTTGGAAGCCATGCACACACATACACATACACGGGGTCTTAAAATTTGAACACTTTCACTTTGAAACATGGACTTGGCCATCACTGAGATCTCTGTGGGTCAGGGCTAGAACTCCTAGTTTAGAAAGAAAAGGCCAGAGGCAAGCTGATGTGTTGGCGTGTTCAGAGCTGCTTCCTGTTAATGTGAATTCTGCTTCTCTTAGGACGCTTTTTCCTGGCATTTGGTCATGACACCTTCTTTTTGCTCCACTTAAACTCCCCATTCGCCACTTTCTCCATCCCTGGGGATGGTGTTCAGCGGTTACACAGAAAGGAAGGGTCTTTGATGAAGCATCTCTGTACAGACACTGGCTCTGAAGGGCTCAGGGAATCCTTGTCTCCCTTGCGTGACACGGACTCAGCCTGCAGAGGCCCTCGGTCACTTCCAACCCCTTGCGTAGTCTGCTGCCTAGACGATGAGATACCATTGGTAGAAATGGACATTCTAAATCCAGGCCCTGAAACTGTAATCCCACTAAATAATTTGTTTCCTGTTTTATATTGTTTGCGTAGAAGAGGGGGTGGAAAAATGCAGAACTGTTTTCCAGTGCGTTTCCTTCCTTCCGCCCCCAAACCTACTAAAGATACAGCATGCAGATTGCACACTGGTGGTAGGGTTATTCCCAAGTGTTAATTTCTTACGTGCCTAATTACTTTCCCAGTAGGAATGGCATCTTATACTTTCTATCACTACAGTGCTAGCAAATGCTCGGCCCAGAGAAGATGCGCAGTGAATTTACTGATTGCCTGCTGATTTGGTACCCTGGTTCTGAGCTCTACGGGAATGTGGCCAGAAATTATTGTCCACATGGGGAGACTGTCGCCTCCATTTTCCCTTCCCTTTTCTTTTCTTTTTTTTTTAATTTGCTGAAATCTAGCTTCATCCTTAAAACTAGCATTGATCTTTCCATTTTTATTTTTTATTTTTTAAGTCAGGGTTTTGCTCTGTCGCCTAGGCTGGAGTACAGTGGTGGGAATCATAGCTCATTGCAGCCTCGACCTCCTGGACTCAAGAGATCCTCCCACATCAGCCTCCTGAATAGCTAGGACTACATGCACACTACCATGCCTGGCTAATGTTTAATTTTTTGTAGATATGGGGTTTTGCTATGTTGCCCAATCTGGTCATGAACTCCTGAGCTCAAGCGATCCTCCTGCCTCAGCCTCCCAAAGTGTTGGGATTATAGGCATGAACCACCGCACCTGGCCTGGGTCGACCATTTTTTATTTGCTGTGCTAACTATCCCCAGTGCTGCATGTGTACTATTTGTCATGGCTATAGTAATCTTCATGATTACTACTATTCATCTGTAATTAAGATATAATTGGGATAACACAATGAATCAGGCATTGCACAAGGGGCTTTGTATGTATTTTCTTATCTAATGAGTGGTATTCAGAACATACTTAATTGACTTAAGGAAGACTTGCTCACAAGCGATTCACAAGCTGTGGGTTTCAGGGAAGTCATTTCTGCTGTCTGAGACTCAGTTTTCCCCCTCTGCAAAATAGGGAGCTGGATGCCTGCCTCTCCAGATTCTTTCCTTTTCCATCACTGGTTTAACTCAATTCGCTCATGTTTAGGGAGTCCTTACTGCATACTCTGCACAGATTTGTTGCTTAGAGAATATAAAACAAATACAGTTCAGTTCCTGCCTCAAAGCTTGTACCATCTAGTGTAATGACAGGAAGCCAGGGGTATCCGAGGGGTAGAGAACAAGGAAGTCAATTATGTCAGGCAAAAGTGGGGAGATTCCTGAGAGTCGATCCTAATTAGAAGCTTCCTGAAGGAGGAGAGATTTCCGTTCAGGGTAAGGGAGGCAGTTGATGGCGTGGGAGTACAGAAGCACCACTTGGCAGAACTGGTGGACAAAACAAGCTATTCCGCAGTGAACCAGAACAGGGCTGCGTTCAGGACCAACTCACCTGACATTTTCCCTATGCTAAATGTAAACTGGTCACGGTATTGATTCTGCTGCAAGATAAACTGCAGAATCTCAGCTACATCATAAAAGTATGTGGATCTCAGAAGAGCGAAGCATTTGGATGTTCGAGATGAGTCCCCAGATTAAAACTGCTTATTTTGGCGCCCCCATGTGCTGAGGCTCTCAGCCTCAGGGGAACCTCCAGTGTGAGGATGATAAATCTGATACATCTGGATTTGTGCCACAATATAATAGAATTAATTACCATTGAAATTGGCTAATGCTAGTGTTTAATAATAAATATGTATGCCCCTCTTCATTTCAGAAAGAAACTGAAGGGGTTTGCAAATATATTTGCCATGCAACAAGTTACAAAATACAAAAGATAAGGAAGAAAAATAAAAGAAGAAATAATAGAGTAAGGTCAGAGGAAAAGTCGAAATGCCCAAACCCTTTAAATACTTTATTAGAAGTGGGCTGTATGCATACTTTGGGCTCAGGACCTTATCAGCCAATGCGTTTTCTTCCTAAAAGAAAGTTTTTGGTTTTAACATGATAATGTAGCATGTGTAAGATTCTAAGAGTTAATGCAGAGACTTATCTTTATTGATGAAAGGGATTTTGGATATTGCATAATGCTGTGTGCTTTCATTTATGTTGACTGCTTACAAACGATTCATGAGACACAGGCTGAAAGCAAAACACCAGGCCAAGGCTTTCTGGCTGAACTTCTGAGGCTGCATAGCTATTGCACCAATGGTTTTACTTAAGGAAACCGCAGGTCTGAGGACAATTACATTCTCCAAGAAGAGGAATTCTCTTTGACATTTATTATTTCCTTTGAGGAGAGGCTTTTCTCTCTGCTTCCCCCACACACCCATTTATCAGAAACGTACTCTTTATTTTTTAGAGACAGGGTCTTGCTCTGTCACCCAGGCTGGAGTGCAGTGGCGTGATCATGACTCACTGGAATCTCAAATTCTTGTGCTCAAGCCATCTTCCTGCCTTAGCCTACCAAGTAGCTAGGACTACAGGAGTCAGCCATCATGCCAGGCTCATTGTTTAATTTTTGTAAAAATGGGGTCTTGCTATGTTGCTCAGGTTGGTCTCAAACTCCTGGCCTCAAGTTATCTTCCCATCTTGGCCTCTCAAAACACTGGGATTATAGGCATGAACCACTGCCAAACACATTCTTTTTTTTGAAATTTATTTTAGTGGTGACACATTGGTTTATTAAAATATGTAGCAATGTATGGTGAAAATAATATTCATATTTTCTTAAAACAGAATATTTCAGTTTTTAGTGATAGATTTTGCTTTTTAGGGTGGTTTTAGGTTGCAGAGAAATGGAGAAAAAGATACAGGGTGGCCATTTACCTCCTCCCCTCCTGCACACAGTTTTCCCATTATTAATTTCTTACGTTAATGTGGTACATTTTTGACAACCGATGTACCAATATTTATACATCATTATTAGCTAAAGTCCGTAGTTTAAGTTAGGGTTCACATCTTGTATTGCTCATTCCTTGAGTTTTGACAAATGTATAATATTGCATTTTCACGATTAACATTTCTATGTATTTGATCACTGCATAAAATATGAAAACAGTAGTAAAATCCAGAAATACGGTTATGAATAAAATTTTTTGAATTGTTGCAAAAAATATTTACCTCATTGTATTACGCTGAAAAGCCGAATAATCCATCATGTTGCTCAAATTGTTTTAGAATGAACTTTAAAAGGTAAAAATGTCATTTTTTTCCTGATTTCTTTTTTTTCAGTTTTTATCATTTTTTTTTTTTTATTATACTTTAAGTTCTAGGGGTGTTTGACAAGTCAAACACATTCTTATATTACTCTATGACATCGGAGAAAGATTGGGGCAAGTCTGCCCAGAGAACAGTGGAGCCGAGTGTGACAGCTGGAGGGCCCCAGCCAGGTCTGACTTGCTTTGAGTTCATGTGTCTTTTATTCCTAGCGTCAAGCAGAATGAGCGCTACGGCCAGTTGACTCTGGTCAACTCCACCTCGGCAGACACAGGTGAATTCAGCTGCTGGGTGCAGCTCTGCAGCGGCTACATCTGCAGGAAGGACGAGGCCAAAACGGGCTCCACCTACATCTTTTTTACAGGTAAAATACTTGGTGCATTAATGGAACTCTTCAAACTTCTGGACCGGGCTGAGAGCTGAAGGTTCCCCCACTGCATGCTGAATAGCAAATAATGACAATCAGAGCACTTCCTGTTTGCCAGGCTCTGGGCTAAATGCTTTACATCAGTTATTTCATGTAAGTCTTACCGTAACCCTTCAGGGCAAATACTAATATTATTCCTGTTTTTTTTTTTTTCAGATGGGAAAGTTGAGGTTTAGAGTGATTAAATAAGTCCTTAAGGTCACACAGAAAGTAAGTGGTGGTAACAGGATTTCAACACAAACCATTTGGTTCCAGGGTCTGTCCCTGCACTCCCCAATACGGTGACCACTAAACATGTGTGGCTACTTAAATGAAAATTAAAATGAAATAAAATTAAGAACAAGTTCTCAGTGCACTTGCCACATTTCAAGTGCTCAACTGTAGCATGTGGCTAATGGCTATTGTACTAGACAGCACAGAGAGAGAACATTCCCTTTATCACAGAAAGTTCTATTGGACAGTGCTGCTGTTGACTTTCATCACTGTCTTCTCAGAACCTATGACCATCTTCTTTTTGGAAACTCCATAGGATGCTTCACTAAAGACCTCCCATTTGTCCTTTTTATTATTTTGTTTTTTGATTTTTCGGTAGAAGTGAGGTCTCACTGTGTTGCCCAGGCTGGTCTCGAACTCCTGAACTCAAGCTATCCTCCTGCTTCGGTCTCCCAAATTGCTGTAGTTACAGGCATGAGCCATTCTGCTCAGCCCTGTTTGTTCTTGTGAATACTATGAGCTGAGATTTCGGGGGCAAGATTCCCAAAGATTGTGGCTGTTGTGTCTCCAGTCCCTGTCCCTAAGCCTCAGTGGACTGCCTCAAAATGTTCAGGTCAGAGTGGAGAACTCTTCTCTGCAGTGCAAAGTATGTTTCTGGAAGATGGAGCTTGCATTTTGAGAAACACGTGTGCAGAATAACTGCTCAGCCTCTTTCTTCTGTAATGTTCTCTAAGTTCTGAAGTTTAGGGGATGAAGTTCTCCAGCAAGGTTCAGAAGTCAGTAAGAGCTTTCAGGAATCTTACAAAGCCACCCTCGTCCTATTGTCGTCCAAGACATTTCAGGTGAAACCAGAATCCTTTGTTAGTGCCTGGGCAGGGACTTTCATGAAATTTCTCCATGCCTTGAATCCACCTACCTTTCAGACGTAGACCTAGACATAGGCCTAGACCTAGACATAGGCCTATGACCCAAAGGATGTTATGCCCTGACCATTAAAGAATGTTTTAGTACAATCTTATGTATTTGTCCTTTCCTGCCCAAATAGCTCCTCTCTGGCAAGGAGATGCATTAGTAGGGTATGCTGCAGTTCTGGAAGCACATGTATCTCATTTTGATGCAGACTTTTTACTCCTTAGTTCAGAGATCCAAGTTCTTGTCTCATGCCAGGAAAACTTAGGCACACAGACACTTAAAAGAGTGCGTGGAGTAGAATTTATTATGCGAAAAGGAAAGCTCTCAGCAAAAAGAGGGGTCCTGAAAGCAGGTTGCAGGTTGCTCTCCACACAATTGAATACAAGGGCTTCTATGTTCCCTCGGTAGGGCTGGGTTCCCTGTTTGTAAGAGGCGTGAATTCCTGGCGGCTCCACCCCATCCTTTCAGTGTACCTGCAGGCCCTTAATCTGAGTCACTCCACGTTGATTTATTTCCCTTACTGCATGTGTGTTAAGGGATGGAATTTTTCACTGGGGGTATGTTTAGGCAAGACCCCTGTGCACAATGACCTTGGTAGGTCAGAGGTTCTCTAAGGACATTCCCGTATCTGCTTAGGAGAGTTCTCTGCCTCCTGCCTCTATCAGTTTCATTCCACAACATCCCTGGGAAATAAGCAAAAGCTATTTTATTATCTCCAAAATACTAGAAGTACTAATGCTCATGCTGAGCCTCAATGTTCCAGGACCTGTAGTGGCACAATAAGGAGCCAAACCTGTTTTTCTGACCCAGGATCCAGTGTTTTTACTGCCTTGAACCTTTTGTAGGACAAGGTGAAGGATGGACTGATAGCCAGATTCTAGCTAGCATAACTGGTGTTGTCAGGAGAATTGCTAATAATTGTTCATAGGCAATCTCTTTGGATCTTCATTTTGGAACTCGCTACACAAGATTGTAAATGTGCCCTTTGTATTATACCATGCTGTGAAGCAACAGTGGAAAAAGCAACCAACTAAGATGAATAAAAGTCTGTTATTCAAGTCAATGACTGATTCCACATTTCAAGTTGCAGAAGGAAGATTCTTTGCCAAGATTAGCACTGTTGTGTCTTCCCAAAGTATTGGTCGAGGTTTTGAACTGCAGGCTTAGCTTGGGCAGAATATCCTATTAATATTATGGGCTCTTGGCCAGGCATGGTAGCTCATACCTGTAATCCAGCACTTTGGGAGGCCACGGCGGGCGGATCACCTGAGGTCAGGAGTTCGAGAACAGCCTGGCCAACATGGAGAAATCCCATCTCTACAAAAATACAAAAGTTAGCTGGGCGTGGTGGTGCACAGTTGTGCTCCCAGCTGCTCAGGAGGCTGAAGCAGGAGGATCGCCTGAATCTCGGAGTTGGTGGTTGCAGTGAGTCAAGATTGCGCCACTGCACTCCAACCTGGGCGACAGAGCAAGACTTTACCTCAAAAAAAAAAAATACGGGCTCTCTTTGAGTTTTGGAGGCGGAACCTTTTTGTTTTTTTTTTAACTGAACTAATTTTGGGAACCAAAGAAAAGCTAAAATATATTCATTCCAACTATCAAGAAACTTTGATCAAAAAAAATAAATGCTGTAACACATTTGACCTAATGTGTTATACATCATTTATTTTTTCTTATTTGTCAACACTAAGCTAGGAGTCCAGTTGGATTTTTACTATAGGGTTTGGCAATTTGTCTTTTCAAGCATGGATGGCTTTGAGAAACCAAGATGGGCTGTTACAGAAGCTGAGGTTCTCACTGCTGGCTCAGGATTCTTTCAGAACATGTGTTTCCTGGCTACCCATGTGGAGAAATGTTTGTCATTCATTATGTTTGTATGTTTCCTAGAGTTTGATTAAAAACACTGAAGCTTCTTTTGGGGGACTGACTGTTGTTAGTGTGCAGTTTGTGATTAAATAATTGCCGTATGTATTTCCTCTTTCATCTTGATCCAGGAGGATCTTGGAAGGTTTTCCCTGCTTCTCTTTCACTTCTTATTGTAGTATAACATATGTAAAGAAAAACATTCAAATTCTCAGAATACAGCTCAATAAATTATCCTTAAGCAAACAGGCACATGTAACTCCCACCCAGATCAAGGATGAGAACATTACCAGCAGCAGAGCTTTCTCATAGTAAAAGGCTGAGGCTCTAATTTTTATACGTAGGAAAACCACATTAATAAGTACTTTCCTGGCTGGGTGCAGTGGCTCATGCCTATAATCCCCTAGCACTTTGGGAAGCCGAGGCAGGCGGATCACTTGAGGTCAGGAGTTCAAGACCAGCCTAACCAACATGGCGAAACTCCCTCTGTACTAAAATGCAAAAATTAGGTGGGCATGGTGGCACACGCCTGTAATTCCAGCTACTCGGGAGGCTGAGGCACAAGAATTGCTTACACCCAGGAGGCAGCGAGTCAAAGTTGCAGTGAGCCGAGATGGCACCACTGCATTCCAGCCTGGGTGACGGAGTGAGACTGTCTCAAAATACTGAATTTGTTGTAATTTGGATTTAGTTTATAGCTTGTTAACTTGCATTTATTTATTTTTTTATTTTTATTTTTATTTATTATTATTATACTTTAAGTTTTAGGGTACATGTGCACAATGTGCAGGTTAGTTACATATGTATACATGTGCCATGCTGGTGTGCTGCACCCATTAACTCGTCATTTAGCATTAGGTATATCTCCTAAAGCTATCCCTCCCCCCCCCGCATTTTTTTGTTTTTTTGTCTTTTTTGAGATGGAGTCTCCCTCTGTTGCCAGATTGGAGTGCAGTGGCACCATCTCAGCTCACTGCAACCTCCGACTCCCCGGTTCGAGCGATTCTCCTGCCTCAGCCTCCCGAGTAGCTGGGATTACAGGCATGCGCCACAGTGCCCAACGAATCTTTGTATTTTTAGCAGAGATGGGGTTTCACCATGTTGTCCAGGAGGGTCTCGGTCTCCTGACCTCATGATCCGCCTGCCTTGGCCTCCCAAAGTGCCGGGATTACAGGCGTGAGCCACTGCACCTGGTCGAGTTTTTTTTTTTAATCTAAAATCCCATGTGTTTAGTTTTCTTTAAGTAAAACATTTGTCTTCTAGATAAGTGGATATAAATACATTTGCAGGGGACATGTGTAATCTATAATTATTAAAACAAACTTCAACACTTTGTTATTGTTGATGGAAGCTACGGATTGCAAATATATTTTTAAAGCAACTGGTTTGGTCACATTTCAAAGTATGTATTATAGTATAAGAAGTAAAGTATATATTATAGTATAAGAAGTAAGGCTGGGAACATTGGCTCATGCCTGTAATCTCAGCACTTTGGGAGGCCAAGGCAGGAGGACTGCTTGAGTCCAGGAGTTTGAGACCAGCCTGGGCAACATAGTGAGACCCTGACTCTAGAAAAACTAAAAAATAAAAAATTAGACAGGCATGGTGGCACGTGCCTGTAGTCCCAGCTACTCAGGAGGCTGAGGTGGGAGGATCATTTGAGCCCTGGAGGTTGAAACTGCAGTAAGTCATGATGGTGCCACTGCACTCCAGCCTGGGCAACAGCGTGAGACCCTGTCTCAAAAAATAAAAATACAAGAAGATATTTTTGTGTTCTTAAATTCACACGGTTCACTTATTCGACTAATGGCTCTGCTTATCGCTTCAGATTATTCTACACACTTTTAAAACAAAAGTTGCCTCTAAATCTTGCAATCATAAAATCCTAAAGTGTTGTTGCTAAGAAAACATCTTCAATATTATCCACTCCAGATTCTTCTCTTGACAAATGTGGACATTGAAGCATGAGGAAATAAAATAATGCCTTTGAGGCCATGTAGATGGACTCTGTGTGAACTCATGAACATTAGGCATGACGTTGACAAAGGTACCCCTTACCTAAGCCTGAAAGCCAATTTCTTATGAAGTTGCACAGACCTCCCAGCCTGATGGAAACCCATGTAAAAGACGGAGACTCTCTGAGCCATGATATACTCTTCCCTCGTCTTAGAGTCAGGAGGAAGGATCTCCGTGTTAGTGAACTTGGTACTTACAGCCCAAGAACTCTTGGCTCATGAACCATTTGATGATGTGTCCAGGAATTCTGCCCCCAACCTAAAACACCATCTAACTGTGACACAAAGAAGGCAAGTGGGGAAGAAAGCCAAGAAAAATTATTTATTTCAGGAACACTGTGGGGAAAACACAAGAAAGCATGTAATACGTATTGGGGTATCACTAGCTCTGAAGATTTCTCTTTGCAAATACTGTAATATTCCCTCACAGAATGATCCAGAAAAACAAAGGATTCAATGTACCATGCCAAAAAAGAAAAGCCACCAGCACCAACAAAAATACCCCCAAAAGCCCAGTCCAGAGTTTCTTGCCTGTCCTAAGGACAGAATTGGTAGGCCAGTCCTCGTTTCTCCCATTTCAGTAAGATAAAAATGCCATCATCTGAGCTTAAAGAACCAGGCAGAGTAATTTCAGAGGAAATGGGGGGAGATAAGAGACTGGCTGAGGATTCCCAGCCAGGTGCTGGCCAAGCCGAGAGCAGACCTGAGACTGATGGGTTCCTCCTTCAAGCCGACGCCATTCCCCTCCGCTAACCTTGGCAGGCGCCAGATCCTCTGGGCTGTGTGAGGACAGGCTGAGGACACTGTCACCGTGCTGGGGCTCCCAGGGGAGCTCTGATGTACTGGGAAATGCTTCCTGGCTGGCAGTTACTGACTGTGGCTGTGGGGCTGATTTCTCCACCCACAAGCAGCAGATGGTTTCAAGGTTTTACAACTGCTAAGGGTTTAAAACTTACAATCATAAAATCACATTAGTAAGTGCTTTCCTAAATATTGAGTTTGCTGTAATTTGGATGTAGTTTACAGCTTATTAGCTTGATTTTTTGTGGAAATCTAAAATCCAATGTGCTTGTCTACTTTAAGTAATACGTGTGTCATCTACATGAGTGGATGTAAATACATTTTCAGGGGACATATGTAATCTATAATTATTCAAATGAGCTTTAACACATTTTTTTGTTGATGGAAGCTACCGATTGCAATTTTTTTTTTTTTTGAGACGCAATCTTGCTCTGTTGCCCAGGCTGGAGTGCAGTGGCATGATCTCAGCTCACAGCAACCTCTGCTGCCTCCTGGGTTCAAGCAATTCTCATGCTTCAGCCTCCCATGTAGCTGGGACTACAGGCGCGCACCACCACACTCAGCTAATTTTTTTTTTTTTATTTTTAGTTGAGACGGGGTTTCACCATGTTGCCCAGGCTGGTCTTGAACTCCTGAGCTCAGGAGATCCACCCGCCTCGGCCTCCCAAAGTGCTAGGATTACAGGCATGAGCCACCACGCCTGGCCAGATTGCAAATATATTTTTAAAGCAACTAGTGTGGTCACTTACTTCAAACTATATATTATAGTATAAGAAGTAAGGCTGGGCATGTTAAACTTTAACTTGTTAAAGGTTAATATGTTAAATCTTAATTTAAATCTTGTTCCTTGCTTCCTCATGGTGGTGATCCATGGGCGTCATCTGGGCTTGTACTGATACCTTTTCTGTTTTCTTTCTTTCTTTTTTTTTTTTTTTTTTTTTTGAGACGGAGTCTGGCTCTGTCGCCCAGGCTGGAGTGCAGTGGCGCTATCTCGGCTCACTGCAAGCTCCGCCTCCCGGGTTCACGCCATTTTCCTGCCTCAGCCTCCCGAGTAGCTGGGACTACAGGCGCCCGCCACCATGCCCGGCTCATTTTTTGTTTTTTTTAGTACAGATGGGGTTTCACCGTGTTAGCCAGGATGGTCTCGATCTCCTGACCTCGTGATCTGCCCGCCTCAGCCTCCCAAAGTGCTGGGATTACAGGTGTGAGCTACCGCGCCCAGCCTTCTGTTTTCTTTAAGGAGACAGGAAGTTAAATCATTCTTCCAAAAAATGAAAAGCATTAAAGTAAAAAAAGAAAACCCGGCCTTTCCTACTCCTAAGGACTCAGTATTCAGAGTATGCTGCCAAAATCCTTAAGGGTGCTTTTACTTTGCGTCTCCGGAGTGAATAAGCCTGTGTCTTCCTTCCCTTTGCAGAGAAAGGAGAACTCTTTGTACCTTCTCCCAGCTACTTCGATGTTGTCTACTTGAACCCGGACAGACAGGCTGTGGTTCCTTGTCGGGTGACCGTGCTGTCGGCCAAAGTCACGCTCCACAGGGAATTCCCAGCCAAGGAGATCCCAGCCAATGGAACGGACATTGTTTATGACATGAAGCGGGGCTTTGTGTATCTGCAACCTCATTCCGAGCACCAGGGTGTGGTTTACTGCAGGGCGGAGGCCGGGGGCAGATCTCAGATCTCCGTCAAGTACCAGCTGCTCTATGTGGCGGGTAAGCCTGGCCACCCCTGCCTAGATTCTAGTTAGTCCCCTGGTCAGTTTCAGGTACTGCTGTTCCCTGCCTGCAGATGGAATAAGGAAGCTCCATGAGTGCCTTTTGTTTCATTGTTGTTGGGTTGTTGTTGTTTTTTTTTCTCTTTTTTCTTGAGACAGGGTCCCGTTTTGTTGCCCAGGCTGGAATGCAGTGGCACAACCATTTTCTCACTGCAGCATTAAAGCCCTGGGCTCAAGCAACCCTCCCTCCTTAGCCTCCTGAGTAGCTGGAACCACAGGTATGAGCCACCATGCCCTGCTAACTTTTTTTTTTTTTTTTTTTTGTCTCATAGAGAAGAGGTCTCCCTACCTTGCCTGGGCTGGTCTCGACCTCCTGGGCTTAAACAATCCTTTGATCTTAGCTTCCCAGAGTGCCGAGATTACAAGTGTGAGCCACCATGCTCGGCCCACTTATGCCGTTCTTAAAGGCTTCCCTTCTGCCCCACCACTTCTAGGATGGATGTTCTCCTTCCTTGTTATGACCCTGACCGAAAACCCCTCTTCTCCATTCCAGCCAAATCCTTCCATCGTTCACTCTGGTGCTGCCTCTGTGTTGGATCAGGTCTTCTATGTCCCCAAACTCCTTTAGAGCATCCTCCCAGCCTCTTGGTCTAAACCCAAATCTGCTGTCTCCTAAGGACATCATTCATTCCCACGTCAAGGCTGGCATCCTTCTTGTACCCATTGCCACCTGCCAACCCTCATTCTCTGCCCTTCTGTTGGGAACCTCTGCTCTTTGGGGGCTCTACCAGCATTCTCATTTCCTTTCCTGTCACTCCCATGCATTCATCGAACATTTTGGCACTTGGTTCATGGCCCTGCTTGTCACTCCATTTTTAGGGTGACTTTGATATCGACTTGGTACCCACTGGCCAGGTTCATGGACCCCTCATCCGTTCCACCTCAGATATTCCCACCCTCATCACAATGTGAACATGTCAACCACAACCACTGTGACAGCAACCACCGGGGCTGACCCCAGCTCCAGTGACACAGGCTTGTACTTTCCCAGGATTCTGTGTTCAATGACTCCCTCAGCCACAGTCCTCACCTGCACCCACCCTGTTCTTGAGGGCTTTCTGCCCTCCCCACCCATGAGGCTTAGATCCTGGGTCCCACCACATCAGTACTCACTACCCACACCCGGCACGCCCTCCTCTCTGTACTCCCCTCTCCTGTCCAGGAAAGAACCACCCCGGATGAACACAACTAACCTTCTCCCCATGCCTGTACTCAGAGAGTTAAGAGCTGTTGGGACACTCCCATGGGAGGGTAGAGGGCATGGCCATGAATCCCCCATCTCTCGTCTACCCTGCCTGGTGTCCTCTGCATTTTGTCCCGTCTTTCTTCTGTTTTCCCCAATGTGCACAGAACACTTGGAGTTCTCAAATTCCCGCCTCATTCTCTTCCAGTTGGCCTTACTCCCTTACTCTTGACAGAACTGAAACATGATCAGTCTCTCAATTAAAATTGGAACTACTTCTTTCAATGTGGCCATTTTAGTGAGGAGTTTCATTTCATAGCATTTATACATGAAATACTTTTTTCCCTGGTAACTGCCATCCGTTCCATTGTGTTGAATCCCCCTTTTCCTGAGGGTAGGGAGATCTGTTGGTCATGTCGAGTTTCCCTTTGATATCCAACAGGCTTGCTGGGTGAGTAAGACAGCCTCATTCTGGTTTCTAAGACTGTTTGTTTAAAATCTTCAGTCCCAACAATTCATCCAAGCCTGCTTTCTGCTCTTCCTGTCACATGCAGGCTCCATGGTGAGTGCAGCAGCTCTGAGTCGGAGGCCACAGTTCCCTCCGCTCCCCTCCCCTCCCCTCCCCTCCCTGCTGGGGCACCAGGTTAGGGGAAGTAAGTGAGAGAGGTCAGAGGAAGTAAGTGAGAGCTGGCAGTCCCTGGTAATAAATGCTGACCTGGCTTGTTGTCTGTTAGCCTGATGGGAACAGATAGTGACTCCAGTGGTTTGTCACAGGTGATAGGGACTCACCTGTCACAAGCCCCCTTGGTGTCCTAGGCCCTGTCCCATGCAGCCTCGCCTTCTCCTGGACCCTCAGCTGGAGGCTGCCTCTGCTTGTATGAACTTCTTTGCTCTGAGCTGCAGCATGGCTGAAAGAGCCTGGAGTCCTGACATCTCTGTGTCTACCTGATCACCTGACTCCAGAGCACGTGGCCACCAGAACATACAGTGGAGACACAGTCTGGGCCCTCTTTACTTCTCGAAGTCCCCCACCCTGCCATCTTGTCCAGAGCTCTTTTGCCCCGGGCTGATGGCATAGGGGCAGGCTAGGAGCAGTTGCGTTGCAGAACGCTGCAACACCCCCCACATTCCTTGGCAAGCAGTTCTCTGAGGCCGCTCCCTCGCCTTTCTGGAGTGAAGCACCCTCTTGCCAGCCTTGCAAGGGAGGAGGGGAAATAGTTTCTCTTCTGGCACTGTAGTCCCTCAAAGGTGACTTTAGTCTCTCCGAGAACTCTCACCTTGACCAGGGGAGAGTGGTACGTGTGGGCAGAGTCCATCCCCTGCAGTGGAGCTTCTCAGCCACCCTGTCGGGGGGATCAGTAGCCCCGAGAGTGAGCTGCTCTCTGAAGTTAGAATTTGGGTTCTGTCATGCCTCGTGTTCTCAGCCATGGTGCTTATTCAGCAGGCCATGCCCCTTACACCCTGTTACCAAATCCCTCTCACAGCCCTGCTCCACCTCCCCCAGTGTTTTGCTGAGCCCACCACTCTTCCCCACTAGAACCAAGTCCCTGAATGAAAGAGCTCTCCATGTCCCTCTCCACTTCCTTTCCTCCCACACACTCCTTTGCCCACTCCCATCTGGCCTTCTCCCTTGACTTCCACCAAAACGGCTATTGCCAAGGTACTCGGGGACCCCCATGCCATTAAAGTCTGTCCCTGTCCTCCTGGATTCCACCTCACCTGCAGGGAACAGCCTCTGCCCTGGCTCCATTTTTCCCAGCTTCCCCCACCTCCCCCACAGCTTTCTCACTCTTCTTGGTCAGCTCTTAGCCTTCTATCAACTTTGAAATGCTGGTGCTCCCCCAGGCACCCTTCTTTCCCACTCCTTGTTCTGTCCCTGGGCCAGCTTCACATCTGTACACTGGTAACTCCCAAGTGAACGGAAGTGGCCGGATCTAGGAGCATCAGGTCCACGTGTCCGCCGTCCACCTCAGGTGTGCAATGAGATGCTTCGGGGTCCTCCATCCTCCGCGTGCCATCCCTGGCCTCAGTGCCATCCTCCCTGGACCTGGTTCTTCCTCCTCCTCTGCCTTGGTGATGGCACTACCTTCACCCACGGGTCAGGCCTGCGGCTGGAAGCCAAGCTAACCTCCCTCCTCCTCCCGATCCTTTCTACTTTTTTCATTAAATCACTTTCAAATCCTACTGTTTCTCTCCATCCTCACTGCAAAAAAGGGATCAAGCTAGCATTGTCTCTGCCCTAGACTTATGTGAATACCTTCTCATTTCCCCTATGTCCACCTTTTCTTTCTCCACTCCATTTTCCACACTGTAGCTGATTTTTTTTTTTTTTAATACAGAGTCTTGGCTCTGTTGCCCAGGCTGGAGTGCAGTGGTGTGATCTCGGCTCACTGCAACCTCCACCTCCTGGGCTCGAGGGATTCTCCTGTCTCAGGCTCAGTATCTGGGATTACAGGCATGCGCCACCATGCCCAGCTAATTTTGTACTTTTAGTAGAGATGGGGTTTTACCATGTTGGCCAGGCTGGCCTCGAACTCCTGACCTCAGGTGATCTGCCCACCTCAGCCTCCCAAAGTGCTGGGATTACAGGAGTGAGCCACTGTGCCCGTTCCCTGATTTTAATTAAACCAATCAGTAGGTTCCCACTTCTCCCAGAAACAAAGTCCAAATCCTTTGCGTGGCCTGAATGGCCTCACATGGACTCACCTCTGTCCTCCTCCCCATCCAGGTCTCACTCCTCCCTCCCCTCCTCTCCCCAGCCCTCCTCCACTCCGCCACTGCCTCTCACCCAGGGCCATGAACATGGGCATTCCCAGCCTGCTGGTGTCTCCCTGCTTCTCCTGTTCCTGTCTCTGAAGCTCGGCCTTGAGATTTTAGTTCAAACAGCGCTTCCTCAAGGAAGCCCTTCCTGGCTCTCAGACTGTTCTATTCTGGCCTTTTGGAGTACTCTGGGCTTCTGCTTCATAGCTTTTAACACAGCATTTTAAATTAACCATACGATGACTCACTCAGTGTCCCGCCCCTTTGCTAGAATACAGATTCCAAGGGCTCAGAGATCAGGTCCATCACCCTCCCTGCTCTAGGCCCACCTGCTAGCACATAGCATTTCTCAAGGCTGCCATCAAAATTGCTCATTAACACACCTGTAATCCCAGCACTATGGGAGGTCAAGGCATGAGAATTGCTTGAGGCCATGAGTTGCAGATCAGCTTGGGCAACATAGACCAAAAAAACTGAAAAACTAGCCAGGTGCAGTGGCTCATACCTTAATCCTAGCTACTCAGAAGGCACAGGTGGGAGGATGGCTTGAGCTTTCCTCCAGGATGCAGGAGTTTGAGGCTGCAGAGAGTTAAGATTGCACCACTGTTGGCAGGCGCCTGTAGTCCCAGCTACTCTGGAGGCTGAGGCAGGAGAATGGTGTGAACCCGGGAGGCAGAACTTGCAGTGAGCCGAGATCGCGCAGCTGCACTCCAGCCTGGGTGACAGAGACCCCATTTCTAAATAAATAGACAGCTTGTTGAGTGAATTCCCCATAATGAAGAAATTTGTTTCTGAAACATGATGAGGCAAAGGCACTGCAGACCCAGGTAGCACTCATGCCCAAACATCTTTCACATCTGTACATTTAGATTTTCTGTTCGTCTTCTGCGGATGGTCAGCCACACACCTATCTGCTCCCTGCCACCCCTGTGGACACCACCACCCAGTACTTCCTCCCTGCTTCTTCCCTAGGGACTTCTTCCCCCTCACCTCTTCATTCTCTTCACATGACCACTGATGGACCTCTGAGCTTCCTCTCCTAATCACAGTCTTGGAGGCTGTCCTGGGAGTCCTGGTGCCTACCCCATTCCAGACCACCAAGGTCAACAGATAAAGGTGGCTTCAAAGGAAGCCCCAAGTTGTGGGCTCACACTGTCCTCGCACTGGTCAGGGAGCTGTGAGAAAGGCAGAAAATTCCATCTCTCTCCATGGAAAAGAATGCATCTGTAGGTTTGTTTTCAAGGTTACACTCGGGGTCTCACTCTGCCTGTTTCGTGCTTGCTTCCAGTTCCCAGTGGCCCTCCCTCAACAACCATCTTGGCTTCTTCAAACAAAGTGAAAAGTGGGGACGACATCAGTGTGCTCTGCACTGTCCTGGGGGAGCCCGATGTGGAGGTGGAGTTCACCTGGATCTTCCCAGGGCAGAAGGTAAGTGTTGTACCTGCATCTCAGCCCCTGCGTCTCAGCCTCTGCATCTCAGCCAGCCATTTTAATTCACAGCTTCGTCCCCACCCAGTGCTATATGCCATAACTTCAGAAGTGCAAGAAACATGTGGGGCTATGTTGGGGGCCAGGTATTGTTTGTTTTTTTTGAAGATGTTTCGGTATATTTAAAAATGAATTTCTTTTAAGGACAGGAAATAAGAGATTGAGTTTCATTAGTCAGTTTGCTCAATGTACCCTCTTCATATGCAGGTTTTTTTTTTTTTAAACCCTTAAGTAAGAAAGGACAGTAATGCTCATTGCAGCGCCATTCACAATACCAAAGACATGGAATCAACCTAAATGCCCTTCAATGGTAGACTGGATAAAGAAAACATAGTACATATACACCAAAGAATACTATGCAGCCATGAAAAAGAATGAGATCATGTCCTTTGCAGGAACACAAATGGAGCTGGAGGCCATTATCCTTAGCAAACTAACACAGAAACAGAAAACCAAATACCTCATGTTCTCACTTTTAAGTGGGAGCTAAATGATTAGACTACATGGACATATAGAGGGGAACACACACTGGGGCCTACCTGGGGGTGGAGGGTGGGAGGAGGGAGAAGATCGGGCAAAATAACTAATGGGTACTAGGCTGAATATTAATACCTGGGTGAGGAAATGATCTGTCATTTCATGACACGAGTTTACCTATATAACAGACTTGCACATATACCCCTGAACCTAAAATAAAAGGTTTTTTTTTAAAAAAAAGGACATTGGGAGGAAAGGGAAATGAAGGATCTCCCTCTTTCCTCCTGCCCCCACCTCAGTCTTTCAATCCCATCTTCTGGGCCAACTAGAGTCTAATCTAACCTCCTCCTGGGGTCCTTCAGAGTGTTCTCTTTGTTTTTAATATATTTTGTCATTTTTGATTTCAATCGGTTTTTAAGAACAGTAGGTGTGTGTTACGTGAATAAGTTCCTTAGATGATTTCTGAGATTTCGGTGTATCCATCACTTGAGCAGTGTACACTATACCCAATGTATAGGCTTTTATCTCTCACCCCTCCCCCCAACCCTTTCCCCTGAATCCCCAAAGTTCATTGTGTCATTCTTATGTCTGCATCCTCATAGCTTAGCTCGCATTTAACAGTAAGAACATACCATGTTTGGTTTTCCATTTGTGAATTACTTCAATTAGAATAATGGTCTCCATCCAGGTTGCTGCAAATGCCATTATTTAATTCCTTTTTATGGCTGAGTAGTATTCCATGGTATATATACTACATTTCTTTATCCACTCATTGATTGATGGGCATTTGAGCTGGTTCCATATTTTTGCACTTGTGAATTGTACTGCTGTAAACATGTGTTCAAATATCTTTTTCATATTATGACTTCTTTTCCTCTGGGTAGATACCCAGTAATGGGATTGCTGGATCAAATGGTGGTTCTACTTTTAGTTCTTTAAGGAATCTCCACAGTTTTCCATAGTGGTTGTACTAGTTTACATTCCCACCAGCAGTGTAACAGTGTTGCCTTTTCACCACATCCATGCCAACATCGATTATTTTTTAATTTTTAAATTATGGCCATTCTTGCAGGAGTAAGGTGGTATCACATTGTGGTTTTGATTTGCATTTCCCTAATCATTAGTGATGTTGAGTACGTTTTCATATGTTTGTTGGACTTTGGTATGTCTTTTGAGAATTGTCTATTCATGTCCTAAGCCCAATTTTTGATGGGATTGTTATTTTCTTGCTGATTTGTTTGAGTTCCTTGTAGATTCTGGGTGTTAGTCCTTTTTCAGATGTATGGATTGCAAAAATTTTCTCCCACTCTGTGGGTTGTGTGTTTATTCTACTGATTATTTCTTTTGCTGTGCAGAAGTTTTTTAGTTTAATTAAGCCCGATCTATCTTTGTTTTTGTTGCATTTGCTTTTTGGTTCTTGGTCATGAACTCTTTGCCTAAGCCAATGTCTAGAAAGGTTTTTCCACTGTTATCTTCTAGAATTTTTATGGTTTCAGGTCTTAGATTTAAGTATTTGATCCACCTTGAGTTGATTTTTGTATAAGGTGAAAGATAAGGATTCAGTCTTATTCATCATCTACATTTGGCTTGCCAATTATCCCAGCACCATTTGGTGAATAGGGTGTCCTTTCCCCATTTTATGCTTTTGTTTGCTTTGTCAAAGATCAGTGTAAGTATTTGGGTTTATTTCTGGGTTCTCTATTCTGTTCCACTGGTCTATGTGCTATTTTTATACCAGTACCATGCTGTTTTGGTGACTATGGCCTTATAGTATAGTTTGAAGTCAGGTAATGGGATGCCTCTAGATTTGTTTTTTTTTTTTGCTTAGTCTTGTTTTGGCTCTGCAGATTCTTTTTTGGTTCCACATGAATTTTAGGATTGTTTTTTCTAGTTCTGTGAAGAATGATGGTGGTGTTTTGGTGGGAATTGCATTGAATCTGTGGATTGCTTTTCGCAGTATGGTCATTTTCACAATATTGATTCTACCCATCCATGAGCATGCGATGTGTTTCCATTTGTTTGTGTCATCTATGATTTCTTTCAGCAGTGTTTTGTAGTTTTCCTTGCAGAGGTCTTTCACCTCCTTGATTAGGTATATTTCTGAGTATATATATTTTTTGCAGCTATTATAAAAGGGGTTGAGTTATTGATTTGATTCTCAGCTTGGTTGCTGTTGGTTTATAGCAGAGCTACTGATTTGTTTACATTAATTTTGTATCCTGAAACTTTGCTAAATTCATCTATCAGTTCTAGCAGCTTTTTGGAGGAGTCTTTAGGGTTTTCTAGGTATATGATTACATCATCAGCAAACAGCGACAGTTTGACTTCGCTTTATTGATTTGGATGCCCTTTATTTCTTTCTCTTGTCTGATTGCTCTGGCGAGGACTTCCAGTACTATGTTGAATGCAAGTGGGCATCCTTGTCTTGTTGCAGTTCTCAGGGGAAATGCTTTCAACTTTTTCCCATTCAGTATAGACAGTTTTCATTACCTTAAGGTATGTCCCTTCTATGCCAATTTTGCTGAGGGTTTTAATCATAAAGGGATGCTGGATTTTGTCAAATGTTTTTTGTGTGTCTGTTGAGATGATCATGTGATTTTTTGTTTTTAATTCTATGTGGTGTATCCCATTAATGTCTTGTGTATGTTAAACCACCCCAGTATGAAACCCATTTGATCATGGTGGACTATCTATTTGATATGCTGTTGGATTTGGTTAGCTAGTATTTTGTTAAGGATTTTTGCATCTATATTCATCAAACATGTTGGTCTATAGTTTTCTCTTTTTTGTTATGTCCTTTCCTGGTTTTGGTATTAGGGTGATACTGGCTTCACAGAATGATTTAGGGAGGATTCCTTCTTTCTCTGTCTTGTGAAATAATGTTGATAGGATTGATACCAGTTCTTAGAATGTCTGATAGAATTCATTTGTGAATCCATCTGATTCTGGGCTTATTTTTGTTGGCAGTTTTTTAAATTACCATTTCAATCTCACTGCTTGTTATTGGTCTGTTCAGAGTTTCTCTTTCTTCCTGGTTTAATCTAGGAGGGTGGTATAATTCCAGGAATTTATCCATCTCTTCTAGGTTTTCTAGCTTGAGTATGTAAAGCTGTTCACAGTAGCCTTGAATTATCTTTTGTATTTCTGTGGTATTGGTTGTAATATCTTGTTTCATTTCTAACTGAAGCTTATTTGGATCTTCTTGGTTAATTTTGTTAATAGTCTATCAGTTTTATTTATCTTTTCAAAGAATCAGCTTTTTGTTTATCTTTTGTATTTTTTTGGTTCAATTTCATTCAGTTCTGCTCAGATCTTTATTTCTTTTGTTCTGCTATGTTTGGGTTTGGTTTGTTCTGGTTTTTCCAGTCCTTGAGGTGTGACCTTAGATTGTCTATTTGTGCTCTTTCAGACTTTTTGATGTAGTCATTTAATGCTATGAACTTTCCTCTTAGCACTGCCTTTGCTGTATACCAGAGGTTTTGATAGGTTGTGCTACTATTTTCATTCAGTTCAAATAATTTTTTAACTTCCATCGTGATTTCATTCTTGACCCAGTGATCATTCAGGAGCAGGTTATTTAATTTCCATGTGTTTGTATGTTTTGAGGGTTGCTTTTGGAATTGAGTTCCAATTTTATTCCACCGTGGTCTGAGAGAGTACTTGATATAATTTCAGTTTTCTTAAATTTATTGAAACTTGTTTTGTGGCTTATGATATGGTCTCTCTTGGAGAATGTTCCATGTGCTGATGAATAGAATGTATATTCTGCAGTTGTTGGGTCGAATGTTCTACAAATAGCCCTTAAGTCCATTTGTTCTAGGTTATAGTTTAAATCCATTGTTTCTTTGTTGATGTTCTGTCTTGATTACCTATCTATTGCTGACAGTGGAGTATTGAAGTTCCCCACTATTACTGTGTTGCAGTCTATCTCATTTCTTAGGTGTAACAGTAATTGTTTTATAAATTTGGGAGCTCTGGCATTAGGTGCATATATATATATATATATATATATATATATATATATATATATATATATAATTGTGATATTTTCCTGTTGGGCAAGTCCTTTTATCATTACATAATGTCCGTCTTTCTCTTTTTTAACTGCTGTTTCTTTAACGTTTGTTCTGTCTGATATAAGAACAGCTACTCCTCTATAAGACAGGCCTGCACCTGTAATCCCAGCTACTAAGGAGGCTGAGGCACAAGAATCACTTGAACCTGGGAGGTGGAGGTTGCATTGAGCCAAGATTGAGCCATTGCACTCCAGTCTGGCCGACAGAGTGAGACTCTGTCTCAAACAAAACAAAACAAACAAAAAGAATAGCTACTCCTGCTCACTTTGGTGTCCCTTTGCATGGAATATCTTTTCCCAGCCCTTTACCATAAGTTTATGTTAGTCCTATTTGTTAGGTGAGTCTCTTCAAAACAGCAGATACTTGGTTGGTGACTTCTTACCCATTCTGCCATTCTGAATCTTTTAAATGGAGCATTTAGGCCATTTACATTCAACATTAGTATTCAGATGTGAGGTACTATTCTATTCATCTTGCTATTTGTTGCCCGAATACCTTGGTTTTTATTTATTTATTTATTTATTGTGTTTTTGTTTTATAGGTCCTATGAGATTTATGCTTTAAGAAGGTTCTATTTTGGTGTATTTCAAGGATTTGTTTCAATATTTAGTGCTCCTTTTAGCATTTCTTACAGTGCTGGGTTTGTAGTGGCGAATTTTCTCAGCATTTGTTTGTCTGAAAAAGACTGTATCTCTCCTTCATTTATGAAGCTTAGTTTTGCTGTACACAAAATTCTTAGATGATGATTCTTTTGTTTAAGGAGGCTGAAGGTAGGGCCTCAATTTCTTCTAGCTTGTAGGGTTTCTGCTGAGGAATCTGCTGTTAATCTGACATGTTTTCCTTTATAAGTTATCTGGTGCTTTTGCCTCACAGCTCTTAAGATTCTTTCCTTCATCTTCGCTTTAGATAACCTGATGACTCTGTGCCTAGGTGACGATCTTTTTGCAATGAATTTCTCAGGTGTTCTTTGAGCTTCTTGTATTCAGATGTGTAGCTCTCTAGCAAGGCCAGGGAAGTTTTCTTTGATTACTCCCTCAAATATGTCTTTCAAACTTTTAGATTTCTCCTCTTCCTCAGGAACACCAATTATTCTTAGGTTTGTTTGTTTAATATAATCCCAAACATCTTGGAGGCTTTGTTCATTCTTTTAAATTCTTTTTTGTTTGTCTTTGTTCGATTGGGTTAATCCAAAAATCTGATGTTCGAGTTCTGAAGTTCTTTCTTCTGGTTGTTCAGTTCTATTGCTAAGACTTTCCAATGTATTTTGCATTTCTCTAAGTGTGTTCTTCATTTCCAGAAATTATGATTGTTTTCTATTTTTGCTATCTATTTCACTGAAGATTTTTCCCTTCATATCCTGTATCTTTTTTGATTTAATTAAGTTGGAGTTCACCTTTCTCTGATGCCTCCTTGAGTAGCTTAATAACTGACCTTCTGAATTCTTTTTCTGGCAATTCAGGGATTTCTTTTTGGATTGGATAAATTGCTGGTGAGCTAGTGTGATCTTCTGGGGTGTTAAAGAAACTTGTTTTGAAATACTACCAGAATTGTTTTACTGGTTCCTTCTTATTTGGGTAGACTATGGTAGAGGGAAGATCTGGGGCTCAAGGGCTGCTCTTCATATTCTTTTGTCCCATGGGGTGCTCTCTTGATACAGTGCTCTCCCCCTTCCCCTATGTGTGTGGCTTCCTGAGAGCCAAACTGCAGTGATTGTTATTTCTCTTCTGTATCTAGCCACCCAGCAGAGTTACTGGGCTCTGGGCTGGTACTTAGTGGTGCCTGTACAGAGTCCTTTGATGTCTCAGGTCTCTCAGCCATGGATGCCAGCAGCTGCTCTAATGGAGGTGGCAGGGGAGTGAAATGGATGAACTCTGTGAGGGTCCTTAGTTGTAGTTTCGTTTATTGCACTAGTTTTGTGTTGGTCTTCTGCCAGGAGGTGGCACTTTAAAGACAGCATTAGCTGCAGTAGTATAGGGAGGATCAGGTGGTGGGCAGGACCCTAGAGCTCCCAAGAGATTATGTCCTTTGTCTTCGGCTACCAGGGTGGGTAGAAAAAGACCATTAGTTGGGGGTGGGCTAGGCGTGTCTGAGCTCAGACACTCTCCTTGGGCGGGTCTTGCTATGGCTGCTGTTGGGACTGGCGGTGTGGTTCTCAGGCCAATGGGGTTATGTTCCTCAGGGGATTATGGCTGCTCTGCTGTGTCATGCAGGTCACCAGGGAAGTGGGGGAAAGCCAGCAGTTACAGGCCTCACCCAGCTCCCACGTAGCCCAAAGGGCCGGTCTCACTCCCTCTGTCCCTGCCAACAGCACCGAGTTTGTTTCTAGGCAGTGGATGAGCAGGGTTGAGAACTTGTCCCAGGCTACCAGCCTCTTGGATAAGAAAGCAAACAGGGTTTTCAGATTTCACATCTCCTACCTGCCACGGTTTCTGTGCTGTGTCTGCACTCCTGCTTCACCCCCTCACCCGAGTTCTGTCCAGGAAACTGTGTTTGGTCAAAATTGTTACAAAGTTCAGCTAGAAGTTTCCTTCTCCCTGTGGTCTTTTCCCAGTTTCTCTGGTAGCCCTCTCCAGGGATCTCTGTGAGACAAAGTCAGAAATGGCTTCCTTGGGGACTGAGAGAGCCCATAGGGCTCTTTCTGCTGCTCCTTTCTATTCCTGTGTTTCACTTGGCTAGAGTGTTCTCTATACAAGCTGTGCCCATGGCAAGCTGCTGTGAGCAGACATCCACCAAGTGGACATAGACCACGCCAAAAAGGTGCTGTGAGGCCAGAGATAATTTTAAAGTAGACTTCTCATAAAAGCAATTGCAGCGTATTTAGCCCTTGTGCATGTTCTGCTTGCTAAAATAACAGCTCTGCTCCCAGCACGGAATAATCCCTTTGTTGCCAGAAGAGATTTGGCCTCCACAAGACACATTAAGTAGCTGACATCCTTCTGGCCTATGGGCTGTGATTGGTAGAAAATAACTGTCTCTGGGGAATAGTGTTTTCCGGCATCCTGGTACCAGGCACTTGATTATCAAACGTGTTGGTCATACTTACAGGACATTGATGATTTTCAATAGAGGTCCCCGCCACATTGCTATTTGGTATTTTATGAGAAAAGGTATTCACTTAGTGATATATTAGTTCTGTTACATGAATTCAGAAAATACTATGTTCTTATCACTGGAGTTGGGTGGACATCTCAAAAGTGACCATCGCACTTTGTAGAAATAGGGGTCCTGTCATGTAGTACATTATCTTACCCATCCTTGGTACAACTTTTCTCCCACTAGAGTCCTAAGGCACACTGGCCTAATCATACTTCTCCCTCTCTCAAATCTGAGCAATTGGGAGCTCTTAGTCATTTATACAGTGGGTGCTTTTTCAGGCTACTGACTTTCAGTTCTGTAGGTAAGAACCACTTAGCTAGGAAAAGAAAGTGGGCAATGTGAAGAACGGGGCCAGTGGAAAATTTTGTCCCTGCTTATGCTTAATACCAGTTCCACTTCCTTGGAGTTCTAAAAGCATACATTTTAGATTAAGTAAAACCTTACAGAAGAAAAGGGCAGAAAGACAGTGCCAAACAACGTAATGAAATTCAAGGGCTGTTTGGAAAAAATGCAACCTAAAATGATTCCAGTGTAGAAGCTTCCACAGCTTATGAGCTACGCATACTAAACAGTCTTTTATAAGCATGTGCTTTGCTCTCTGAAAGGAACGCTCAACAGTGTTGGGTGAGTGGGAGCTCTTTATAGCAGCTTGTCCCTCTTGCTTCAGTCTTTGTGGGTGTCGTTAAACAGGATGAAAGGCCTGTGACGATCCAAGACACTTGGAGGTTGATCCACAGAGGACTGGGACACACCACGAGAATCTCCCAGAGTGTCATTACAGTGGAAGACTTTGAGACGATTGATGCAGGATATTACATTTGCACTGCTCAGAATCTTCAAGGACAGACCACAGTAGCTACCACTGTTGAGTTTTCCTGACTTGGAAAAGGAAATGTAATGAACTTATGGAAAGCCCATTTGTGTACACAGTCAGCTTTGGGGTTCCTTTTATTAGTGCTTTGCCAGAGGCTGATGTCAAGCACCACACCCCAACCCCAGCGTCTCGTGAGTCCGACCCAGACATCCAAACTAAAAGGAAGTCATCCAGTCTATTCACAGAAGTGTTAACTTTTCTAACAGAAAGCATGATTTTGATTGCTTACCTACATACGTGTTCCTAGTTTTTATACATGTGTAAACAATTTTATATAATCAATCATTTCTATTAAATGAGCACGTTTTTGTAAAAAATAAAAAGTGGGATAAGTGTTTTTTAAGTTAAGTTGACTTAAAATACATCCAGAAAGACTTGGTGGTGGTGATACGTGGGTCAATACCAAGTATTCTCTTTTATATCACCGCAATATATTAGAATTTTAAAATGTACTAGATACAGTTCAACTACTTACCCACAAGCAACAACTCCAGACTCAAATGCTTAGAAATGTCATTTTGTCTTAGTAGCAACTTTAACAAATGTGAGTTAATTTATGAAGGTACTGAAAAAATTCAAGGACACTTCATTTTTTTAAACTGCTGCACTCAAAGGTGTAATTGTAGATTAGTCTATTCAATAACTAGAACAAGTTTTTAGAAGTTTAGCTTTCAATATGAAATAGATGCATAGATTAAGAACATTCAACTTTGTTTAGACATTTTTTACGATATTCAAAAATATTTACCAAGTTTGTCCAATTTTCTTATACAGCAGAAATTGTTACAGCCAGCCAAAATTTATTTGTCAAACATAGATAGCTTTGAATTTAGAGAAGAAGAGCTTACCTCTCACTCTAGCTCTGTGAGCCCATGACCAACTCTGCGGTTGCAGTGGAAATTCCTGGGAAATATAAACTAAGAGGAGATACGACCTTTACTGTGCTGTCACAGGGCTGTAAAAATGAAGAATTTGAAGAATGAAGTAGGTCAGAGGATGCAATTCTTGAGTATTCCAGCATTATTTATTTGATCAGAGTAAAATACACTTCCCATCACTACAAACTGAGCACAACTACAGTTGTCTACACATTCATATTTTTGACGTGCCAACATTTTGCATTCTACATGAAACATTTGGTTTAAACAAAATCTTAAGAATTCTCTATTTTGTTTCCCATCTTCCCTCCTGTTCTCTCCCATCCTCCAAAGATGTTTTATATTAACTGCTATGAGATTTATTTGCCGGTCACGTAATACGGAGGACAGCAGGGAACAACACAAGATTTACCATGCCTAGGGGATGAATGGCAAACCCAACTTTGGCTAATGTCATTGAGAACAACTTGGAAGCGTGAGCAGAGATATCTCATGAAGTGGCAGTGAACCTACATTTCCATTTATCAGAAGCAAACATGGAAGGTTACATACATGATGAAGTATTGGAAGTTAAAGACTTAAGACACAAAATCACTAATTTAAAAGAACATGCAACATGAGTATCAACTTGCTATGTAGTGTACATGTAAATGACCCAAATATTCACCTCTAGCATCCTGAATCTCTTCTTACTACAGCTGTTATTTGTACAGCCACTGAATGTAGATTAGTAAATACTGACATCACAATGTTGACACATGCAGGGAGGGGGAGATAAAGCAACAGTTCTTCCTTCCACCTTTTCCAAAGTCTCAGGATTAGGGGAGGTAATAAGTTTTGGAAAGAAACTGAAATGCAACCTGGAGGAGAGTTGGACAAGCCACATTTTCCACTCATGGGAAAGAAGCGGACCATTCTGCTACTTTCCCAAAGACAAAGGGACTCCTTAAAGGGTAACTGAAAAATGAGCGCTATCCTCCCAGACTGTTTTCTTCTATCAAGTACTGCATCATCGGTAAGCACTGAATCCTACCTTTCTTAATTATACTAGCCAATGACTTCCTTGTTCTCGTTCTTTATTCTAAGATTTCCCAAAATTTGTAATATCAAATCCAGGCTTTAGTTTATTTGGAAAGTGGTTTCAGCACCTGGAAGATGAGCTGGCTCTGGGGCTCTGGAAAATCATATTCCTTTATCCTTGTCCCAGAGAAAAGTAGGTAGGAGGTAGAAGGTTTGCTTTTGTGGCTCTGGATGGTGGAGAAAGGTAAAAGGAAAATGAGAATAATGGGAGGGAAGAAGACAGGTTAAATCTGCAAGGGTAGATCAAAGGTAAAAATAAGGTGGAAAAACCCATTGGTACTTCCCTTTTTCTTTCTTTACACAGTTAGTTAGTTAGTTTGTTTTTTTATAGAAAAATTAGGGTTCTACATTTACACATAGCCTGAGAAAATGAATTACAGGATAGTGTTAGGCTCACATGGGTAAGTAAAAAATCTACAGAAAAATCTAGTTTCAACTGACATGGCTGAACACTGAAAAACTGCCAAGAAGTTACCCCCAAAAGATACAGAGAATGTATAGACAGGGACAAGTCAAAGCTCTTCCTGTTATACCCTCTCCCTACCCTGTTACAGGGCTGAGCAGAGTTGGTGGTAGATGATCATAATTCAAGCAACTATTGCTTTTTCTTCTATGGCTTTGGCTGAAATGTATATGCTGATTGATTGATTATTATTTGATTAGTACATATCCAGATATATTCAGATTTTGACATTTAATACACAGCAGAGGAGGCTGCATCAGACACATGACACTCTGTGACATCCATTTCATTCACACCCCCCACCCCCACAGTCAGACTGAAAACTCACAAGAAGGTGTCTGTGGTGAAGAACATTACAAAGGTTATAAATCTTAATAGGGCCCTGAGAGTTTTTCCCCCTATGCTTAGGTGAAAAAGGCAATGAACAAGATGCTCTCGTTCTTTAAGTGCTTTGTGCAACAACGTCCGTGTCGATGCCGAAATCTTTTTTTAAATCTTTTTTTGGAGGAATCTTTTGGACGGAGGCAAAAGTCTTCCTCCAGAGTTCCAGTCTCAGAAGCTGCGATTCCGCCGGTGGTGACGCTCCAGTTACCCTACGGTGATCACACGTGTGCTGATATACCTCTTGTGCCCACGTTCCTCCTTGGGGTCAGTCCTGCAGACCTGCATCAAAATGCTTTCAGAGAGTCTGTGGACTTTGGGGAGGTGTCATCTGGGTGAAATGCTGGGGCTAGGGAAGGAGCCCGAATTCCTTGGTGACTGCAAAGGGATGGCGGAGGATGTGGGGGATCTCTTGGGGCTACACAGGTCCCCATTGTGCAGTTTCCACAGAAGCTCCTCGTTTTCCATAGAGAGTCGCTTGTTGACTTTCGACTCCTTCTCCAGCGACTCTTGCAGAACAGCCTGCTCCGTGGAAAGCTGCCTTGAAGAAAAAGGCCAGAAACCATGAGATCTATGTAAAAAAAAAAAAAACTTGAAAAATTTTTCTTAGCGTTTGAAACTTTAAAGTCCAAAATTATTCCTTTGGGATAAAACAGAATCCTGCACAAGGTCACAGGTATTTGGCTGGCTAAGAAAACCCAAACACAGGCCGGGCGTGGTGGCTCAAGCTCATAATCCTGGCACCTTGGGAGGCCAAGGTGGGTGGATAACTTGAGGCCAGGAGTTCAAGATCAACTTGGGCAACATGGCGAAACTCTGTCTCTATTAAAAATACAAAAATTAGTCACGCATGGTGACATGTGCCTGTAGTCCCAGCTACTCAGGAGGCTGAGGTGGGAGGACTGCTCGAGCCTAGGAGGTGGAGGCTGCAGTAAGCTAAGATCACACCACTGTACTCCAGCCTGGGCAGAAGAGTGAGACCTCATCTCAAAAAAATATATAATAATAACTGTACTTTTTGGGCAATTTCATAGTAGGCTGAGAGCCACTTTTGCAAATATTCGACATGTTTTATGACTACCTTATGTTGCAGGCTGTTTTCTATTTGGTTTTGTGTTGCTCTTTGTCTGAAAGCATTCTCAGAGGCAGCCAGAGGCCGTGGGAGCAGGCTTGCTGGCCTGGGTCTCAGTGTACAGTTTTCAGGCCGCTTTGGTAAAAGCATGAACTACTACAATCATATTTTCCACAGAGAAATCAATGCCCTTTTAACCATCTGCTTCCATCATATTTCCAGGAGGTGCAGGGGTAGAGCGTGTCCAGAAAGTACACTGGATGTCCAAGGGAGCGGGGAGCTCGGGAGAAACAGCACTGTTTTATTTTTACCTTGAGATTGCCATGTGCTTGTCCATCCGAGCTTTCAATTCTTCATTCTCCTGCTGGAAACGCTTCAATTTGTCAACCAATGCTGTGTTGTTGTCCACCTTGGCATAAACAAGAATTCCAACATTTATACAATATTAAAAAAAAAACCCCTCATTTCTTAAGGCACCTCACGACACAAGCACACTTTGGAGATTTAATTAAGGAAAATGCAATTCCATATTAAAATATTTATACACTAACAAACATACTGAAAAAGATTTTAAAACAGCAAAACAGAGCGGCTGGGTATTTTTAAAACATGTATGCCAGGACACTTAAATATTGATACGAGTGGGTAACAGATTTGTTCCAGGTCATGTTGTTTTGGAATTCTCTAAGAATTGGTGCCTCTTTCTGTTTCAATGTGAAATAAACCCTGCAGACACACTGCCCACACTTATCAAAGCTTATCTATCTCCTTACGGTGAATTTTGCTGGAAAAAAAAAAAAAAAGATTCCCACATCTGATGAAAACTCACAGGCCAGCAATTCACAGTCCCTGGCAACGTTTACTATGGACTTGAACTCAGTTTCATGGTAAGTTTTCAGCATTTGCGTCTGAGTGGCCATACAAAGCTTCAATTCGATAGAGCTCTTAGAGCATGCCATCAAAGAAGTAACATGCCACGAGTCTCCTCAGGTCAGCTGAAGATAGATAGGTCTGTTCTCTTGCTGCCCTGTGCAGGCTGAACTTTCAAGGCAAACAAACTGATCAGCGGAGAGATGAAAGGATAAGATGCCTGAGGACATTTAATCACTTAACATGATGAAGACCTGATTCCATCCCCCACTCACTTTCTAAAGGTAAGGCTTTATGAAGAGGCAATATTATAGCTCCGTCAGGATTAAGTCTAAGTCCTTGTCCTTGTAGCAGGACTAACGCGCTTTGAGTATGTTGCTTAGTTTGGAACCTGATTGTTCTTAAGACATCCTGTTATCCAGAAGCAGCTCAGGACAACCTGTTCAGGTTAAATCACTTTCCAGAAAAGGAGTCTACGTTCAGTAATTATGAAGGATTCCCAGATAAAACAACGTGGAAAAAAACCTGGAATTTGAGATTGGGAGGTATTGTCCTTTAAATATCTCATCCTAGGGAAACTAGTCCTAATAATGTCACAGAGCTGATTATGGGCAGTGCCGGTTTCATGGGAAAGCTGTCTTTCTTAGAAAACTTCCTGTGCTTCTAAGTCTCTTAATTTCATCAGAGGCCTGTAATTTACAAATATGAAGGGAACAGTGGGTCTCCCTCTCATTGTATCAACTCATTCTTGCACACATACACAATGCAAGGCTGAAGGATATTATCAGGATACCTCTGGGGCATGGCAAGAAACAAATAGTAGATCATCAGAAATTAAATGTGTTGGTAAGTTTACAGCAAAGTCTGATTTATTGCACATGATTTTTTGAAAGTTTTGATGCATGAATGGCATATGGAGCAGTCCTATTAACAGGATCATCTGAGTCATCCCTGACTACCAGATTAGAAGATACCAGACTCAGTCGAACAGGACGACCTTTGGCAGGAACTGGTATGTATACTAGGTTGGCCCATTAACAACCATGAGTTCCTTTCCTTCCTTTACAAAAATTTCCTGATAATTCAAAATGCTGGTATATCCACACAGGGGCTTGGCCGTTATCTCCCTCAACAGAAGTCATAGTCTCCAGAAGAAAACCAAACGCCAAACCAACACAAACCAAGCAGCAGAGAGGTCCCCCATGTCCCCTACTGTCCAGGGCTGGTTTGGGTTTGAATGAGGCACTTGTAGAAGCCTGAGTCACTCATCACTGTGGGGAGAAGAGGCCAGTAGCATGCGGCAGCTGGACAGTCAACAGCAAGGCACCGCGAGGGCGGGGATCACTTAAGCTGCCTTGCCAAACTCTGCCAACTTGGTTAGAGTCCTGGCTGGCAGCAGCTGTATTTCAGGGCCGGGCCAAGACTGACGCTGAACACTGAACATGCCACTCACACTAACATCGTTCTCTGTTCTAGACACTGCAAAGTGAATGTTAATTCATATTTTTGGTAACACCTGCTACTTGTCCAAATGGATTAATCTTATTATAGCACAATTTTTTTTTTGAGATGGAGTCTTGCTATGTCGCCCAGGCTGGAATGCACTGGTGCCATCTCACCTCAATGGAACCTCCACCTTCCCAGTACTTGGGATTACAGGCACCCACCACCACACCCGGCTAAGTTTTATATTTTTAGTAGAGACAGGGTTTCACCATGTTGGCCAGGCTGGTCTCGAACTCCTGACCTCAAGTGACCCACCCATCTCAACCTCCCTAAACTGCTGGCATTAGAGGAATGAGCCACTGCGCCCAGCCCACGATTCTTTTATCACATGCTAATTCACAAGAAGCAAGATGAAGAATTTTGATAAATAGTATTGCTATTCATTTCTATTAAATTCATTTCTATTCATTTCTATTAAACGTATCCAACTGTTTTGGATCTAAGAAACCTGTCCAGGGTGGCTGGTATATTAAAGTACTGATTTTACATAGATATTTAAACATTTTTCTTATGCAGGTGAAGATCCAAAATACCACTGAAATATAAGCCTGATTTGTTTGTAGTTTTTCCAAGGACTGGGTGCTGTTTTACATGTTCCTTGAAAAAGAAAACATTCTAGGAGGCAGCAATGAATAAATATGGAACAAACTTGGAAAGAAAATGTGAACTTTATCTTTTGTATAATTTCTAAATATCTTTAGGAGCAGTTAACCCAACTCCACAGTTCTAAAATGCAGGGCTCAATTTCACACATATTACCCCATTTGTAAGATCCTCTTTCATTCTGAAGGAAACATACCAGTTTCTCCATTTTCATTAACTTGATGTCCTGTTGATGCAGTTTCTCATTCTTGATCTCTAACACAGCTTTCAGGCTTTCTAACTCCTGTTCTAGATACATGATCTGAGGATTTTTCTGGAAAGGACACAGCAAGATACTGCTCTTATTCCACATAGTTCAAATTCTTAACAGAAAGAATCTTTGATTAGATTGAGACATTAGACAAGTAGCAAGCGACAGATGTTCATCATCTTAGAGCAATTTCAAAGAAAGAGGTGAAAAACAAGAGCACCTTAATGTCGAAGACTGGTCCTAATACTGAAAGCAAACATTTCACTTATTTATCAGTAACTTAATATGCAAAAATGTGAGTTGCATCAAACATGTTATTGTATCAAGAGAAAAACTTTGCTTACATACAAAACAGAATCTTGGCTGGAGATGAGGCAATCTGTGAGTCAGTTATTGGCATTTTCTGGGAGAACAGGGAACAACAGTTCTCTCCTACCAAACAAACTGATCAGGAAAGAAAAAGCAGTGCATTATACGGCTCTCTGGAAAACAACAGGGATAACAATGTCCTGAGTGTTTGGATTTTTGTTATGATGGGGCTACGTTGACTGGGCCATACTTCTAGGGCAGACATAATACTATCATTTTCTATTGTGACACCCCAGTACCTACACGGCATGGAGTACACAGCCTATTTAAATTTCTCTCCAAAAATTACAAGTTTGCCAGGCATAGTGGCATATGCCTACAGTCCCAGCTACTCAGGAGGCTGAGGCGGGAGGATCAACTGAGCCAGGAGGTCAAGGCTGCAGTGAACTGTGAATGCACCACTGCATTCTAACCTGGTGGCAGAACAAGATCCTGTCTCAAAAACACAAAACTCTCCAAAATAAATGCTACATCAGGGGAGGCGTCCTCTGAGAGCACACCATCAGTGTGGATTTCCCACCACCGCCCACCCACTCCTTGCTTTATTCGGAAATTCAACTAAACCATTCAAAATTTATGCTACAGAAGAACAGCATATGGTCCACTGATCAGATATGTTTAATGAAGCAACGTCTTAGGTAAGAGTCGGTGGTGTGGTCATCAAGCTTATCTTCCGGGGCATTGGTTTCTGCTCTGGACCAATCCTTAGGGAGAATCCAGGAAGGGGCCTCGGGGATTACTTAATCCAAACCCCTTACTTCACACAGAAAGAGGAAACGTGTTCCACGGGTTAAGCGCCCTACTCAGGAAAGATCAGGAAAGCTTCCAGAGCTGGAAAGGGTCAGGGCAGGGACTAATACATCTTTAATTCTAGGTTCTTTAGATAGTTCCCTGAGGCTAGGAGAGGTATGCGTGTGTATGGTGGGAGGTGGGGTGGGGTGGGATGAGGAGAGGTTGGTTAATGCATACAAACATACAGTTAGACAGAAGGAATAGGTTCTAGTGTTCAAGAACATAGTAGGGTGACTATAGTTAATAATAATATATTGCGTACTTCAAAATAGCTACAAGAGAAGATATAAAATGTTCCAAACACAAAGAAATGATAATGATGACGGATACCCTAAATACCCTGACTTGGGCATTACACAGTCTATGATTGTCTCAACACATCACACGTACCCCATAAGTACATGCAAATACTAAGTATCAATTTTTAAATTTCATACATTTTATACAGTGTTACCCTTGTACGCAGGATTTTTTTTTTTTTTTTTACCTTGAAAATAGCGAATCCTACCTCATTTTTGTTAGAGGGAAATGGCATAACTTACCGTCAGTTTTAAAATTAGAGCATTTACAAGACTTGTACCCTCTGCATTTTCTCCTCCTCCTCTGCCAGCCCATCCCTTTCTCCCGGACTACAGTCAGACGCACTCTTTTTCCGCAGCCTCAGCATGCTTACGTGACAGAAGCGGTTGGATGCTTCTGTGTTCCTCACTCTGACTCTGCCTTAGCTTTTCAAAAGCGGCTGCAGTAGAAGAATCCCCTTTGTGTACCGGAAGCTCTTTCAAACCTGTTTCCTGAGCCATCAATAAAGTTTATACCCTGCATATCCCTGCATGTAAGTCTAGATTTCTTTTGAAATCACTGACTCTTCCTAAGAATCTTCTAGAATAAATAGCTTTGAAGTTTCTTTGAATATAAGCTCATCTAATGTTATCAAATAGCTAGAGGGTCTCCCAATGACATTATTTGCAGAAGGTCTCACTGAGAGATCCACACATGTACTTTCTAGAGCTGGCCAGAGATTTGAAGTGGAGAAAAGCTTTGCTTCTGCAGTCTCAGAGTATAAACATGAAATGAAAACAGTGGTACTAAAGGCAGAAGCAGCAAGGAAACAAATTTTTTTCAAAAAGACAAAGGTTGGGGTAAGGCTGGGGAAAAAGGACAAATGTGCCACAAGAAATTTCAGCTTCCAAGAGATTTGTACTTTTCAGAATTGACATTTATCCATACGGCGAAATATTATTCATCCATAAAAAGAAATGAAATACTAACATAGGCTACACCACGGATGAACCTTGGAAACTTTATACTAAGTAAACGACGCCAGTCTTAAAAGGACCACATGTTCTACAATCAACCTTTTCTATTCATTCCTCAGAATAAGTAAATCCATAGAGATAGAAAGTAGACGGGGGAGAGCCTGGTGCTGGGGAATTTGGGGGAATGGGGAGTGACTGCTAATGGGTCCAGGGTTCCTTTTGGGGGTGATAAAAATGTTCTAGAAAGAGGTACTGGTGACCAATGGACAACTTTATGAATATACTAAAAGCCACTGAATTTTACATGTTAAAAGAGTGAACTTTTCCTGGGCAACATGGTAAAATCCCATCTCTACTAAAAATACAAAAATTAGCTGGCCATGGTGATGCGTGCCTGTAATCCCAGCTACTCGGGAGGGTGAGGCAGGAGACTCGCTTGAACCCAGGAGGTGGACGTTGCAGTGAGCCGAGATCACGCCACTACACTCCAGCCTGAGTGACAGAGTGAGACTCCCTCTCAAAAAAAAAAAAAGAAAGAGTGAACTTTGTAGTTTGTTTTATCTCAATACAGTGATTTTTTTTTTAAATAAAGTCTTCACATAAAACTCTAATCCTAATTGGTAGTTTCCTTCTTTTTAGCTTAGACCACCAGAAACATCCTGGACTTCATCCGTATGTCAGATTTTAGGATGGTAAAACAAGACGCCAGTAAGCAAAGCAGTTGTTTTACACACCTTAGAAAGCACATTGCCAGACATGAGAAGGATTCCCAACCTGTGTTATTTCTCTGGCTGCTGAGTACTTGAATGACTCTAAAAGGCAACTGAGAAGAAAAATTCCATACTGATAAAGGAGCACACACAACTTACCAAATTTGCTTTTTCTCTTGCTCTTCTTTTTTGTTCTTCTGATTTCAATTTTTCATTTAAAGCATCATTTTCACTCTTCAGATCATTGATTTGCTTCTAAAACACAATGAAATGTGGAACTTAAGTTAACAAGAAAACCCCAGAAACTCAGCATACGTACACAGAAACATTAAAACCAAACAAAATCAAAAATGATATTTTTTTTTGTGGGGGATACTGGGATATTGACATTCACCCACCTCTAGCGATTCCTGCTTCTCAGAAAGTAAATCTTCAAGCGATTTCTTTTCTATTTCATGGCCTTTCTTAATTTCTGGGAAAATAAACGGATATTTTTGAGGCAATAACATTCTATGAGATCAATGTACTCTAAAACAGTTAAAGCATATAGATGTAGGGGTTGATGATGAAGCCGTATGACGTTACTTTACATCTATAGTATGCTTTTATGTAAATTGGCCATCTGTTCTCAAAATGGCCTTGAGAGGTGGTTAGGGTAGACATTCCCATTTTATGACTGAGAGCCCTGAGGCCCACTGAAGCCCACCATGGCCCACAGAGGCCATGCGACCTTAGGACAACACTGAGTGCCATTTCAGGGCAGGCTCTCATAAATGCCACTCCAGACTCCTGGTCTGGAAACCCTGTGCTCTTTTCAATTTGCTCTTCATAACCTAAACATAAGTCTAAAATTATACTCATTTCTAGCAGGAAGGAAGAAAAACAATGTTCACTACAAGTCTGCCTGGAGCCAGTCACTTTTACACATTATCACCTCTGCCTGACTTTGGGCAACTCTATTTTTGTGGTGAGAAAGTCCTTGCTGAAGGTCACACAGCCGGTTCTTAGCACTCATCCACGCTGCTCTGTAAGATGCAACTGGTTTAGTAGAAAGACTGTGAGCGACACTGCCGATTCTGTTCTGAAAGCAATGGCTTACACCCTCCCACTGATGACAGATGAAAAATAGAAAAGACTATTTTTCTATTCAATAAGTGGCATCGACATTTCACAGCAACACTGCTGTGCAGGAGCACTTGGGGTGGATCCTTTACTGTGGATTACAAGATAGAAACTTGTACTTGCCACTTCCCAGGGACCTAAGCTGGCAACCACCACCGCCAAAATGGCCTTTACAGTCTTCCAAAGCCCATCCTATTTAACACAAGGCTGGCATTTGTAACTATTATTTGCATCCTTAGTGGGAAAAGGCATCTGTTAACAATAAACCACGCAAAAAGGAACCAAGAACACCCCAGCCTGAAGGCCACAGGGCATTCGCTGAAGCAGGAAGTTATGAATCATTTCCATCTTAAAACATCATGTGGTTCCTTCAGATTTTATTCTGTTTAAAGAGGAAAAAAAGCATCCTTGCCTGAAAGGGAGGCTTCATAGGCCTTCTTTAGCAATTCAAGTTTCTCTGAGTGGCTAGCTTCAATTTCCAACTTAGAGGTTTCATGCGCAGCATTTAAGTTGTCAAACTGTAAGCAACAAACAAAACCGTGGTTTAACAGTAAAACCAAATGTCCTAAGTTGAATACGCAAAGCAACCACATTAGGAGACGTCACAGCTTCACAGGTAAGCGTGGGCTCTAGTTTAAAGGCTCCTCAACACATACAAAGGTCAGGGCAGTGGTTCACACTTGTAACCTCAGCACTCTGGGAGGCAGAGGTGGAGGATCACTTGGAGCCCAGCAGTTCAAGTCCAGCCTGGGCAATGTCGCGAGACTCTGTCCCCACATGTGCACACACAAAGAATGCATGAAGAGCAACGCAACTGGGATTCACCGCTCAACTCTCCTCTGTCTCCTTCCCTACCCTCAGGAACACAGACACAGAGGCTCTCCAGGGTGACAGATGGAAATGGCTGCATCAGTCACAAGGAATGACCAGGAACGAGGATATGTTTCACAGTGACAGGGCCACATGCTCTGCGCCTGTCACTTGACCACTCAGGCCCTAGCATGTGCCTGGCCTGGAGTAGGCACTCTGTAGATATTTACTAAATGAAAAACTGAGTTAAAAAGGGAGCTACAAAATTAAAAAGGTTTGATATTTTATTCAGTGAAAAAAAAAATGGGATATTTAAACAGATGCCACTAAAAAAAAAAAAAAGAAAGAAATGCAAAACAATAGTTTGGCAACACACCACCAGGATGTTTACAAGGGATTATTTCTGGGTAGAAAGAAAGGGTTGTTTTTTCAATTTTATCTTTTCCTCCTCCTTTTCTTCCCTTCTTTCACTTAACATAATACATTCCTTTGGTCATAAGAAAACTATTCAATTAAAAAGATACTGTTTCCAAGGCAGGCGGATCACCTGAGGTTGGGAGTTTGAGACCAGCCTGGCCAACATGGTGAAACCCCGTCTCTACTAAAAATACAAAAATTAGCTGGGCATGGTGATGGGTGCCTATAGTCCCAGCTACTCAGGAGGTTGAGGAAGGAGAATCACTTGAACCCGGGAGGCAGAGGCTGCAGTGAGCCAAGATCAAGCCACTGTACTCCAGCCTCCAGCCTGGGAGACAGAGTGGGACTCTGTCTTAAATAAACAACAACAACATGCTTTTTATACCTATTAGACTAAAAAAGAGAAGCTCATCAAGATGTGAAGAGCAACCAGGATTCAAGTAAGCAGCAGAGGCCTCAGACAAGCTCTGGCTGCAAAAGCACAGACCTGCTCTTGCAATTGCATTTTGTACTTCTCTGCTTCTTCAATGTAAGTGTCCCGAAGCTTTTCATACTCCCTGGTGTAAAACTCTTTAAGCCGATTCTCTCGTTCTGTTTTTTCAGCCTGGTGCTGCTGGACGAATGCTTCATACACTGTTTGTAACTCATTCCTGGCTTTTTCTAATTTCTCACAGGTGGTTGAAGCAGTGACTGAAAACAGAGGAGAAAGAAGAGGGAAGAGGTCATTTTATTTGTGAAATGTCCTATATTCATTACAGTCACACACAGCTGTGATGACACCTGAAGCATACACCCATGATGTCTTGGGTCTCTAGTGACCATGTCTTCAAATATAACAGTATGGAAGTGAACTGTAAAAAGGAACACGAGGGCAGGGCGCAGTGGCTCACACCTGTAATCCCAGCACTTTGGGAGGCTGAGGTGGGGGAATCACCTGAGGTCAGGAGTTCAAGACCGGCCTGGTCAACATGGTAAAACCCTGTCTATCTTAAAAATACAAAAATTAGCCGGGCATGGTAGCAGGTGCCTGTAATCCCAGCTACTCGGGAGGGTGAGGCAGGAGAATTGCTTGAACCCGGGAGGCGGAGGTTGTAGTGAGCCAAGATCACGCCACTGCACTATAGCCGGGGTGACAGACTGAGACTCCATCTCAAAAACAAACAAACAAAACCCCCCCCCACCCCACATTCAAAAAACTGACTCCCAAGCAGTAAGAGAAGTACTTCAGAAGACCCAGGTTTCTAAGAGAAGATCCCCTCTCATGTGGTGACCAGTCAATGCAGTGGTCAAGAAAAGAGCCTTGGCCAGGCAGAGACATTTCTTAGGACAAGCGACTCCTCCCTCTCCCAGCCAGCCAGTGTGGTAGAAGCTCACACAAGAGCAGGAAAGACGAGGGATAAGAAACAAGTGGACCGGCCGGGCGCGGTGGCTCACGCCTGTAATCCCAGCACTTTGGGAGGCCGAGGCAGGTGGATCATGAGGTCAGGAGATCGAGACCACGGTGAAACCCTGTCTCTACTAAAAATACAAAAAATTAGCCGGGTGTGGTGGTGGGCGCCTGTAGTCCCAGCTACTCGGGAAGTTGAGGCAGGAGAATGGCGTGAACCCAGGAGGCGGAGCTTCCAGTGAGCCGAGATTGCGCCACTGCACTCCAGCCTGGGCGACAGAGTGAGATTCTGTCTCAAAAAAAAAAAAAAAAAAAAAAAGAAACAAGTGGACCTTAAACTTGTAGTTAATTTGAGTTGATTATAATTTGTTATTTCAAAACTAATAAAAATAAAATATTAGCCTCTATTAAACGCAAATCACCAGAGCACAAATATCTTAGGGAAAAAAAAACACATCTTAAAAGCACCCACATAGGCCAGGCACGGTGGTTTGTGCTATAATTCAAGTATTTTAAGAAGCTGAGACCGGGCGCGGTGGCTCACGCCTGTAATCCCAGCACTTTGGGAGGCCGAGGCGGGCGGATCACGAGGTCAGGAGATCGAGACCATCCCGGCTAAAACGGTGAAACCCCGTCTCTACTAAAAATACAAAAAATTAGCCGGGCGTAGTGACGGGCGCCTGTAGTCCCAGCTACTTGGGAGGCTGAGGCAGGAGAATGGCGTGAACCCGGGAGGCGGAGCTTGCAGTGAGCCGAGATCCCGCCACTGCACTCCAGCCTGGGCGACAGAGAGAGACTCCGTCTCAAAAAAAAAAAGAAGCTGATGCAGGAGAATCATTTGCACCTAGGAGTTCATGACCAGCCTGGACAACATAGGGAAACCCATCTCTTAAAATTAAAAAAAAAAAAAAAAAATTATCCAGGCATGATGGTGTGGGCCTGTAGTCCCTGCTACTGAGGAGGCTGAGGTGGGAGGATCACTTGAGCTCAGGAGATTGAGGCTGCAACTGTTGGGCAACAGAGCAAGACCCTATCTCAAAAAAAAAAAAAAAAAAAGCAATATAAAATGAAAGGTTAAAAAAATTTATATATGTATACATAGGTACATATGTGCACGTATATATGCATACATATGTATGCATGCATATATGTATATATCTATGTGTACATGTGTATATATGTACATATATGTATGCATATATACATGCATATACATATACATATATAATACATATATACACATATATACACTATATATATAGACACACACACACACACACACACACACACACACACACAGAGTCTTGCTGTATTGCCCAGGCTGAAGTGCAATGACACAATCTTGGCTCACTGCAACCTCCAACTCCCAGGTTCAAGCGATTCTCCTGCCTCAGCCTCCTCAGTAGCTGGGATTACGGCACATGCCACCACGACCAGCTAATTTTTGTATTTTAGTAGACACATGGTTTTACCATGTTGGTCAGGCTGTTCTCTAACTCCTGACCTCGTGATGCGCCTGCCTCGGCCTCCCAGTTAATATATTTTAAAAGGGCAAAGTAATCTGATACACATAATTGAAAATCAGAACATCTTAGCTCTTCCCTACAACTACCAAAAATAGAATGACTAACAATATAATACATGGCAGAACACAACCAAAGATATATGTACACACACTACAATAAATCCTAGAAAATCTTGAATTCCTTAGGAAGCCTGACTTTGGACATTCCCAGTCTTCTGTCACCGATGTGTAAATACAGGCAGACAGGGTACTACTGTAACTGTCAGGGATACACATGCTGTCCACATCCCCAGAGTACTCGTGGATTAATACGACAGGGTTGCTGGCAAATCTGTTAAATTAACCCTTACCTCTCTTTGGAAAGGAATAACATATCAGGAGTTGAAGGAAGAAGATTATTTTAGGGCACAGAAAAGGACAATTTAGATCAATAATTATTTGGCCTAAGGAACGTGAAAATGGCAGGTTCTTAGGAAGATTTCCTACAATGGTGTCAACTTGTTATCTCAGGAACCTGCCATGTGGTGGTAGAAATACCCAAGTCACTTGCCCCCAGTCAGTATTCTTTCAGAGGAAAAGGAGGCCACATTGAAATAATGGCAGGAATAGTGTCTGCCAAAGAGAACCCTTAAAAATTAAATCAATCTACAAATGTTTATTGAAGGGCAAAGATTTAACATTAAAAAAAAATCCCCAAAACAAAAACTATTTCTCGTTGCCTGGCACAGAATGGGGCTCTTTATCTTGTTTAACCCTCACAGAGGACCCTCCTAAACATATAGATAAGGAAACCGCCACAGAGAGGCTAAATCATCTGCCCAGGGGCACAGAGCTGGCAAGCGTGAGAGGATGGGTTTCGGTGAGCAGTCTGAATTCTGATTCTGCCTGCACCCAAAGCCCGTGCCCCTTCTTTTCTACCAAGCTGTTTCTTGTGCTGGGGCTGGCAAGGCGCATGATGGGGCCTCTACTGGAAGAGACAACAGACAGAGGAGAAGTGGCAGGACCAGGCCAGACCTTGGGGCCCAGGGAGTGGCACTCAGGATAGTTTACGTCCAGTCAGGGTGGACCAAAGGTTTGGTCAGATTTTTAAAACAATTAAAAAATAAATAAATAAAAACTGTGATGAGGGCTGGGCACAGTGGCTCACGCCTGTAATCCCAGCACTTTGGAAGGCCGAAGCGTGCAGATCATGAGGTCAAAATATCCAGACCATCCTGGCCAACATGGTGAAACCCCATCTCTACTAAAAATACAAAATTAGCTGGGCGTGGTGGTGTGTGCCTGTAGTCCCAGCTACTCAGCAGGCTGAGTGAGGCAGGAGAATCGCTTGAACCCGGGAGGCAGAGGTTACAGTGAGCCAAGATCGCACTACCGCACTCCAGCCTGGCGACAGGGAAAGACTTCATCTCAAAAACAAAAACAAAAAAACTGTGATGAAGCAGATACCAAATTAACCATTTTAATTATTTTTAGGTGTATGATTCAGTGGCATTGAATACACTTACATCGTTGTGTAAGCTTTGTCATCATCCATTCTCCAGAACGTTTCCCCCCAACCTGAAACTTCGTACCAATTAAACAGTAACAACCCATCCCCTCCCCTTCCCCAAGGCCCTGGCAGCGACCATTTTACTTTCTTTCTCTATGAATCTGACCATTCAGTACCTCATATACCTGGACTCAAATAGTACTTGTCCTGTTGTGACTGTTTATTTCATTTAGCGTATGTCCTCAAGGCTCATCCAAGCTGTGGGATGTGTCACAATTTCCTTCCTTTTGAAGGCTCAATATTATTCCATTGTTGGCCGGGTGCAGTGGCTCACGCCTGTAATCCCAGCATTTTGGGAGGCCAAGGCAAGCAGATCGCTTGAGTTCAGGAGTTCGAGACCAGCCTGGCCAACATGGTGAAACCCCATCTCTAGTAAAAATACAAAAATTAGCGGGGCATGATGGCGCACGTCTGTAGTCCCAGCTACTCGGGAGGCTGAGGCAGGAGAATCGCTTGAACCCAAGCAGTGCAGGTTGCAGTGAGCCAAGATAACGCCACTGCACTCCAGCCTGGGTGACAGAGCAAGACTCCGTGTCAAATAATAATAATGATAATATTCCATTGCACGTACAGATGACATTTGTGTATCCACTTACCATCCACGGACACTTGGGTTGCCTCCACCTTTGGCTACTGTGAATAATGCTGCTATGAACACCGGGGGACAAATACATGCCCGAGTCCCTGCTTTCAATTCTTTGGTGTATATACCCAGAAGGAATTGCTGACTCATATGGCAATTCTATTATTAATTATTTGAAGGACTATGGTACTCTTTTCCATAGTGGTTGAACCATTCTACATTCCCATCAGCAGTACTACACACAAGGGTTCCAATTTCTCCACATGCTCACCAGAACCTATTTGATTTTTTCAAATATATGTAACAGCCATCCTAATGAGTACATCACTGTGGTTATGATTTGGTCAGTAGATTTTCAAATTAAGCCATATGATAGAAATAAAATTGAGGCATCAAGGATGAAAATCCTATCCCAGCATGAGCAATGATGGGCGACAGAACGGTGAGCCTTGGTGATTAAGAAACTCACAAAGCAGAGAAGATAGAACCCAAAAAGACAGACGGAGGCCAGATTACAGGGGCCATCGCACGCAACTCAAGCCTTTGGGACTGAATATTAAAAGTTTCTTTTCTCCTTTAAAAGAATTTAGTGAAAGATAGTGATGGTCTTGACTGCTGGAGAACATTCTCTGCACATTCACTTTTCCTTCTATTACACTAGTAACCACAGAAGAAAAAATGACTCAAGAAGTCCAATGTTAGTCAAACGAGTAAACACTGCATTAGCTTCTGCCAAGTAACTTTCCGACTCTGAAGGCTCCTCGTGTGAATCTCGTATTAGAACTTTCTATGAAAACCTACAACAGAAACATACTTTGCAAGCCGTTGGTGAAGGTATCAAATAGCTTCTAGTCAGAGAAATTCTAGTTTCACGCAGGCTTTTCACTTGCTTCTCTTAAAATTTCCGGTATTTCCAAAGTTAAAAAATAAAAAAGCAGGAACAAGATCTGAACCCATCTGGAAGCTCATATCTGGGACAGAAACATCTAAGTGAACTCAGGGACTCAGCAATAAACAAGAGACTGCCTCCAAGCCCTGGGCTAGAAGAGCTTCGAAGCTGACGTTAATAGCAGACTACCCTGGCTGATTTTAACACATCTGTTTATGATAAAAATACTGTCGCTTTGAATATGTAATTGTGGCACATCAGCCTTTAAAACCAAATAGGATACACAGAAGTCCTTTCCTATTAGCCATGGGACAGGGCTGTTTCCCTCTATTCACCAAAAAAAAAAAAGGCAGCTCTGACGTTTTGATAAGTGAGGTGAAGAGAGGACACATGGGAAGAAACGGGAAAGAGAAAGGGAGAAAATGGGTCAGATGGGGGAACAGGAGGTTCACTGCTGTTATTGTAATAGTCCAAAGCAGCAGGCCCAGCCCCAGACAGTGACATCAGCCTGCAGCTGTGCACAGACCTTTGCTCTGTTTACTGGCCCGGTGTGCTGCTGGGGAACAGCTGGGCTGCAGTAATCGCTCACACTAATGGCTTTCGTTTGAAGGAAGTGGCCTGGGCTGCGAAGGAAACATTTATTTGGCATAAAGACTCATGAAGTATTTTTTAAAGGATGCACATGTAAACGCTGTATTAAAGGTTCTCAGAGTGCTCCTCGGCAGCTGTGACATAAACGTGTGTGTGTGGCGGTGGGGGGCGTGCATAACCCCGATTTTAGGCCATGGACTTTCCTGTGCACTGACTACAGCTTAGGAGAGATTTATGGTGCCACCTGTGTGTGCTCTCACTCCTATCCTCAGCCTAGTCTCTTCTTGCTCATTCTCCAGAATTCCACTCACTTTCAATTAATCAGACACCCCACAAAGCCAAAACCAAACATAAAATTGTTTCGAATTTGCAACAAGCAAGCATGGACATGCGAATGTTTGAAAGAAGGTATTAGACAAACACAAAGTCAAAGTAGTCTTTTTGTCCCTATTTTTTTTTTTTTTTTTTTTTTTTGAGATAGAGTCTCGCACTGTCACCTGGGCTAGAATGCAGTGGCACGATCTCGGCTCACTGCAACCTCCACCTCCCGGGTTCATGCGATTCTCTTGCCACAGCCTCCCGAGTAGCTGGGACTACAGGTGCACACCACCACACTTGGCTAATTTTTTGTTTTTTAGTAGAGATGGGGTTTCACTATGTGGGTAAGACTGGTCTCGAACTTCTGGCCTCATGATCCGCCCACCTCAGCATCCCAAAGTGCTGGAATTACAGGTGTGAGCCACTGTGCCTGGCCTCTGTTGTTTTAATCATTCCATTAGTCTATTTTTTAAAAAAGCACATATATGATTAGGAACACCAACAGACCACCATCTGTAGGAGAACTGCTGGGCAACTTTTGTATACATGTTTGTAAACCATGAAAGCTATCTCCAGCAATCTAGCTTAAAAGAGGAAATACAGTTCTCAGGATTTAAGGAAAAAGAGAAAAAAAAAAAAAGAAAAAGGAAGAAAGGAGGAAGGGAGGGAAGGGGAGGAAGGAGAAGAAGGAAAGGAAGGCAAACTCATGTACAAAAACATCTCTAAAATGTAAGGCCACATTGAGATTAGAAGTCAGTATTTTCACTCTGCAATGAATCACCCAAGAAGAATTCTAGGCCAGTGACCCTCCCTGACAGTTTAAATCATGGATATCTCAGCAAGAAAAAAAAATCGTAATCAGTGAAATGCTTTAAGTTTTGCTTTTCAAGTAATTATCAAGATGATATGTGGAAAATGCCCAGTGCCACAGTCAAACATAATCTCTGGAAAACAGAGCTGGAGTCCTCCCAGGTCCTTCATTACTTAGCCCTGCAGAACTGGAGTGGAGCCATTACTTAATTAGTCCTCATGGCTTTTTCTCAGAGGGGAAGGTCAGACTTTTATTATTTCCATCTCACAGAGACTCATTTCCCTTTGTTGATTGATAAATGTACTGTTTACAGAGAAAAGCATTACACAGCCATGGCCCGACATTGTTAATATTCTTTTGAAATGATACAGTGCTTTCCTAGTTTTTATATCTGAGTAGCATGGTTCATTATGAGACGACCAAAAATATTTTAATGCTCAAGAACATAAATAAATGTCCTAATAGGATAGAGCCAAAATTACTTGGGTTCAAATCTCAGTCACACCACTCAGCTGCTACATCACTTGAGCAAATTACTTAAACTTTCTAAGCCTACTTTTTGTTTTGTTTTGTTTTGTTTTTTTTGAGACAGAGGCTTCCTCTATCACCCAGGCTGGAGTGTAGTGGCACAATCTCAGCTCACTGCAACCTCGGCCTCCCAGGTTTAAGCGATTCTCCTGCCTCAGCCCCCTGAGTAGCTGGGATTACAGGCATGCACCACCATACCCGGCTAATTTTTGTATTTTTAGTGGAGACAGGGTTTCACTACGTTGGCCAGGCTGGTCTCGAACTCCTGACCTCAAATGATCTGCCTGCCTCGGCCTCCCAAAGTGCTGGGATTACAGGCATGAGCCACCGCACCTGGCCTAAGCCTACATTTCTTCATTTTTAAAGTGGAGATATTATTAGTCCCTTCTCTAGAAGATGAAATAGCACAGGTGAAGCACTCACCCCAGTGCCTGACCACAGTAACTTTGCAGATAAATTGTATAACTGTTACGGCTTGCAAGAGTCCATTGATTCCAGTGTGTTTGAAGACTCCTGGAAGACAGGCTTAGGGTTCCATAACAGAAATATAACAGTTAAAAAGCAGCATTGCTGGCCTCGTATTCAAATTTGATGCATATGAACACACAGACGTAGCTATTATGGTGGAGTGTACACTCACTTCAAGTCTTTCCCTTCCGCTACTATTGTTCTTGACATTATACGCAATAGAATTTTCCTAATTTGGAGGAGATTTTATGTAAATCAGAACTAAAATATAAAAAAGAAAAGTGCCAGGCAAATTTTCATAGCGCCACATAAGAGAATACCATAGAAAGAAGAGACGAACAGGAAAAAGAGATGATTCCATTCCCAAACTGCACACATACTCCTTTCCCAGACGCTCTGGCCAGCCTGCTGTGGGTGGCGACTCTCCCCCACCCCACCCCGAAATCCCCCTCTCTGCACCATCTAGGATGGAGAAGAGCAGCCTGCCTCCAGCTCTGCCTGCAGTGGGCCCCTCACTCTCTCTTGGCCGCCTGGGAAACCGGCCTCCTCCTCTCAGTTCTGGGCTCCTTCACTTCTTTCTTCAACAGTACATACCCATTACACTTCTCGGGGTAAACAGAACTGTCACTTCTCTTGTGCCCCACCCCCAGAAGCAGGAGGGGACACTACATTCTACCGTAGGAGTGTGATGATGTCATAACATTCTACTAAGGGAAATCCGAGGAAATCCGATCCTGACACACGTCCATGGCAAGCGACTATGTAGGTGACCCCCTTAAGCCAAGGTCTGATCTGGTTTGAAACTGGAGGTAGTAACATCACTGAACAAGTAACCAAGAAGTCATTTTTAAACATCAAATTGATGCTTTGTGGACAGGCAGTGGCCTAAAGAAGAAAAAAAAGGTGGGACCCAGACTATCCCACAAATAGGCATGTCCAGTTTCCTGGGCCTCCGTGTCCTGATATGGAAGGTAGGAACAAATACCACCTGTTCTGCCAACAGTATAGATTGGTGATAGTAAAGTGAAACAGAGTTACTCTTATGCTTTGTAGAAAGTCTTCCCAGCCTGTGGAATAATCCCCTACTCACATAGTGCCAGGGTTTGCCTCTCTAAAGATACTTTGTCAAATGACCAAGAAATTTTGCAGACAAGTGGTAGACCAGGTTCTTTTTCTACATTTCCAAATTATCTCCAAATGCCTTTCTGATTACTCCTGGGCATTAAATCAACAAATCACTAAGAGCTCATTTCAAAGTCTTCCATAAATCATAAATTATTAGGAACTTGCTTTTTACAAAAGGCCTGCACAATCAAATCAATCCTCCCATAAATGCCACTTCACCTTTAAAACTCAGTTCATACTTTACAAGGTGCTCTCACATTTGTTTCATTTAATGTAACAATGCTCTGAACGAATAAAATAGGTATTATCAGACATCTCATTTTACCAAAGAAGAATGGAAATAACGGAGCTGGATCTACAACTCCAGCCTCTTTGTTGTTGTTGTGTTTTGAGTAGATATGGGGTTTCACCATGTTGGCAAGGCTGGTCTCAAACTCCGGGCATCAAGCGATCTGTCCACCTCAGCCTCCCAAAGTGCTGGAATTACTGGCTTGAGCCACTATGCCCGGCCCTAGAACTCCAGCCTCTTTGAGAGCCTAACCACAGAACACCCAGCGGGATCTGACTGGCTATTTTTCCCAGCCTGAGATGTAGAAGACAAAGTTAATTCACACGTACCATGGATGCCTCAGGGTAGTAGGGCTTAATTCTCTTGTGGAAGCACTGCTGAAAAGATTCCAAGATAAGGCAGGTAAAAAAATGACCTTTCCCCCCCTATACTGGGTAGTGCTGACAAAGTGTGACTCACAGGTGGGAAGACAATTCCACCCAGCCAGCCTGTCTTCCATCTCCATCTTGGTGCCTAGGTACCAGCCGGGCCTCCCCTAAGGTTCTAGCCTCTCCCTGCCAGTGTTCCTCCTCCCACCCTTGAAGAGAAGCCTGCAAAGGCCATTTGCTGTTTTTCAGCTCATTCACTGGCCAGCATGCTGCAGAACAGATGCTTTTTTTTTTTTTTTTTTTTTTTTAAATCACAACAGCAAACACTCCGTGTATAAACGAACACATTTAGGAATAAAAGTGGGTTGGAGGCGAGAGCACAGCTGAATATCTGACAATATGTTCTAAGATTCAGGCCTGAGAAAAAGTGAGGCTGACTTTAAAGGAATCCTGTTTCAATCAAGAGTTTCAATGTAAAAAAAAAAAAAAGGATGATTTTAAGTCAGGGACTATTCATTCTGCCTCTTCTCCTCACTGACGGATCATTTTTAGAGCACGAGGGTCAAAAAGGCTGCTAAAAGTCCTTGGCATGTGTAAAATTTAAAAGCTTATTTATAAGAATGGACTCAATTCACTCGGAGTTACTTCATATTATTCTTACTATGCTTGAGATATGTATGTATTTTTTTACATAAAAGAAACAACATTCTAGGCAGCTAGAGCAGTGTCAAAGGGTAGTCCTGGGGCACCTACATGAGAACCACCTGGATGATCATTAAAAGTGCAGATTCCTCCTCAATTTCCATTAAGGGAAAGGTTTTGCTTTATTTTTCTTTGCAGGTAGCCAAAGCTGTACTCAGATATTGCTAATAAGGAAGAAAAACTGGTCTCCTGTTAACCTGAGGACACTAGGGCCAGAGGTCAGGAAGAGGGATCACCTTCCCCATCAACACAACATCTTTTTAGAAGTGCTGCCTCTCCTTCTGTAATTGGGAAGCACCTATTACTATTCCTTAAAGCCCAAAGAGGGGTTAGTAGGATGATGGGTATAGGAGACGTTGGGGTTTAAAAAAAACAAAGTGCAGATTCCTGGACTTCATCCCCAGCCAACCAAGTCAGAAGCAATGGGCATGAGAACTGAGGATCTGCATTTCAACCAGGTCTATTTTCGTACACAATAAAGTTTGGGAGCCACTATTCTACACAATAAGGTATTAAATTAGGAAAATCCCAAGTTGAGAGACTGGAGTTAGGACAAGGAACAGGACAAGGAGGAACAGTCAGTGGGTTTCAAACACAGGTACCACTGGTAAAACTGCATATCTGCAGGTGAAAGAACATGGCCTTTTACTTATAAATACAGCCAACCAAAGTCCAAATTGAGGGCAGATGTGGATAGGAAGAGAATGAGCTAAGTCTGAGGTGGCTATCAACTCAGTCTTCAAACAAGTCAGGGAGATAAACAGCCCTGTTTTGGTGTACAGTTGGTTTTCAGTATATTAATAGATTTTTCATTAAAGCCTACTTCAAGAAAAGTCACTTCTGGAATTTTACAACTCAAAAGTGACTTACCTGTAAAGAGTTTAAAAATTATTTTAAATACATAGCCTTGTTAAACCAAAATTGTAGATAAAAACGGAACAGTGAATGAATCAACACATTCCATATGGCGTGAGGCAATGTGAAGTTCATAGACACTGGGTTAAGTGTTGATTAGGCAATGTGTATACTGCTTTTGGCAATGTACTGTTTTTTGCAAGTTACTTTCCTCAGTAAGATACATTTTAACAATATTTCTTAAACTCTTGATTAGAAGAAAAATATTCCAAAAGTAGCTATCAATGCAAACGAGCGTTTATTTCAAATAGTTTTCCAATCTTTTAAATCATTTCATCAAACTTTCCCTGTGGTGACTACCAGAAGATTGGTGGTCTAGCCATCTTGGGTTCTTATGCAAGCTCTTTGCTTTCCAGCTTCCCTTGGGAAGTTACTTAACCTCTGAGCCACAATTTATTTTTTATAAATACAATGCAGAGAAGTAGACTGAGAGCTGAACATTGTTTGTTAGGGATGAGTAGGCACCAAACACACGATGTTGTTATACCTAGCTCATAATTTTCATGCACAAAAATCAACTGGTCTTTTTACACTATTATAGGAAGGGCAAGCATTTTTAGTGAATTAAGGATTAAAATCTTGTTTCACAAAATAGAAATAATCAGGACTAATGTATAAAAAGATGAGAGTTAGCTGTTAATTGTGATGGCTCAAAAATAATTTTGAAATACAAAATAATCTTCATTAATTTAGATCAAGCTTGTCCAACTCACAGCCTGCACGTGGCCCAGGACAGCTTTGAATGCGGCCCAACACAAATTTGTAAACTTTCTTAGAACATTATGAGATGTGTGAATTTTTTTCTTTTCGTCATCAGCTATTTGCTAGTGTTAGTGCATTTTATGTGTGGCACTAGACAATTCTTCTTCCAACGTGGCCCGGGGAAGCCAAAAGATTGGACACCCCTGATTTAGATGAAAAGTCTGATTCCAAGGATTAACATTAATGAAAAGCAAAAAGAACTCTAAAGATCATAATCATGGCCCTCTATTGCACCAGCTGTTATTCAACATGACTCTGGAAAGAATCTTATCCTAGAGGCAAAATGTCTGCTGCAGATGTAGACCATTTAACTGTAATCTATTTCCAAGGCTGACACTTTCAAAATGATCTGATTAACTGGGATTGTCGGACATAATATAAAATGTATCCAAGAGAGTTACAGCTCTCCTTTATGACTATGCATTCCTAAAGGACAATTATCTTTTCTTTTCAAGATGTGGATTTCATTTTTTAATTATTCTGACTCTGCTTTAAACTTTTATTTTAGGTTCAGGGGCACATGTGCAGGTTTGTTATTTGGGTCAACTTGAATCACAGGGGCTTGTTGTACAGAATATTTCATCACCCCGGTACTAAGCCCAGTACCCGATAGTTATTTTTTCTGCTCCTCTCCCTCCTCCCGCCCTCCACCCTCAGGCAGGCCCCAGTGTCTGCTGTTCCCCTCTTTGTGTCCATATGTGTTTGTCATAGAAATGTTAAACGGTTTATAGAAAAACATTTGTGCATAAAAAACACTGAGTATTAGCATATTTTAAGAAGAAAACTACCTTTCCCTAGCTACCACTGTTGGTAATAAAATCATTCATTGATTGAAGTCTAAGCACCTGCTAAGTGCCAAGCACAAGGTGGGAGAACTACAAAAATTAAGGAGCTATTGGCCTTGCCCTTGAAGAGTTCCTAATTCTAGATGGCAAGAAGAGGTCTATAAACAAATCTCTGTAAGAACAAAATCTTAAATGTGTACAGGGTGCTTTGAAAAGCACACTAGAAGGCACAGTTAACTTACTTGAAAGATTTGGGTGAAATTCAATTGAAGATATTTTAGCTAAGACTTAAAAACTGAGTAAAAGAGAAGGAGCATGAGGGGTCCGCGACGGGAGGGGAGTGGAAAGAGGAGAGTGCACTCCAGGCAGAGAGGATACCGTGCAAAAGATGTGGACAAGAGGTGCAAATGAACCCATGGCCGGGGCCTGGGAGGGGAAAGGAGGTCTGAACAAAGGGGAAAGAGTGCCTAGACGTGAATTTGGACTGGAAGATTTCAATCAGTCAAATCATAAATGGTGTGCTTAGTATGTCTGGATTTTTTCCCCCAAGGCCAAAATAGAGTCTTTTGTGTTTGTTAAAAATGTCCAGTACAGGCCAGGAGTGGTGGCTCAAGCCTATAATCCCAACACTTTGGGAGGCCGCAGCAGGTGGATCACCTGAGGTCAGGAGTTCGAGACCAGCCTGGCCAACATGGTGAAACCTCGTCTCTACTAAAATACAAAAATTAGCCGGCCGTGGTGGTGCGCACCTGTATTCCCAGCTACTCGGGACGCTGAGGCAGGACAGTCACATGAATCCAGGAGGTGGAGGTTGCAGTGACCCAAGATCATGCCACTGCACTCCAGCATGGGTGACAGGGTAGAAAACTCCTTCTAAAAAACAAAAAAAACAAAATGTCCAGTAGAGACACATGTCAGCCTGACTCTAAGTACAGATCCTGGCCGCAAGTGGAGTTGGGGGCGCAGGCCTGGAGGCAAGGTGACCCATTGGGTAGCTGTTGCAGTATCTTCCAGGTGAGAAATTGTGGGACTTAAAACAGCAGCAGCCAGAATGCTGAGCAGGGATGGATCCAAGTGGCATTTAGGACACAGACTGACATGCACGTGGAGGATGGGGGAACAGGAGTATGATTTCAGTTGTTAGCTTGGGTGGTAAGTGAATCATATCGACCCTGCCAAAGCTGAGGAACAGGGGTGAATGAGGAGACGCTGCATGGCGCTCAGGAAGGAAGGGGCTGGACCATCAGGAAGGTCTGATTATACTGGACTGGCTCACCTGGGGGCAGCCCCTCACTGGGAAGCATCTGCAGCTTGGGAAGGAGAGAACTAGAAAAATAAATCTGTGTCACTGTTGTATAGGTAGTAGCGGAAACCATGGGAATGGATGAGAAAACAGCTGGCAATGAAACCCTTGCTATATACTATGACACTATTTAAGGGGTAAGTGAACGTATGGGACAGCCACTTGACAGACTTTCCCCCAGCCCATTAAAGGTGATCATAATGAACACTATGAGGCAATGTGGAAAAGTGCTTGACCTATCCAGTGAAAAAGATCACAGCAGACATCTGACCAGGTGCCATGGCTCACATCTGTAATCCCAGCACTTTGGGAGGCCGAGACGGGCGGATCACTTGAGGCAAGTGTTAGAGACCAGCCTGACCAATATGGTGAATCCCTGTCTCTACTAAAAATACAAAAATTAGCCCAGCATGGTGGTATGCACCTATAATCCCAGCTATTCGGGAGGCTGAGGCAGGAGAACTGCTTGAACCCGGAAGGCAGAGGTCACAGTGAGCCGAGATAGTGCCAGTGCACTCCAGCCTGGCAACAGAGCAAGACCCTGTCTTTAAAAAAAAAAGATTGGAGCAGACACTTAACATACACAAATCTCAAAAGTATTATGAAACAAGCCAGAGACAAAAAACAGCATACTATATCTTTCCATTTAAATGAGAATCTAGTTCAGACAAAACCTTTGATAATAAAGGTTAAATCAGTGTTTGCTTCTAGGGGGAGGGGTGTTCCACTGTGAAATGGCATGAGGGAATTTACTGGATTGACAGAAATAGTCTATGCTTGATAAGGATGTAGGTTTTAGGAGTATATGTCTGTCAAACTGATGGAATAATTAGCATTCCGCTGTATGAAAATTACACCTTAATTTAAAAAATCGTAGTATGAAGTTGTATATATTCATATAAACTAAGAAAAGGGAATATGCAAATAAAGTTATGTCAGGGCAGTGGAGCTGCCGGCTGTTTTCTTTTCACTTAAAAATCTTAATTTTCATACATTGTTCTAAAAAAAAAAAAAACTTTAAAACTTAAAATACCCAAAAATATTTATCGAGTACCCAAGAAAACAGAAAGCATATTATATTATTTTTCCATAGGAAACAGAAAAGAATCCCTACAATTATGGACTTTATACCTGAAGGTAACAAGAAAACACGAGACAGTAAAGACATCAACGTAGAGTATCAAAAAATCACTGGACCAAAGGGACACTTTTAAGAGTTTCTGCAGAAGCAAAGAACCAGTGCTTCCATGAAGGGAGTGTGGCTCAGACAGTGGAAACACACAGGCTGCTTTGGACACTGCCACAGTGAGACTGAGGGAACAACGGGAAAGTCAGTGGATGCTGGGACAGCTGGAGGCTGTTAGATGCGGAAGGTGGAAAGCACAGACTCTACCTGGGTTTCAGTGCTCCTGAGTTTATGAACTGTCCTTTTTCTTTGCAGTTCTTAGTAGTTTGGGTACCTTGTCTCAACTTTCATTGAGAAGGTGAAGAAAAATTACCCAATGGGAGAGTGACACCAACTCCCATCGCCCCACCCCCATTATTTTGGAGGGAAGAAGTGGGTGCTTTGATGACGGCGATAGTGGCAGCTCTCTTTTCTTGAGTTGCTGTGATGGGCCAGGCACTACACCACTGCTTTATATGCATTACTATTTTATTCAAGCTCCACAATAACGCAGCAAAATACATACTGATTTCATATCACCAGCGAAAAAACCATACTCAAAGAAGTTAGGTAACATCCAACTAGGAGTGGATGGACAAAAACCTAGGCTTTGACTCCACACACCACACTCTACTGGATCAGGAGAATACTCTGATGAGGTCTCATTTCCACTTGAGTTTGAAGAGCCTGTCGTTTGGGATTTCTAGGAATATTTAGTCTAATGATTATTCCTTTCTGTAGCATAGATGATGCCCTCACAAAACAGCCAGTGTGGTTAATTACTACACAGCTGTCAAGCTGCATACATCCTAATACCTATTATTTAATAGCAGTTAACACTTGGTGCTAGATGCTTTACAATGCATTACCTCATGTAATCCTCACACCCACCCTTGGGGCAGACAATTAGCATCGCCATTTTTACCGAGGATGAAATTGGGACAGAAGAGATACAAAGTGACTTGTCCTAAGTCACTCAGTTACCACAAATGTGGCCCCGGACAGTGTGACAACATCAGCCTAACCACTTTACTGCCTCAAAATTTAAAACTGGGTTCCCAACTTTGCTATGTCAATGTCAAAGTTAGTTTCATGCTGAAACTAACAATCCCACTGGCAGCCTTGAGAGTGTTCTTCCTGGACCGCTTCATCACAAGTGTTTACAGGTTTCGCTTCCCTCCACTTACAGAACCAAAACCCTTCTCCAAACGGAGAACGGTTACCATCAGATGTATGCCTGCTGCAACAGCAGCAATGACACATTCCCTAAGAAGCCAGCACTGGGTGACTGGGGATCTGGATAGGCCACCCACTGTACCAACACTCGGGAGGCAGGAGAAGCAGTGCACCAGGACAGCTTCCTTATCAAGGATAGGAAGGTGACAGTGGGCACAGACTGTTACAGCTATTTCCTGTCAGGCTACCTGACTCACTGGAGGTGCTGAATCCCTGGGCCCCAACTGCGGTTGCTTAATTGTGCTGTCCACTAAAATGTAAAAAGAGCATCCTTCATTGAAGCAGAGCGAATGGGCACAGTGTTCCATTCTCATTGCTGCCTTGTCTTCGGAGAGAGGCTGAAATGTGAACCTCTAGGTAGGCTCACCTCCACTTCCACTGGGTTATAATGAACTCTGAAACACACACAAAAAGGCCTCTTTCCTGATCTTCTAACTCTGTTAATTATGTTATTTAAGGCATGGACAAAAGCAAGTTGGGTTGGTCATTTAGGTAATCATAAGGGCTGCTGTCAAGTTAAGTAACATGGCAGAAAGCCTGCAAAGTCTGAGAGCTGGGCTGTCTCTCAGCTGGGATTTCCTTGAACTGTTTCACCAGAACTCTCAAGTCTTTGGGATTCTGAAGTTTCCATCTGTCTTAAAATTACTTTTCCATAAAGAGGCCTTCATTTCCACAGCCTAAAATAAAGTGAGGACTGATGTCTTGGCTAGGTATTAAGAATCTGGACGGTTAGTCAGGGATTTGGCCTCACCTCCCACTGGAAGGGGAAAAGGGAAGATGAATGCAGAGAAGTCTTTTACAGAGTCTTGCTCTGTTGGCCAGACTGGAGGGCAGCAGCACAATGACAGCTCACTGCAGTCTCGAACTCCTGGGCTCAAGCAATCTTCCCACCTCACACTCCAGAGTAGCTGGGACAACAGGCACACACCACCATGCTTGGCTGATTTTTAAATTATTTTTTGTAGAGTCAGGGTCTTGCTATATTGCTCAAGCTGGTCTCAAACTGCTGGCCTCAAGTGATCCTCCCACCTCAGCCTCCCAAAGCGCTGGGATTACAGGTGTGAGCTACCACACCCAGCCCAGACAAAGTCTTGACCCCACGTTCACTGCCGTTTGATTTCTGCTGTGGTGAAGGTGGGAGAATTAAGAGTGTTCAAATCCAGCAAATCAGGTTGGCAGTGTGGTCTTGTCCAAAAGAAAAAAGGGCAGTTTCTCCTAGAGTTGGGTGAACACAATTTGCTTCTCTGGATGTTACCTTGCATTATTCATACAACATACCTGGGCATATTTTGGTGGAGACTGTAACACACACAGAAAACTGCAAAGGGCAAGGAAATAAGCCCTAGAATGGTCAGCTCCAGATCTGGCTGAAGCTGAAGCAGGAAGTTGATTCTCTAGGTTGAGGAGCCCAGGGCAGAGAGAAGAACCCCAAAGCGGTCAGATCACTCCAAGATACGAGTTGACGTAGAAAAGGGAGTGTCGGCTGGGTGCGGTGGCTCACACCTATAATCCCAGTACTTTGGGAGGCCAAGGTCAAGAGATGGAGACCCTCCTGGCCAACATGGCGAAACCCCATCTCTACTAAAAATACAAAAATTAGCTGGGTGTGGTGGTGTGCTCCTGTTGTCCCAGCTACTCGGAAGGCTGAGGCAGGAGAATTGCTTGAACCCGGGAGGCGGAGGTTGCAGTGAGTCGAGATCGCACCACTGCACTCCAGTCTGGTGACAGAGCAAGATTCCGTCTCAAAAAAAAAAGAAAAAGAAACAGAAAAGAGAAAAGCAAAACAAAGCAAAGGCAGTGTCGTGTCTGTTCCATGAACCCTAAGGGCTTCCAGGAGAGAATGGAACTAAAATAACAGCGTAGCCTGGAAACTGGAGGGCTGGGTGGTGGGTGTTGAGACCTGGAAACTGCAGGGCTGGGTGGTGGGTGTTGAGACATGTAAACTGCAGGGCTGGGTGGTAGGTGTTGAGACGTGGGGCTCCCTGTGGAGCGGGGAGGTGGTGAACCATCAGCCCCCCTCCAAATAGTAAGATTAGCATAGAACGTGCCTTTTTCAGCCAAGTTGCCTTCATGGACAGCATCCTTTCAACTTCATACTCACTACTCACAAACCAACCCTTGGAAGTACAACGGATTTACTGTTTATCAAGAGGGGAAACTTTCACTATTCTCATATGAAAAGTGCTTCAGAAAAAAAAATGACAACATTATTTAACAGGAATTCACACAATTACAAAAATAACTCTGTCCCTCTCTTCAGCAAGAGAAATATTTTGCTCATCAGAAGTTCTGCTAGGCTTAGTCAGATCAGTGCCAGGAATTCTGTGAACTGAAGGTCAAGCTGCCAAGATTCAAAAGAAATGTCGATAGTAAGTGTTTGCCCAGATACTAGACAGGGAGTGCCAACAGCTCCCAGCATGCAACTCCAGCCACAACGCAGACAGGACAACCACATTTTCCAGTGTTCCCCTTGTCCCATAAAATTTAACAACAACAACAAAAAGCTCTTACCTAGCTCTCCCCGGAGGTTAACAAGTTCTTGAGATAGGGTTTTGTGTTGTTTCAGTGCTTCCTCCCGCTGCGGAAAACACACATCAAGTTACTCATGCTTTCAAGAGGGTCCCTTTCAGTAAGGTACACATTTGTTATCACTAGGAAAATGAGACCCAGTATTGGGAAGCCAAGATATGAATCATTTAGGCTAACAATTTGTGTTGTTAAAAGAAACACAGTTGTCCCTTAGCTGTTAAGGAAATTCGTAATTCAAAAATCTGTATTTTTGCAGGTCCCAGTGAAACTTTGGTTTGACGCAGTGAATGGCCCATTTAGAAATATTTACTTTGAGCCAGTGCTTCACTGCTGATCCATAGAACCTTTCGGCTAATGCATACTGTACTTAAGATGTAATGCGTTCTCCTCCTCCAAGGGCAATAAACATCTAATCAGTTTAAGATAAATATTTAATGTTCTAAACATAAGCACATATATGCACTTTGTCCTATATTTGCACATAAAAAAGTTTCGTTACAATGCCAATCCTTCTAAAAGAAAGACAAAAAGTTTGTTAGAAAGCTATAGCAGAAAGATAATCCTTTAAAGACAAAATTAAATTAATTTTTTTCAGCTACATACCATTTTCTAAGGATTATGATATTTTGGATCAGTGATAATTCTAAATCGATGTTAGAGAAACAAACCAAAGAAAACCGGATGGCTGTTTTTAGTATCAGAGAAGCAAGTATCAACCTTGAGCTGAAGAATAATGTTCAAGTTACCAGCAACTCCCGGCAATCACACATACACACATACTTACACAAATACAGTAATTACATACAGTTCCTTAAAAGGTAGATTCCCTAGCACCAGGGAGTAACTAAAAAAAAAATGAAGAATTTCAAAGCTCGCTGAAAAATGCCCTCACGAGGATCACCCAAGACGGAGCTCCCACCACATCCTGATCACAGCGTTGCAGAGATCATGAGACCCGGCCTTTGCAGGCAAGAGTTGCTTGTCATTCAAAGCATTTTCCCTGAATTCCAGACAGCCTCTGCAGTAGTCCTGACATTCTTCCAGAAAAGCACTATAAACAAATACTAATTACCCTTGTTGCTGCACATGGAGAATAGAGGCACAGTTTGCTGCTGGGGCAGCCCATTTTCCAGCTTCTGTCTCCAAGTCCCCCCACCCCTCGCACTGTGCAAGAAGCATACAGGTGGCCGCGCCACCCACCAGTCGGGTCTGTCTACATTCAAAGCTCTAGCAGGAGGCGCGCCATTGGCCCTCGGGCGTCTTACTTCATGTCCTGCAGGTTACCGTGTGCCTCGGATTCCTCACTCACAGAAGCTGATACTGCAGCTTCTGCCTTTGGCACAGGCAGCCTGTGATTACTTAAAGCCACAGCCTTTCATTTATGAAAAACGAGAGGCAGGCATTAGACTGATCGATTGCCATTTAGTTAAATATCAGCTGCAACGGAGGAAAGAAAAAACTGACCCCCTCTGCATGGATAATGGAGTTATTTTTAGACTTGTGAGCCTTTTTCTTCCCCTCTCTAATTGTGGTCATTATTTGATCACACTTACTAATAGAAAAGGGAAACTTGTTCTTCGAAGCCCATATACTAAATGAGGTTATGAACTAGGTGAAGAGCAAGGAAAGGGGCATGCTGTCGTTTACAAATTTAAATGACATTATGAAATGAGAGGTGTTTCAAAATAAGTCTGAAGTGCTGATCTGAGAGTTGGAGATCCCATATATTTTTAACTTTTACTTTGTTCTCACCTCTCAGTAAGAGCTACGGAAGTCAAGTCTAAACGCCAGCACTGAAACGTGGTCAGCAGGGACTGGGATTTAAGACCCACTTTTCACTGAGTACCTTTCTGGCTTCAATGGTATTCTAAATGCTTGGTTTTTAAAAATATGGCATTAAGTTGTTCTGAAATCACCAGTGAGTCAGAGTTTCTTAAAATAATAAGTAATTGGTTTTCTAATGTAGAAATTAAAGCCTGAGGAAAATCAGCCCGCATAATAATGGAAGAAAAACATAAAAATATGTATCATAAATACTTCTCGTAATATCAAATTTAAGCCTGAATTTTGTTTAGTAATCTACTTCAAGTAAACACCAGGAAGCTTTACCACTCAAGTAACAGGAAAAACAAGACAGCTTTACTAAATGCCCACAAACAATCCTGAAACTCATTTGGTGAACTTGCTTAAAATTCACTTTTCAGTAGTAACCAAGTTACTAACAGAAGGAAGAGATGGCAAGAAAATTCAATCATTTTTCAAATTTATGGAAACTAATGGGAGGATGAAAGAAATTAAAAATTACAGTTAGTATAACTGCAAAGAAAAATTGTGTGAAATCATTATGTTCTACTGCAAAAATACACCAGGTGATATTTTTGCTTATTAAGGGAGGTTTTGGGAAAGGGAGTTTCACCAAGCATGTCGACATTTCCCCAAACTTCAACTCCACTGCACTCCACGTTCCTGTCCTTAATGCCTCAGAAACTACTGACATCTTCCAACCTCTGTCAGGCACAGTAACAGTAACAGGAAAACCTTGAGGTCATCTTTCACTCTTTGTCTAAATGGGTTGTGCAAAAGTCAGTTGGTTCTTCCCTTGTAATGTGACACCATTCCCCTCCTCCAAATGCATAGACCATTTACCCTTCTAAATTGGTTGGTAACTTATTACTTCAAACTAATTAACTAAGCATTTTTCATAGCAGATGCTGTGAAAATATAAAAGAAATTTAAGACATGGTCCCTGCCTTCAAGAAGCATGGGGCCTACCTAGAACTAGAACATCCAGGCTCAATTCTTTTGGTCATCTATCAAGGCAGATGACCTCATCGGATGGGAAGCAGTAATGAAAAAAACCAAGGGCTTTAAATACCATCCATAGATGAAATGCTGACCCCAGTGCCCATACTGTAAAAGACACATACTAAGGGTTAGTTTCTGCCTGACTCTCCCTGGTAGCTTGGCCTTTACATGTACTTACCCTTTACTTGTAGATGATAAAATGCATTATGTCCTTTAGATACTGATTTACTGTTTCTTTTTACTCAGCTGCTCCTAGATCAGTGTTTCTCTCTTAGATGATAAACTCTTAACCGTCTAGATAACAGGTTGATTCAATTCTCTTTGTATTGTAACATGCAGAATTACACACAATGTGAAAAAAGAGAAAGGTGGAAATCTGGATATAAAGATGCCTTTATGCTCAGGCATTAAATATATGAAATGCTCAAGAAAAAAAAAATGGATTCACCATAATTGAATTAGGAGTCCCTGGGACACAGGCACTTAGTCTCTGGCTGTGGTCCCATCGGTGTGCCTGCATTTTTGCTAGCCACTGAGTAGCATCAACAGCATAGAGCATCTTGCAGAGAATAGCCACATCAGATGGCTCAGACGTGTGCTGCATCTGACCTCCTCCCCATCACCCACACAGTGAATTTGCTCAATGCATCTATGTTTTTTTGTTCCAAGTCAACTTTACTGCTAGTGCCATTCAAAATTCACCTTTGTTCAGGTGCTACTTTAGGTTAAATTCCACTTGCAAAAAAAAAAAAAAAAGATGTGGAGGCATTTTGAAGAATTAGAGGTTTGGGGAGGGTGACCTCAGCCCTGTTCAAGTTTACCTAGAAAGCCACCCAATAGACCCTTTTAGGAAGAAGCTTAATTACTACCATCAATACTGTTGTTCACTTTGGCTGTCTGTGCAGAATACCGTCTAACTAAGCAAGGATAAACCAAGAATTAGAAAAAAACTAAAATAACTTTAGTGTGTCTTCTGCGAAACAGAGTGTGACATTAGTTCTCAGATTCATGAGATATAAGAATGTCTGATATGTAATGAAATATGTCTGCCACTACAGTGGGAAACTTATAGTTACTAAGTAGACTTGCAACAAAAGCATGGTAGTTGCAAGATTCTCTTAACCATTTTCACCCATAATCGAAGGCTCTAAAGCCATTTAGAAAAGGTTAGCAATAACAAAAAATATATATACACACACACACACAAATACCTATATATTATACATATATAAAAATACATAGACATACAATGTATAGGTATATCATGTATATAAAAAACATACATAATGTATATGTATACAATGTGTATCTGTATCTATTTTATATACATATGCATGTGTGCGCGCGCGTGTGTGTGTGTGTGTGTGTGTATAAACACAGTATATATACTTCTGTAATGGGAATGGGAACTAAAAGGTTAAGGGAGTTTTTAAAATTGTTTAACTTTACCCATGATTTTTTTTCTCCAACTATTTTTATTTTATTTATTTATTTATTTATTTATTTATTTTTTGAGACAGGGTCTCACTGTCACCCAGGCTGGAGTGCGGTGGTGCGATCTTGGCTCACTGCAACCTCCACCTATTGGGTTCAAGCGATTCGTATGCCTCAGTCTCTTGAGTAGCTGGGACTACAGGCACATGCCACCATGCCTGGCTAATTTTTGTATTTTTTGGTAGAGACAGGGTTTCGCCATGTTGGCCAGACTGGTCTCAAACTCTGGACCTCAAGCGATCCACCCGCCTCAGCCTCCCAAAGTGCTGGGATTACAGGTGTGAGCCACCATGCCTAGCCTCCAACTGTTTTATAATAGTGCTCAGTATACATTACACAATCAGTAAATATTTGCTGATTATAAAATAAAGAGAGCAAAGAACATTTACATAAGACTTTATGCTCATCCTACATCTGGAATTCCATCCTCTCCGTTCATATGTTCACTCACATATATACTGTGTTGACTATTAAAGCTGCTGGGGTGGTTTCATAAGAAAGAACTAGATGCAGATCCTGCCTTCAGTAAATTTCCTGTCTTAAAAAGCAAAAACAAGCATTAAACCGGTATCTCTAATATAACACAGACAATGAAAGAGAAGCATATATGCTCCTGGAATCCAGACGGGAACAGAACGTAGATCTAGAAGGCCAGGAAATCATTCCTGAGTGGGTTCTGGACTGGGAGTGGTGGATCATGCCTGTAATCCCAGCACTTTGGAAGGCCGAGGCAGGTGGATCACTTGAGGTGAGGACTTTAAGACCAGCCTGGCCAACATGGTGAAACCTCATCTCTACTAAAAATACAAAAATTATCTGGGTATGGTGGTGGGCATCCGTAATCCCAGCTACTCAGGAGGCTGAGTCAGGAGAACTGGTTGAACCCAGGTGGCGGAGGTTGCAGTGAGCTGAGATTGCGCCACTGCACTCCAGACTGGGTGACAGAGCAAGGCCACTGTCGCAAAAAAAAAAAAAAAAAAAAAAAAAAAAAAAAGCGGGTTCTGGAGCTGTATTCAGTGCAGTCACAATTCCTTGGCTGTCAGGACCTAAATTTAAGTATAAGGTGAAATTCACACACAGTACAATTGTCTGGGAAATTCACTAGGAGCTTGCCATGTTTGTGGACAATGCATCTCTCTGTAGATCCAACCCAGTGAATTTTTTTCCTCTAGCGTTGGATCAACTCTCTCTATAACTGAGCACCTGATAAAGGCCTCGGCTTGTGTTTAGAGGCCAGGTTGCATGAGGGAAAAGTATCTTTAAACACTAAGATAGCAGAGAGTATAGAATGCTCACGCCACAAGAGGTGTTCGGGGACTGAGCAGACACATGAAGGAAGGGTGGACTCCTGACCTTCATCTCAAATTGACTCCCGGGCCTTCGTTCACTGGGGGGAATACAAGGTGGACTTGTGTTCTTCATTTAATTTGCTTTTTTTCTTTTTTTTTTAAGTTGGAATCTCGCTCTGTTGCCCAGGATGGAGTGTAGTGGTGCGATCTTGGCTCACTGCCACCTCCACCTCTCAAAGTAAAGTGATTCTTCTACCTTAGCCTCCCGAGTAGCTGGGACTACAGGCACATGCCACCACACATGGCTAATTTTTGTAGTTTTAGGGGAGATGGGGTTTTACCATATTGGTCAGGCTGGTCTCGAACTTCTGACCTCAGGTGATCCACCCGCCTTGGCCTCCCCAAGTGCTGGGATTACAGGTGTGAGCCACAGCGCCCGGCCTGCATTTTTCTTCCTTCAGTTGTTTGTGTACTGAATCTATGTAAATTAAATGCAAGTGGTGATGTGATGCTGCTGTAAAACCGACCTGAACATGTAGGTATTGTGGGCAAGGACAGCAACCCAGTAATGATACGTGAACAATGGATGACGTACAGGAAGTTTACAGGACATTTTTAGTTGATAGCTTCCTAGACCTAGGTTTACGTCCTGGTTCTCCTCTTGCTAGCTGTCTGATAGCAGGCAAATTACCTAACTCTATGCCTCAATTTTCATATTTGTAAATTCCAACTCGTGTCTTTGGTGAGGATTTAAATAAGGTAAGTAAGAATATCTGGCACTTAGTAAATATTAGGCTGGTGCAAAAGTAACTGTAGCTTTTGGCATGATGGCAAAACCGCAATTACTTTTGCTCAAACCTAGTATTCAATAAATCCCTCTTGCTTCTCCTCCATCTCTTTATGTACGGCTACAGCATCTGGGCATGATAATAACATTAAAAGGGGCAGTTGTTGCCAAATGATAAAGAGCCTTATAGTACCAGTTGAAAACCAGACTCCCCAAAACAAAATAACATGAGTTACGTAATTATAAATTTCCTAGTAGCCACGCTGAGAAAAGTTGAAAAAGATGAAGCTAATTTTAATAACGTATTTTATTTAACCCAAATATATATATAAAATAATATTTCAATATATTCAATATAAAAGTTGTTAATGAGATATTTTACATCCTTTGTTTTCATTCTAAGTTTTTGGAATCCAAGTGTATTGTACACTTACCACACATCTCAATTCAACGGATTTACATTTCGAATGCTCAGTCTCATATGGCTAGTGGCTACCACACTGGACACATCAGCTGTAGATAAGGGAGAACCACTGGAAGATTTAATCAGCAGCGTGGGATGCTTTGGTAAGAGGACGCTGTCAGCAGTGCTTGGGATGGATTATAGGTGAGAAACAGTACAAGCCTAATGATTGGTTAAAAAGGTGCTATCACAGGTTGGGCGCAGTGGCTCACGCCTGTAATTGCAGCACTTTGGGAGGCCGAGGTGAGCGGATCACCTGAGGTCAGGAGTTCAAGACCAGCCTGGCCCACATGGTGAAACCCTGTCTCTACTAGAAAATTACAAAAACTAGTCGGGCATGGTGGCGGGTGCCTGTAATCCCAGCTATTCGGGAGGCTGAGGAAGGAGAATCACTTGAACCCGGGAGGTGGAGGTTGCAGTGAGCCCAGATCACGCCATTGCATACCAGTCTGAGTGACAGAGCAAGACTCCATCCCAAAAAAAAAAAAAAAAAAAAAAGTTGCTATCATGATCTAGTGGAAGCTATCCAGGGTCTGAGCAAGGATGGCATGAATGGGGACAGCAAAGACATAGGAAGGGGAAAAGCACTGTGAAATGAGAGTTCACAGGACTTGACTGACGTCATGAGGAGGATGAAAGGAGAGAAAACAGTTGAGGATGGGGGCTATTAGGCTAGATATAATAAAATAAAATAATTGGTTTATTTCTAAACATAAAAACTAATTGTTCCCCACATTTGATAGTATACAGTTTCTAGTTAGCTTACTTGGTTATATAAACACACTCTTGATTCCTTTCTTACAAATGAAAGAGAAACAAAAATACCATATACTATTACCGTTACTAAAACCCTAAGTAGTCTCCAACTTCCCCTCAAAAAAAACAAAAACAAAAACAAAAACAAAAAAATCTGGAGAAAGCTGTAAAATACTCATCAAGAAATCATTAAGGCTGGGCGCAGTGGCGCATGCCTGTAATCCCAGGACTTTGGGAGGCCGAGGCAGACAGATCACAGGGTCAGGAGATCGAGACCATCCTGCCTAACACAGTGAAACCCCGTCTCTACTAAAAATACAAAAAACTAGCCGGGCGTGGTGGCGGGTGCCTGCAGTCCCAGCTACTCGGGAGGCTGAGGCAGGAGAATGGCATGAACCCGGGAGATAGAGCTTGTAGTGAGCTGAGATGGCGCCACTGCACTCCAGCCTGGGCGACAGAGTGAGAGTCTGTCTCAAAAAAAAAGAGAATTCATTGAAACTGTCTACTAGTCTGGTAGTTTCTCCAAGGCACAGACCAAGTCTCATCCACTTCTCTCTCTCCCCACTCCCTAAAAAGGCAGCCATATTACAGGGGCCTCTGTATGAAACCAGGACAGGTTTGTTGATCTGAACAAAACTACAGAACAACCAAACTGAACAGTTTTCTTTTTGCTTTTAATTTTTATTTTTTCCCTATGTTGCTCAGGCTGGTCTTGAACTCCTGACCACAAGCGATCCTCCCTCCTCGTCTTCCCAAAATGCTGGGATTCCAGGCATGAGCCACAGTACTGAGCCAGTCTTTTTTTTTCCCCTTTGCATTATCATGTATAGCCATCTTTAAAACTGTGATTTAAAAAATGTCTGAAGAGCTCAAGTTGTATTCTTATCAGTTGCCCCCTGAGATAATTACAGCTTTTATTGCTATGTCAGTAACATGTTGATATAAACTTGGTTTTCTCAATGAATTTTAGCCAGTTCCTGAAATAACATCCCTGAAGAATATTAGGGAAAAGTAACAACACGGCAAATCTGCTTTGCTTTTGTTGCACCACAGAGATTGTTTTAGGAATAAACAGAACTTTCAGAAAGAATCCCCAGATATGATTCAGGGAGTTAACTCAAAAGTGCTCTTTAATCCATAAATATAACTAACGTCATTTTTCAAAGCATTAAACTAAGTGTGATATGAAAAGCTACACACAGACAAACACACAAATTAAGTGAAAAAAATGCTAATGCTAGTTTAGGTCTAGAGGCATACACCGGCGTAAGAGGCAATTATGTTTTTTGCTGTTGCCATTCTAACCAACAGACTCTAGGGGAAAAAAAGGAAGTGAGAAAATGTTTCCATCCCAAATTGCTAGAGACCGACTCAAGTATCTGGTGAAGTGACAAAAATGTAATGGGATGAATGACACCTGATCTTTCCCATCATTTACCTAGATATTCCCAAGGCCAGCGTGTGAGCAAGTCCTCCCCGTGCTCCCCCGACCTCAAGTAGAAAGGCTCTTTCTAGGATGCACCTCCTTACCTCAGACAGCAGGTGCTGAATCACAACTGTCAATGCCTCAAACTTGGTATTACCACAGGCAAGAAGCTGCTTGAGCTGCAGGATAAATCCACTTTGGTTTTCACATTTTGTTTTATATTGCGTCAATTCAAGTGTTTTCTCAGGGGGCAGCGCATCGGGAGCTGTCTGTGGCTGGATACATAAGCTTCGAGGATTCTTTTGCCTGCTCTTTTCAACTGCAAAACGAATTAACATAGGTACAAAGATAGGTGAGGTTAATTTTTAAAATCACCACCACAAGGATTCAAAAACAACCAGATAAGCCACAGAAATCCATTTAAGTTATGTTGCTGTAAGGAATGCATATGGATGAGAACTGGAATGAATCGGAGATCTAGACGGTTGGAATTCATGAACAGGGACCGTGGCTTCATTTATGACTTTAAAAGATTTATGGGGAACAGAGAATTAGGAACATGACACAAATGGATTTGGCAACCCAGAAACACAAAAACTGGGTGCAAAATGTTGTTCTCCTCGTTTCTCATTTTCCAGTTAAATTGGTAGAGAAACCTTGACTGAAGAGAAGCCTGACTTTTCTGATCTCATATGCTGAAAGGAACACACAAATCACTGGACTTTAAATTAAATGCCTTTCTCTCCTCCCATACATTTTCTACAAATCTTTTACCTTTTCCCTGATGATGGCCTAGCCATTACACAGATTTATACCGCAGATGAGTCATTTCCTAATCTCTAATAAATCATAACATACATCGAAAATATACTCAGATTTTGCCTCTTTAAGTTCACTGTTAGGAGTACTATACTGTTGACTATACTATTCCATTTTCTATCGAACACAAGCTTTGTTGGTCTTTTTTCCCAAGTAGTAATAACGGCTTACACAGTTTTTTTTTAAAGCACATGCTAACACTCCAAATCCACCCAAAATGCCACGCTAAGTGATTATTCCCTTCCTGTGCAATGGTGCCCTGGGTATTACTCTGTTTTAAATAAAAAACTGTTCAGTCTTGGAACCATTCCAAATGTGTCATTTTGAATATCAAACAGAATTGGAAAAACAGGACATCAATTGCTTAGGTTCTTGAAATAAACAAGCCAAGTAATCCAAACAAATGTAAATCTGGAAAAAAGACACAAGAAACTAAAAAAAAAAAAAAGTTTCCTTATTCTAACAGTCTTTCATTACAGCATCCACGTTCTGTGGTAGCAAATCTGAAACAACTTTTAAAGAAATTTAGTAATTACTGTCTCTAATTTTTCAGGAAAAGGCAAGCTACTACAGTGATTGCTTAAAGAAACATCAGTACTCACTTTCTAAGAACAAATGGCTAAATATATTGAATAAACTAAGTTAAAAACAGGGAAAAAAAGGCTCTTATTTTCTATGGCTGCATTACATGGTTAAATAAGTCATATTTGTATTAATACTTGATAATTCTCAGTTCTAAAATCACTAAAATATCCATTGTCCCACTGTGTCTCTGTAATACTTGATGAGAGGAAGTATTTATCCATTACTCTTTATTATTAGCAATTATTAGTAGTAGCTTATGAATAATTGTCACTTGCATAGATGTAGAAAATAGCCAAGTTAATATCGTAATATTACAGCCCTGAAGGAAGAACAAATTATTAGTTACATACTAATGAAAAATAATCTAAATATTTGACCATGAGATTAGCATTCTTTCATGTCATTTCCTAAATGTTTTTAGAAATTGTCACATAACACATAACAATTCCACAGTGTTTCGCTCATCACAGTGTGCTCTCACTTTCCCTTTCTTTTCATCCTCCCAATAACCCCAGATAGGGAAGAGAAGGCTCACAGGTGTGAATGTCTTCCCTGGATGTAGACAACTTCTATGGGAATCCAGATTCAAAGTCAGAACCCAGGCCTCTGATGCTAAGCCTCTTCTGTTCCCACACATTTTGGAAAGCGGATTAGGTGGTGATGTAATATATGACATACATAAAAATAAATATTTATGCAACAAATGTAATAATATCTTGCTATAATACATATAAGCCCATTATCTGATAACTCATTTTAACAAACCTACATATAAACATCTATGTGTTATATAACTTTATAAACAAAAATGTTCAAATTCTTTCACTATCTAGAATTTACTGTAACAAATATAGACACAGTTCATTCTCCTGATATCATTTGTATATGTCCTACCGAAACTTACTTAAAAATTCATTTATTGATAACTCCTTTATCATTTCCTGAGTCCTGAGTAACATTTGCCTCTCTTTCTAGAATTTCTATGCTAATCAACGCTATTTTTAACACAATTTCAGAGCTTTAAAACTGTTGGTTTATAATTATTTACAAAATCTGAGAGGTGAGTCTTTTATATTAATATTTTGGAGAAAATATTCTTCAAGATTCTTGCTTTTTGCTTATAAATCCGTAACAAAAATATCACAGAATACATGTAATTGTACTAACAATGTTTACTTTTGAAGGGAAGGTAATAGGAATCAGACAGCTAAAAAGTATCCTGAAGCATTTTTTATACTTTTTAACCATGGGGTAAATATATTACCTATTCAAAAGTTAAATATAAGAAGTAAATAAAATCACTTTTAACAGACAGTTAAAGTGAAATTCGAGGACATACATTTTTTATATAATACTTAGCTATGAAGGAAATAGTCTATGCAGAATTTTTCCTTGGGGAAACTACACAGGAATCTAAACATTACGCAGGGTTTGTAAGTGATTACTCAGGATAGCTTTATGATTAAGGAGGAAAGAACACATTGATGTATTCGTCTAAGAGTACGTGTCTTCAAATTTTAAAATGAGAGCAAATGAGCCAACAGACTGCCCTCTCCGTGGCGCTGGAAACTCGTGCTGTGCAGTCACCATCTTCCGCTCCATATACTGTGCTCCCTAAGGATGAAGTGTGACCGCATGGCAGCCGATGACCCAGTTTCCACATGCTTCCCACTCTCAGCACTCCTGGCTCAGCTGAAGATCAGAGATGATGCAAAAATCTCCAATGACGCTCAAAACCCCAAGGCTCATCAATACGTACTTCACAGTACTGAAAAGCCAGGGGTTCCCTTAAATCCTGCAGGATTCATTACTAACGTGAAATTAGCATATTATCAGCCAAACTTTGCCCTTACCCTTGCTTATTAGCATGTTACTGTTTTGATAACAAAGGTTTTATACAGAAGTATAAATTATTTTGTTTACTGTACCTATTAACAGAACATGTTCTGATTTTAAAGGGCCAATTTAATCAGAAACCTTAAAATTAAACGTCAACTTCTATATCGATTCAGATTTATCTCAACAAGATAATTACCACCATCAGCTGTGATCCAGCCTTACTGGGACTCATTCTAATGAAATGGCAGCCTCCATCAGGAAAACGAAGGCCAGAACCAAAGACATTTGCTCATTTGGAAAGCAGCTGGATGACCCTGTTGGCTATCTTTGTTCTTTCTATTCAGAAACCTCAATTTAATAAGATTTAAAACTAGTGCAATGAAGTCATGTATCATCTTCTTAAAGAAAGTAGTTGGTTAATGAGGAAGATGCCCATTTCTCAGGCTCAAATCACTTAGGCAAATAGACCTCCAAATCCCAAGACCAAAAACAATTTTGAGAGAAAAACCTAACCATTAAGACATGGACTAACCGTAACCACATACTAGCAGCTGAGGACACATTCATTCTAGGCTGAAGAAGCCACACATTTCCTCAATCTGCTGGCTTTTCCAATTATTAAAATCAAGTTAGAGACCAGACCTACTGAGGGAGTTTGCCTTGGGTTCCGTGAAACACAAACTAAACACAGAATTTGGAAACGAACGTTGTCCACTTTTGTGTATACTCACTGACCTACTCACTCACTCATGAAATATATTTATTAAAATCTACCATGAGGGCACTGCTGTGGTGGGTGTGCACCTGCCCTGGTGCTTTGCGGGGACAGGAGAAGTATCACATAAGAGGGTGGTATTGCTCAGAGAGGCACAAAGACACCAAAGATCTCTGCTGACTCATGTTTCCCTAGTGCTCAGCTCTTCAACTCCAAATCTCAACCTATCTGTAAAAAGGTGACAGTCACTGACTGGATGGTAAGTCCTTTCTACAACATATTGCATTAAAAACCGATGTTTGTGGGTTGACAAAACATAGGTTATGAACTCAGAAGCTAGTGAGAGGTCTCTCTCTGCTAGCGGCATGGACAGACAGAAAATTCCCTTTTTTCTGCCTTAATCTAATCGTACACATCTAAAAGCCCTCACAGGGACACTGACACAGAAGTTCTTTCAGTCAGTTTCCCCAGCATCTGGTGGCAGGTGCTTATCCTGCCTATGCAATCTTACATACAGTTTTTTAAAGTTACCATTCATGTCAATTATTAGTTTATGTTTGTATAAAGTTTTCTAGTGTTCATTAGCTGTTTACTCTAAAAGAGTTAACAGTAATAATTTAGGAGACATATATTTTTCTATTTACATATAATATTTTTCTATTTCTAGGTAGACATGGCATTTACTGAAAATGGAAAATTTTAAGCTCAGCAAAGCACAGTGTTTAGACATTTAGAATTACCCAAGCCAGGCCGGGTGCGGTGGCTCACACCTGTAATCCCAACATTTTGGGAGGCCAAGGCGGGCAGATCACAAAGTCACGTGATTGAGACCATTCTGGCTAACACAGTGAAACCCCATCTCGACTAAAAATACAAAAAGTTAGCTGGGTGTGGTGGCACCTGCCTGTACTCCCAGCTACTCGGGAGGCTGAGGCAGGAGAATCACTTGAATCCGGGAGGTGGAAGTTCCAGTGAGCCGAGATCACGCCACTGCACTCCAGCCTGGGTGACAGAGCAAGACTCCGTTCTCAAAAACAAACAAACAAACAAACAAAAAACCCCAAGCCAAGCCCAATTATTTGTAGGGGGAGGGAGGAGGATTTAGGATGCCTCACCATTTAAACTTTTCATTACTATATTGGTAGAATTCGTTGCAATAGCTCATATTATATCAAAAAGGGTTCTACTTCTTTTCTTCACATTAAAAGCAGATTAGAGAATAGAAAGCATATTCGAGAATAGAAAGCATATTCATATAAAAAATTCCTGTTTGGGTTAATTACGCTTATAAAATTTTTCCTGAAGCAACAGTCCAAACTTGCCCTAAACTATTTTCCATATAGCTGGCAGGAAAAAACCAAATTTCTCATACTCTTATGTACCTAAAATGGACTCCTAACTCAAAGAAGAGTTAATATAAATTCACCACATTCAGAAGTACTTTTAAGAAGGCATTGCCTCTCTCCTATAGCAACCAAAAAAGCATGGCACTGGTCTAAAAATAGACACATAGATCAGTGGAAGAGAACAGAGAACCCAGAAATAAAGCCACATGCTTACAGCTAATTGATCTTTGACAAAGTCAGCAAAAATACATACAATGGGGAAAGGACACCCTATTCAATAAATGGTGCTGGGAAAATTGGAACAGAGAAACTGGAGACCTATCTCTTATCATATGCAAAAATTAAGACAGATTTAAGACTTAAACGTAAGACCTGAAAAAATAAAAATTCCTGGGTGGGGGGAGGGAACTAGAAAAAACTCTTCACAACATTGGCCGACGCAAGGAATTCATGACTAAGATCTCAAAAGCAAATGCAGCAAAAACAAAAATAGACAAATGGGACTTAAACTAAAAAGGTTCTGCACAGTAAAAGAAACAGTCAACAGAGGAAACAGACAACCTATAGAATGGGAGAAAATATTTGCAAACTATGCATTTGACAAAGATCTAATATTCAGAATTTACAAGGAACGCTAGCAACTAGCAAGAAAAAATACAACCCCAATAAAAAATGGGCAAAGGACATGAACAGATGTTTCTCAAAAGAAGACACAGAAGCAGCCAACATATGGAAAAAGTAGAACATACGAAAAAATGCTCAACATCACTAATCATCAGAGAAATGCAAATGAAAACCACGATGAGATACCATTTCCTATCAGCCAGAACGGCTATTACCAAAAAGTCAAAAAACCACAGATGTTGGCAAAGATGTGGAGAGAAGGCAATGCTTATACACTGTTGGTGGGACTGTGAATTAGTACAATCTCTATGGAAAACAGTATGGAGATTCCTCAAAGAACTAAAAATAGAACTACCATTCACCCAGCAATCCCACTGCTGGGTATCTTCCCAAAGGAAAAGAAAAACACAGACTATCTTATAACAGAAATGAAAATTAAAATAGCCAATTAAAACATTAAACATTAGAAATATTTACAATACAAACAATAAATAAAAAGAGAACATCATTCTCAAAATACTAAACTGTCGACAAGCAATTTGGAAGAAACGTGCCTAGGACTCAGGTCACCAGGGAGAAAAAAGGCAAATCTCTCACCCCAAAAGAAAGCTCTATTACTCTTAATTTTCCACAGAGCCACATAATTGCTGATGTTTATAAAAAGGACCCTCGTGTACTAAAATGACCCAAAGTATTGCCTAAGATAAATACAGAAATATGATATTCAATATTAGATACCTCTAAAATCACACCTGTTGTGTTTCTAAGAAAATAATATGCATATACTATTAATAAAATATTATTCTTAGCTCTGAAAGAGGCTTTAAAGCTCATAAAAAGCATCATTACATTAATTTATAGGGTAATTATCTATTAATTAACCAGAATAAATTGTTCTAACAAAACAAGTATTTACTTATATACAGCTTGCCATATTCCTCCAGTGTCTCTTGATGAAAAACACTGCTATCCTTCCCATTCTGAATGCAACTCTAAACCGTAATTTATTACTTACTTTCCATTTTTGTGTAAAAGTAGATACTACATTAAAACATAATTTAGTGTAGTAAAACTCTAGTTATCTGAAACTTGTCAAATTAGGACATACTGTCCCTTTCAACATCTCACTTTTAAAAACTTATCAAAATCTTACCTATTGTGAGCAAAACTTGCCATTCAACACTTTATTGTCTTCTTCAATTGAAAGCTGTAACTACAAAAGGGCAGATATTCATGTCACGGCAAAGCTACAGCTCTAAAACCGCCACAGCTACCGAAGCTTGGAATCAATCCACGACAAAACGTTTTCAGCATCATGCCATTCATCACACCAGTTCTTAGCAAATGCTTGTCTATGTGGCAAGAGGCCAGCAAAATCTTTCATGACTGCTTTCAAGGAGGCTGAAAGGAAGAATCTGGATTCACAGTAAGATAACTAAGGGGCAGTGAAAGACTACATCTCTCGTTCTTCTTCACCTTGGTCCTTTTGATTTCTTCTACATTCTACAAATCCCTGAATTTTACCTTTTCACACGCAAATGCTAATATATGTGTTTTTTTTTAATGGAAGCTTTCTAATATGGCTTCATTGACGTCTACATTTTGTAGTACGAAAAACACAAGAGAAATTGAAGTTTACTTACTGTCACCTTAACAGTACATGAATAAATGCCCTCCTAATCCATAACACATCCATAAATGCGCTAATAACATATTAAGCATACAAAAGCCACATTTAAAGTTGAACACATTCTTCCCAATGTATTTTATAACTGAAAATTCATTCAAGAGATCAAAAATCAAATGTTAAGACTTACGTCCAAACGACAAAATAACTTGAAAGTTTAATGGAACCATTACACACAGGTAATCAATGCCCCTCCAAAACGCATAGAATAGAGAAAAAATAGCAAGGCCTGTTGCAAGATCCAACTTGTTAAATAATACACTCCCCTCATTTATAATCGGCCAACATCCGCTTGAGAAATACCTGTTCTGCCTTCTCTGTGGCAGATATTCCAATAGAGCTCTTATAACATTTTATACCTGTCTGTGGGACAGAGACTAGAGAAGTCACACGCTCTATTTCCCAGCCTCCCTTCCAGGTCGAGTCATGTGACTAAGACCCGGCCAATGAGACGGAAGCTTAAGCGACCTGGCACCACCCCTTCCTCATTTCTTTTTCTTCCTTCCTGGAGCAGCTACTGTGAGATCATGAGGCAACAATCATGAGGACACGGCTAAGAAGACAGCAGAGATGAGGATTCCTGACACGGCAGAGCCACCGAACAACCTCAAAGCTGCTTTTCTTCAGGTGAGACAAGTTGCTTCTTAGTGAAGCTGTTAATTCCATCTAAAAAGAGTCAAAAGTGAATACCAAATGCGAGAACATAATTTGATGAATTTCATCCTAATTAAACAAACGCATTCACATTCTGCCTGCCTGTTACTGAACACTTCTTTAAAACGGTTCTCTTCACGAACACAAAGAAGGGAAACAACAGATGGGGGTCTAATTGAGGGTGCAGGGTAGGAGGAGGGAGAGGAGCAGAAAACAATAACTTGGGTGCTGGGCTTAATACTTGGGTGATGAAATCATCTGTACAATAAACTATTTATTGTACAAGAATCTGTACAATAAACTCTGTGACATGAGTTTACCTATATAACAAACCTTTACATGTACCCCTGAACCTAAAAGTTCAAAATAAAATAAAATGGCAAAAGTAAATGGAAATATTTTGTTCTGATACTACCTCTGCCATCCCTCGATACGTACGTACACATGTTCCTCCCTTGCGCTGCAGTAATCACTTTTAATGTCACTAGCTCAGCAGAAAGAATTCTGTCTTTAGCGTACTGAATTGCCTTCACTGGAGTCAAGAAGGAAATTAACCTGTGAGGTTCAAATGGCACTCTTCATAGCAATTAATACAAGAATTTCCAGCTTCATAGAAAAACTGAATGCTAAGTGGCAGGGAATATTTCTTAGCAAAGTCTTTTCCCTCCACTAACTCATTATAAAAATAGAACTAATATGTTGAGGTAGAATTCCGAAATAGACCGAGTTTAATACTTTGGTAAAAAGACTATTGCTGACCCTTCTCCATGTCAGTGACGTCATCACTGGACTTCTTAGATTTTCATCTGTGCCTAATGTCCTGCAACATCACGCACAGTTCCTGACAAATTCACTCTTTTCCTCCTCTCCCCTGTTTAAAGAGGAAAGATAACCTCGATCCAACAACACGCTTTGCCAGTGATGGATACCACCCAGTAATAATATATCAGAGTGCCCAGTGCCCTCTGCGTGGGATCAATGAGAAAGCTTATTCTGGCCGGATCTCTACAATGACCAGCCCCCGTCCCACCACATTCTATGCTCAGAAATACTACAACTCCTTTGTTTCCTTGAAGGAGCCCTTCCTCAAGCCCCTCAAGGTTTTTACATGCTGTTTTCTCTGTCGGAAACACTTTGTTTCTTAGTAAATTCTCCATTTCCTGAGGACCCAACTTAAAAGGCACTTCTACTGGAGGACCTGGATTAAAGGTACCTCCACCTGCTGAGAGCTGCTTGGGCACAAGTCCACACCCTGCATTATTAACTGGTGCTCTGTCTCCTTCTGTTAAACAGTGGGCTGTGTGAAGGCAGGGTCCATGTGGGACTTAGTCCCAGTCATACTTTCAGCACCTACCATTATGCCTGGTACACAGTACTCATCTAACGGGTACTTCTTTATGAAACGAATGAATTAATCTGTAATGTGAAAGACAGTCTAGAAGCAAGGGAAAGGCTGGAGGCACAGACCAAATACTAAGCTCTTCAGAAAGCCCAGTCAACATCTTAGGCTGGATTATACAAAACTGTTCCTATTTGGCTACTTTTGACTTATTATACAAAAGTGTTCATATTTGGCCACTTTTTACCTATTAATTTTTTGTGTGTGGTTTTTTAAATAGAGACAGGGTCTCATTAACTCTCCAGGGCTGGTCTCAAACTCCTAGCCTTAAGTGATTCTCTTCCCTTGGCCTCCCAAAGTACTGGGATTATAGGTGTGAGCCAGTGGCACCAGCCAGGAAGAGCAGTTTCAATGCTTCAACATGATAATGCCTGGACTAGGGTAATGGCAGGTGGTAAAAACAAATCAAGATTTCAAATGATGGAGTCTTAGAGTTTTCAACCAATTGATTGTGGATAAATCAGGACAAGTAATGATTCAAAGGTGAGGTTTGGCCAGACGTGGTAGCTCATGTCTGTAATCCCAGCACTTTGGGAGGCTGAGGCAGGCGAATTGCCTGAGGTCAGGAGTTCCAGACCAGTATGGCCAACATGGTGAAACCCCATCTCTATTAAAAATACAAAGAAATTAGCCGGGTATGGTGGTGGGCACCTGTAATCCCAGCTACTCGGGAGGCTGAGGCAGCAGAATTGCTTGAACCTGGGAGGCGGAGGTTGCAGTGGGCCCAGACAGCACCAGTGCACTCCAGCCTAGGCAACAGAGCGAGACTCCATCTAAAACAAAGCAACAAAAAAACAACAAAAACCAAAGGTGGGGTTTGATGACCAGACACATGGTGTCATGAAAAGAAACAGATAATTCATGAGTATTAACTGAATTTAGGAGGTAAAAAAATAAGGAGACAAATCATTTAGATAAGATGAATTTCCAAGCAGAGTAATACACTGAGGGTTTTCAAATCTTCAGCCAGAAATTCACAGATTTGGAGGCTAAGGGGAACCTGGAAGTCATCTCTTGTGGTTCCCTTATTTTGTAGCCGTGTGAGGTTAGGTGCACAGGGCTATTCACTTGGTCACCAGCAGAATCAAGGCTACAATCCAGGCCTCTTGGGATCCAGGTCAACACCACTGCACTGAGGCAACCAACACCACTTCCTTCACTAAGGATACCAACCCAAGTTACTGCTGACAGTCCATTCAGATAAGAGTCACCATGACGGCATGAATTACCCACTTGACGGACGATTTCTCGGACGTTAAAATGACATAACATGGATAAGCCCATCAAAGACTGATATTGGGAGTAAGCAGAATTATATTCCTTACATGATTTTAAAAAGCCTCCAACACACAAAACGCTTCCTCCATCCCTGCTATTCCTTGGATCTAACAAAATTACAGCAAAATTTGCAGCTGGAAAATATGTACGCCAAAAATTCTAAATAGAAGTCCCAGGTTTTAGTCCTATCTCTGGCACTTACTGTGTGCCTCTGGGCAAGCGAATTCACTTCTCTGGGCCTCAGACTTCCTGGTATAAGACAGATTAGATCACCTCTATGTGAACTCTAGCTCAAAAAATTATGACTGCAAATAAACAGAAAATAGTTTTACGTAAGTTTAGAAAATAAAATGTGTCCAATACATCACTATCAACTAAACCCTGGTAATAGAAGCCTTGTGTCGTTTGCTTACGCTGTCTTGGAAAGCTATCTGCTTCACAACAACACTACAGACAACTTAGAATGTCTACTACTAGAGCACTGGTTAAGTAAATCATGACTTACCCAATAATGGAATGTTACAGAACTATTTTTTTTAATGAGGTAGATAAACATGTGATCACATGCAAATCTAAAACACATTAACTTTAAAAAGGTATAGAATATATAGTACGCTTTTATTTCTGTATAACAAAAAAGAATAAAAAAGACCTGCATAGATTTACATGTGACTGGAAACGTGCAAGAACACTATGCAAGCAGCTGAGAGCGGCTGTCTCCACGGAGAGCAGACAGGGACTCTGGGTAAGAGAGAGGCTTGCCTAGGACTGCACAACCTTCCATACTGTTTGATTTTTAACTTGGAGCGTGGATTACAGTATTTTTAAAAGAACTCTTTAAAATTAAAAGCTATTTGGAGCTACTTTAGATCAGACAAATTATTGCAAATATAGGGCACCCTTTGTTATTTTTCCCCCCTATTAATTTGTTCAGTTGGAAGGGCTGCAGCGGCCCTGAGCTGGGAGAGGAGGGCCACTGCTGACCTCCTCCTCGCTGCCTCCCCCCATTTACCGTCAGCTCAGACTGAAAGGGAGAGGCTGGCAAAATCAAATGACAGGTCAAGGGGAGTTATGAAACACGAGAGAGAGGTGCTGGAAAAAATGAGAATTCTCCCACAGAGAAGGGAGATGCCTCTGGGAAAACTAAAAATAGTCAGCTGAAAACAAATCACCAGGGACAGAGATGAGCCACGTGGAAAATAAGAAACACGAGGGGTCACGTGCACATGAAGCAGAAACAAAAATCTATTTACATCCTCATCAAACATTCCTGTGACACCTAACGCTATTCAGCCCAAAACAAATATAAAAACACCCCAGCTAACATATTTTACAGAATAAAACTGATTTAATTTACTGTAGCTGTAAAATCATCTAGGACAAAAGTAGCAACATAGGCCAACCCAATGCCCTAAAAGTGAGCAGACAGGTCACCACGTGCCTAAAATATATACTAAATTTATTTTCATCTTAGGCACCGAAAATAATAAGCAGATACAAACATAAACCTCAGGGGAAGTATTTTGAGACTGCACACACTTTTATTATGAAGATTGGAAAACTAGATTTGTGATTCACTTACTACTTCCCCATAACCATTAGGATGTTTTCTGTCAGAAGTGTTTAGTATACAGAAATCTTTTAGCATATTAAAATTAACTGTCAAATCTGACTGAGAAACTATCCAATGAAAAACGATGGGAACCTTCTCATCTACACAGGCGAACAGGAAATATTCTTCTAAATTTACCTGTGTCCTATTTCCCAAACACTGGAACTAAAATATAATTTAACAGGTGCTGATTTTCACACATTTGGCTGGTGATGGAGAAAAGAGCTAGGGAACACCAAGGCAACAATTCTGCCTTCCATCAACACAAACAACACAATCTGCTGCCAAAAGTAAAAGTACTATGCACTTGTGCTGAAGCAACAGAAAACAATTTTTAAATTAAGCCTCATCTCTCATTAGAGAGAGCTTTTTTCCTCCAATTATCTGTCTCCTTGGAAAAACCTCTGATAAACATCTGCAAATTAATGAAGACATCCCCCGTGCAACACTAAACAGAGATCTATGCGAGACAGACCTGTGTGGAAAACAACAGTGCTTCTCCTAAACCCTGAAGGAAGTCGAAGGTTTCGAAGCAATCCTTTGGCCGTCAGTCGTATGTGAATGGTGGATAAGGAGAATTTGGGAGACAACAACATGTCTTCGGAGCAGGTGGCGAGATTTCACAGAAGAGGCAATTTCCATGGACTGTCACATACTGTCTTTTTAAACTCAGTACTCTTCAAGGCCAAGAAATACAGTCAGAGGAAAGATGCCTACACAGCAAATGTCATTCCACCAGAGAGGCATAGAAGAAAAAAATCCCCCAGGGCTGGCCAAGTGTTTCTGGCTTCCGTTTTCACTTTCAGATGTTGCCAAAATGATGCTCTTCCTCTGAATACAATCTCCCTCCTGCAGGTCTAGAAGCTGCCTCTGAACCACATCACACTGTGCATGCTTGTGGAGTTGTTATGGTTTTCATCCGAGATGGTAAAGGGGAGGAGAAAGTGGGTGGTCTCAGGAGCTTTACAGAACAACCAATAATGTCACAGATCCTGTAACCACTTGAAAGATCGCTAGGGGAAATTAACTACTTCAAGTGCCTAATGTTTCTTTCATAATTAGAAAAAAATTAGGATTTCCTGAAAGTAAACTGTGTCCTGATTTTAACATTTTTCACTCCTTATATTCACAATGATAACATGAGCATTTTTTCTCTAGATATTTTACATGTAAACTACATTTAAACCTGGTATTTTGGAAAAGTTTTTTTTTTAAAGACTTCAGGCAATAAATGTTCTCAACTACAATATTTAAGAAAATTTCTATTCTAATATATTAATGACAGATTGTCAAAAGGTTAAAGTTCAACTTTAATTCCCACATGCTGAGGACCTCACAAATAATCAACAGTAAAAGATTAATACGGTTTCTCTATCAGATGTAATATCAGAGTTCCAGAAGAATAGTCCATCAGATAGGCATATTCTAAAGACTACATTTATTGCATGAGTAATTGCATTTATAGAACATCATGTGGTCTCTTATAGTGGTCTTTCAAGACTAGGAGTGTGAGGAGGGCACAGTTATGAATATCTTTTGCCAGTTATCTACTAATTTTTATTTCAGTAGAGTGGCTTGTAAAAGTATGTTAAAACATGATAGCAAAACCAAAAGAACTTGAAAAACAAAGATATGGTTATAAGAATTAACAACAACAATATGCCCACTTAAGCTAATTCCATTAAACCACGAATAGCCTGAGCTCTTAACATTTTTAAAAATGTTATAAACAAAACAATGTTTTAAAAATGTCCTATGCCTGTTTCCAAGATTTCCTAGAAAATAAGACTCAGAAATAAATGCAGAATTGTTACCATAAATAACACTATTAAGTGCTATTAAAACTAGCAGGAAGCAGTTCTTTTAGAAATTCTATAGAGTAGGGTATGAAGCAGGGAAGAGAGAGGGAGGAAGAGAAAATTTAAATAAGTTCTCTTCCCTCAAGCCCCCTCCCTCTTCACTCAAGCCCCCAACTTGCCATTTTAGAGGTTGTCAGCAAGAGAGACAGACCCAATAACCTGTCCAGGGTTCCTGTGAGAAAGATACACCTAGTTCATACACTGACGAAAAACCTGCTACATACATTGCACCACAGCAACTGAAGCTAAATGATCAAGGAATTAAAATCAAGGCCAGCTGCTTCTAGGTGTTGCCTTTTACTTCATCCCAGTTTATTATTAAAAAACCTGAACACCTTTTCCTTCCAGATTCTACATACTAAAAATATACCAGAACCTTTTCCTCTACCTCCCAAAACCTTGTAAAAACCAAGAAACCAATCAGCATTAAAAACAAACAGAAGAACAGAGTCAAATTTTGCCATGATTAAAAACAGACATGCCACCACTCCATATAGTAGGAGGTGGTTTTTCTTTCTTTTGGTTGTGTTTGTTGTTTCTTCAGTAACAGCAAATTCTAAATTATCCTTTTTTGTTTGTTTTTGTTTGTTTTTTGAGATGGAGTTTCACTCTTGTTGCCCAGGCTGGAGTGTAATGGCGCAGTCTCTGCTCACTGCAATCTCTGCCTCCCGGGTTCAAGTGATTCTCCTGCCTCAGCCTCCGTAGATGGGATTACAGGTGCCCGCCACCATGCCTGGCTAATTTTTGTATTTTTAGTAGAGATGAGTTTTCACCATGTTGGCCAGGCTCGTCTCGAACTCCTGACCTCAGGTGATCCACACACCTCGGCCTCCCAAGTGCTGGGATTACAGGGGTGAGCCACCACGCCCAGCCTTAAATTATCCTTGTTAAAAGGGAAGTTCTTTAGACTCCCTAAAAGAAGAAATTACCATCTAATCATCGATTAATCAGATTCATTAACATTTTTACTTGAATTACATTAAGCTATAACCACACATATTGAAAATAAACATTGTTAATGATATCTCTTAACAGCAGAGCAAGAAGCTGCAGGAATAAACTAAATTCAGTTCTTTCCCAAACATAGTCTGCCTCCTGGTGGCCGTGCAGCACAAGTGCACCAAAGCAAGGGAGCTGCCTTGGCAGTCCATAAACAAATGGCCATCGCTTACAATCTACTGCTCCAAGCACTCTCTTACACACTTTACGTTTGCTCATTTAAATAACTGGATAAGCAATTACTTTCAGGTCACAACTATTTTTATACTATATATGCCTCTGGGGGGAGCCAAGATAAAAAATTGGTTCCAAAAAATTCTTTGATTATTTGATCATCTGTTACCAGTTAGGAACTCCATATTTTCTGAAATTGAACGAATGTGAGAAGTACCTAAAAAAAGCATCTTTGTTATTTTTAAAAGTCTTAATTTAAGAGGAAAAGATAGGCATCACCAAGGACAGTAGAGGAAAAAATAAGGAAATTTTAGTGCCTAAAGTACAACAGTTTGTAGTTGTAAAAGTTAGCTATGAGTCTTTATGGGCCGGGCGCGGTGGTGAGATTACATGCCTGTAATCTCAGCACTTTGGGAGGCCAAGGCAGGTGGGATCACCTGAGGTCAGAAGTTCAAGACCAGCCTGGCCAACATGGTGAAACCCCGTCTCTACTAAAAACACAAAAAATTAGCTGGGCATGGTGACAGGGGCCTGTAATCCCAGCTACTCAGGAAGCTGAGGCAGGAGAACCGCTTGAATCTGGGAGATGGAGGTTGCAATCAGCAGAGATTGTGCCATTGCACTCCAGCCTGGGCAATAAGAGCAAAACTCCTCAAAAAAAAAAAAAAGATGAGTCTTTATGAAGCAGAGCCTGTGTTAGGATGTCAGTGGAAAACAAAAACATGATTTAAAATTTTATGCAATGTAGGATCTCAACATTAAACAAAAACGATTAAGTATATTGGAGCAAACATGCCAGAATGTCACCAATGCTCTGGGAGGTAGAAGAGGGAGGATTTCTATTTTTTCTTTATTATATGTTTTTGTATTTTCCTAATTTTTTTTTTCAAAAATCATGCAGCCAGAAAAAAATTAAAAAGTTTAAGTGTTAGAATAATTTTATAGAAAGCCTACAAAATGAGCCGAGTTTTCATAATGACACAAAGAAAAATAAACGATGTGTAAAGTCTATACTAAGGCTTAAATAACAAAAGAGGATGATACAGAATGTTTCATAAGTCAGTATGTTGTAATATCACAGTATATTCAAACAAACAGAAATTCCACTGGTCTGCATAGAAATGTGTTTTTTTAAATCAGTGATTTAGAAAACAATGATGTCATGATTCTAGACAAGAATCTAGCATAATCTGTATGGGGTGCTTAGATGCTACAAAATGCCTTCAATTTATCTGTTATTGTTTGTTGTTGTTAATGATCATAAAGAATGAGGAAGAAGATTAAAATTTAAACCAAGTGACTTGTGTGGAGATTCAAGCATCTCTATCCAACCAATCTTCCTTAGCCTAATATGGAATATTAATCTTTATATTTATCTCCTTACTTTCCCTAACACAGCATTAATTGCAACATTTTCTTCATTTTACTCCTCACAGTCTTTAATGTAGTAAGTTCAATTCTCTATTCCAGTTGTAGAAACTTCAACTTAAGGCCCAATTTTTCCACACTATCCTCTTCCTCAGTACGAAGATAAATTGTAATTATCAAAAAATTAACACAAAGCAATTAGAAAAACAATCAACTTCCACCCACCTGTAAGATGATAAGCTCTCAAAGAACAGTGACATTGCCTTTTATTTTGCAATAAGCAAAATAAGAGTTTAAATTAAAAGCAGTAATGCTTTTAATTCATGTACAATGTTTGTTTTTAAAAAACAAAACCTCATATGTTCATCGTAGAATTTTTTTTTTGAGACGGAACCTCGGTCTGTCGCCAAGGCTGGAGTGCAGTGGCGTGATCTCGGCTCACTGCAAGCTCCACCTCTCGGGTTCAAGTGATTCTCCTGCCTCAGCCTCCTGAGTAGCTGGGACTACAGGCGCCCGCCACCACGCCTGACTAATTTTTTTTGTATTTTTAGTAGAGACAGGGTTTCACCGTGTTAGCCAGGATGGTCTCAATCTCCTGACCTTGTGATCCACCTGCTTTGGCCTCCCAAAGTGCTGGGATTACAAGCGTGAGCCACCGCACCCGGCCAGAATTTTCTTTTCAATTTAAATTACTTACACATCAGACTGCTCTCCAATTTGTTTTTAAACTTAACATAAGCTTAATAAACTTATTAAACTTAAAAATTTCACACTTATCTTTCCATGGGATTAAATAAGCATTTATATTGTTATTTTAATGGCTTCAAAAATGTCTTTAAAATGTCAACGAACTTAATTCCTGTAAGGTATATAGGTTGTTTCCAATTTTCCCCCATTGTAAACAATTCTGAAAAGCAGTCAATAAGTAAATAAATTACTTTCCTAGGACCAATTCTGAAAAACAGAATTCCCGGGTGGAAGGTGTTTGCTCTCTGCTACAGCTGCTGTAATTTACCAAGGAGCTGTACATATGAGTGCTGTTTCTTATTCTTCGCCAGTACCAGGTGCTAACATTAAGAAATAAGCAAGAACTGAGAGCACATTATTTTAACTCATATTTGGTAAACATTTTTCATATATTCCTTAGTCCTTCATATATTTCTTTTCTGTCCATCCACTTATTTTTCCCTTTCTTTTTGTTTAGTTTTTTTAATTGTGGCAAGAACACTTAATGAGATCTACCTTCTCAACAAAATTTTAAAAGAACAATATAATATTGTTAACTGTAGGCACAATGCTGTAACAAACATCTCGAAAACCTTTTCGCCCTTGCATAACAAACCTTGTACCATTGAACATCAAGTTCCCATTCCCTGGCAACCACCACTCTACTCTGTTTCTGACTTTGACTATGTTAGATGCCTCCTATAAGTGGAATCATACAGTATTTGCCCCATGACTGGTTTATTTCACTTAGCATAGTGTCCTCCAGCTTTATCTGTATCACAGCATATGGCAGGACTTTCTTCTTTTTAAAGGCTGCATAATACTCCAGTGCACATATATGCCATATTTGCTTTATCCTATGGACACATTTAGGTTGTTCCCACATCCTGGCTATCATAATGTGGCAATGACCATTGTTGCAGGGAGTCAGGGACCCCGAATGGAGGGACCGGCTGGAGCCACGGCAGAGGAAACATAAATTGTGACGATTTCATGGACATTTATCACTTCTCTAAAAATACTCTTATAATTTCTTACGCCTGTCCTACTTTAATCTCTTAATCCTGTTATCTTTGTAAGCTGAGGATGTACGTCACCTCAGGACCCTGTGATGATTGCATTAACTGAACAATCTGATTGCAAAATGTTTATTTGAACAATATGAAATCAGTGCACCTTGAAAATGAACACAATAACAGTGATTTTAGGGAACAAGGGAAGACAACCATAAGGTCTGACTGCCTGCGCGGTCGGGCAGAATACAGCCATATTTTTCTTCTTGCAGAGAGCCTATAAATGGACGTGCGAGTAGGAGAGATATCGTTAAATTCTTTTCCTAGCAAGGAATATAATATTAAGACCCTAGGAAAAGAATTGCATTCCTGGGGGTAGGTCTATAAACGGCCGCTCTGGGAGTGTCTGTCCTATGCGGTGGAGATAGCTTGGCCGGGTGCGGTGGCTCACGCCTGTGATCGCAGCACTTTGGGAGGCTGTGGCGGGCAGATCACGAGGTCAGGAGATCGAGACCATCCTGGTTAACATGGTGAAACCCCGTCTCTACTAGAAATGTAAAAACTTTGCCTAGCGTGGTGGTGCGCACCTGTAGTCCCAGTTAGTAGTCCCAGGCAGGAGAATGGCGTGAACCTGGGAGGCAGAGCTTGCAGTGAGCCGAGATCGCGCCACTGCACCGCAGCCTGGGTGACAGAGCCAGACTCTGTCTCAAAAAAAAAAAAAAAAGGACTGAGAGAGATACGCCCTGGTCTCCTAGTCTCCTGCAGTACCCTCAGGCTTACTAGGATTGGGAAACACCAACCCTGGTAAATTTGAGGTCAGACCGGTTCTCTGCTCTCAAATCCTGTTTTCTGTAAAGATATTTATCAAGACAATACGTGCACTGCTGAACATAGACCCTTATCAGGAGTTTCTGATTTTGCTCTGGTCCTGTTTCCTCAGAAGCATGTAATCTTTGCTCTGCCTTTTTCCCTTTGAGGCATGTGATCTTTGTGACGTACTCCCTGTTCATACACCCTCTCCCCTTTTCAAATCCCTAATAAAATCTTGCTGGTTTCGCGGCTTAGGTGGACATCACGGACCTACCAATATGATGTCACCCCTGGAGGCCCAGCTGTAAAATTCCTCTCTTTGTACTCTTTCTCTTTATTTCTCAGACCGGCCAACACTTACAGGAAACAAAAATAACCTACATTGAAATATTGGGGGCGACAGACCATGGGAATGCAAGTATCTCTTCAACATCCTGATTTCAATTATTTTGGTAAATAACGCCTTATCAGACGTATGGTTTGCAAATGTTTTCTCCTATCTCATAGGCTGCCTTTTCATGCTATTAAATGACTGCTTTGCTCTGCAGATTTTTAATCTGATGTACTCCAACCTGTCTATTTTTGCTTTTGTTACCTGGGCTTTTGGTGTCATACCAAGAAAAATGACATGAAGTTTTGCCCCATGTTTTGTTTGAGGTGTTTTATAGTTTCAGATCTTATATTTAAGTCTTTAATCCATCTCGAGTTGATTTTTGTGTACTGTGTGAGATAAGGGTCCAATTTCATTATTTTGCTTGTGGATGTCCAGTTTTCCCAGTACTATCTACAAAAAGACTATCCTTTCCCTATTGTGTATTCTTGGCACACTTGCTGAAGATTAGCTAACCGTATATGCACGGATTTATTTCTAGACTATTTTATTCCATCGGTCTATGTTTCTATATTTGTGCCAGTACCATACTCTTTTAATTACTGTGTGTTGTAATATACTTTAAAATCAGGAACTGTGATGCCTCCAGCTTTGTTCTTTGTCAAGATTGTTTTGGCTATTTGCAGTCCTCTGTCATTCTATATGACTTTTGGGATTGTTTTTTCTATTTCTTTAAAAAAATGACACTGGGATTTTGATAGGGATTGCACTGAATCTGTAGATCTCTTTGGGTGGTATGTCCATTTAGCTTCTATTATAGAGTTGTCTTTATCTTGCTGATTTGACAGAGCTCTACACAGAGTATGTGCTAATATAACCTCAGTTTGTTCTTTGCTTATAAATACTGTTTCTAATGATTTTTATTCTTTTTATTTTTTTTGAGACGGAGTCTTGCTCTGTCACCCAGGCTGGAGTGCGGTGGTGCAATCTCAGCTCACTGCAACCTCTGCCTCCTGGGTTCAACGATTCTTCTGCCTCAGCCTCATGAGTGCTGGGACTACAAGTGTGCACAACCACGTGCAGCTAATTTTTTTGTATTTTTGGTAGAGATGGGGTCTCAGTACGTTGCCCAAGCTGGTCTTGAACTCCTGGCCTCAAGCAATCCACCTGTCTTGGCCCCCCAAAGTGTTGGGATTACAGGCGTGAGCCACCATGCACAGCCTGTTTCTAAGGTTTTTTAAAGCTTTTGTTGTCCTAATTATTAATCGTTTCTATTATACTAGTGTTCCTGGAAAGATCTTTTCTACTTAAGTCTATATTCTTAGTGTTTTAATTACTTTGTGTGTTTAAAACTAATTTATCTGAAATACTTTGTATATATGTGAAAAAGATCTAGCTCCTGCTAAAAAGGTAGTCACTGTCTCAAGAAGATTTACTAAATGATCCACTCCTCACAACCCCCAACACCAATTTGAAACAAAAATGTATCCCATATGAAAAGAGCATCTGTGTTTTAAGTATAGGGGGAAAGTTATGTTAATCATAAAACAACAGTGAAAAAACAGCCTTCTCTCTACTCTCACCAGAAGAAACCCTGGCAGCCTCGGCATCACCTCATCAGCAGGTTTGCAACTTGCAACCACTTCCCAGCACTTGGCAAAAGAAGGCAAGAAAGCCGCCCTGTTCTCCTGTGATGTCTTTACTAAGTAACTGCGGAAGGACCAGTGCATTTTCTACCTTCCAAGGCAGACACTCTGGCACCTGAGAGTGATGATCTTGTGTAAACCAATCAGGGTACTGGATAAATACAGCTCTGATGCCTCTGGTATGCCAGTGGCTTTAGTGTATGGTAGAACCAAGGTAATAATAGTATTCTGTGGTATGTGTGACATCTTCCTTATCAGCAGTAAGCCAAGATTTTTTTTAGAGTCAATATCAACTACAATCTTGCAGCGTCATAACGTTTAAATAAATTACAACAGTTAGACCCCAAGAGGTTGGTTCTTGACTTTAAGCAGTCTTTCCTGCTTGCTTTAGAGATTTAAAATAATTCAACTTCCTGGAAAAGAACCCTAAAAATAAGCCCCTAGAATTATAAAAACAATGTAAAAGATCGCCATCATTACCGTTCCTAGCAGCTGACTTAACTATTATTTGAGAACCTTTTATAAAACAATTCTATGATGTCATATTATTGCCTTTCTGGGAATTATTTCCCCAATATTCCCATGTCTCCAAACGAGAAATTTGAGACTTGGAGAGGCTTAGCAACTAGCCCAAGGTCAGGACACAAATAGAAAGCAGCAGGACGAAGGTTTAAACCAACATCCCGTGCCTTAAAAGTTCGTTCTCCTCCTGCTTTTCTACATTGTCTTATGAGATAATGTAATTTCTTTAATTGATAAAGGTCAAGCTAAAACAATGATGTAACATTTTAAACTATTATGTTAGTCAAAAAAATTTAAAAATAATATCCAATGTTGACCCAAGGTATGATGAAGCCAGGTGTCTTTTATGTCAACCACGGTATAAAATGATATGAAGCTTTTGGAAAACAATTTGGCTATTTGAGTGAAGTGACTGTAAATGGGTACATATTGTGATTTCCTGATACTACTTTTAATAATCTATCACAAGAAATTGAAAGTTGAAAGTGCTAATTGTATAGATGTTCATCATAGAATCATTTATGAATGTGATACAGAAGCACCCTAAATATTCAAAAGTAGTTAAATGTTACTGTATCTGCTAAATGTAAAAGTGATTACTATATGTTAAATGACAAAGCAGGATATACACTTATCTAAATTTCATTTAAAACGACAAATTTTAAAAAGCTGAAGGGTGATTTCTAAACTACATGCTAAACTTTTTGAAGTTTGGCAAACTGCTATAATTAAAAGTGATTATTTTACTAGAACTAAGGAATATGAAGTTGGTCAACTCAACTGTAATCTCCACCACTACTTACAGCTTTAAAATAAAAATATCTCAAAGCCATAGTACAACGATTAAAAATTTACACTCAGAGGAACATGTTTATGTGTGGAGGCAATGTCTTCTGTATCAGCTAAAATATGACTCATTTCCAGCAGAATATGAAAAAAGTCAAGGTGATTTTCAGTCACAGAATATCACAGTAGGGAGAAATCTAGAAATCCACCCTTTCAGTTACATAGAAAACTATTATCAAAGAGGTTCAATGATCCACCCAAAGTCACTGGCTTTTCAGCATCATTTTTCAGCATCAAAGTCGTCTTTCCAAAGCAAACACACTTTGTTGTGGTCCTCTGTCCACACAGTAACTTTTCCTCACTAGGCTCCTCATAATACCAGGTTAGTCTTAAGTCATGATAATAACTAACCATCGAGAAGAACCTGGGAAAGTCATGCTTATGGTTTCGGGAAAATACAGAGGCCTACCACACAATCTAGATTAAGCTGCAATGTTGACCCCTTAGAATACATTCTATATATACAGAGTCATCTATAGATTCAATGTAACAGAAATTATTAGAATTGGAATTATTAGATTACATTCCTAAAACCTCACCTGACTTCATTACAGAGATTGACAAGCTGATCCTAAAATTCATACAGAAAATCAAGGGACCCAGAATAGCCATAACTATCTTGAAAAAGAAAGACGTTGAATGACTCACATCCTGATTTCAAAACTTACTAATCAAGACAGTGTAGCACTGGCAAAGGTAACATATAAATGCAAAGAACACAATTTAGAAATCAGAAATAAACCCTCACATTCTTAACCAATTATTTTTAACAAAGGTGCCAAGGCATTTAAATGGGGGAAATACATGTCTTCAACACCTGGATGTCCATGTGCAAAAAAGAATTAGACCTTCTATCTCATACCATATAAAAATGTAACTCAAAATGAATCAGAAACCTAACTATAACAGCTAGAATAGCAAAAAAAACTTAAATGAAAACACAGGCTTAAATCTTCACAACCTTGGATTAGGCAACTGTTTCTGAGATACAATACCAAAAGCAGAAGCAACAAAAGAAAAAAAGTTGATAAAGTGGACCTTGTCAAAATTTAAAACGTTTATGTTTCCAAGGACATTATCAAGAAAGTGAAAACACACCCAAGAATTGGGAGAAAATATTTGCAAATGATAACTCTGACAAGGGTCTAATATCAGACTATACAAGAACTCCTACAATTCAACAATAAAAATGACCCAGTTTAAAACTGGCAAATGATTTGAATAGACACTTCTCCAAAGAAGATATACAAATGGCCAGTAAGCACACGAAATGACACTCAATGTCACTGGCTGTCAGAATGCAAATTGAAACAACAATGAGGTATCACTTCATACCCAGTAGGGATAGCTATAATAAAAAAGACAGACAAAGCCAAGTGTTGACAAGGCTGTGGAGAAACAGGATTCTTCATACACTCCTGGTGAGGATATAAAGTGGTCCAGCCACTTTGGAAAACAGCCTGGAGGTTTCTTAAACTGTTAAACACAGAGCTACCAATTGAGCCAGTTTTCTGATAATGGTTAACTAATTTTTAAACAAAGCCATTCCATAGAATATTAGCTATCTTTTTTCCCCAGATATTAGGATGTACCAGAAACTTAAAAGGAAATAAAAGCCTAAATGTGTACAGCAGAGTTTCTTCTGCATTTTTACCCTATAAAGGCTTTAGTAACCACATATATTCACACTCAGCATCCTGGGGATCTTTAGAACTTAGATCATTCTGCATGGCTGTCTTCCTAGCTTTAAGAGCCTACAAAAGGTTACGAATTCTGAGATAGCTGGGCGCAGTGACTCACGCCTGTAATCCCAGCACTTTCGGAGGCCGAGGCGGGCGGATCACGAGGTCAGAAGATCGAGACCATCCTGGCTAACACGGTGAAACCCCATCTCTAGTAAAAATACAAAAAATTAGCCGGGCATGGTGGCAGGCGTCTGTAGTCCCAGCTACGCGGGAGGCTAAGGCAGGAGAACGGCGTGAACCAGGGAGGCAGAGCTTGCAGTGAGCAGACATCGCGCCACTGCACTCCAGCCTGGGCGACAGAGCAAGACTCTGCCTCAAAAAAAAAAAAAGAAAAAGAATTCTGAGATAATTTCCCCACACTTCCCTGCTTATTACACTGAGGAAACTGAATACACCTGATGGGGCATCAAGGATATTTGTTATTCATGTTATTCATGATGTAATGTTATCCCACCCTGTTTTCTTTACACAACAGGCTCAGAAATTTATACCTCTTGCCCAGGTTTCCCTCACATGACAGCCTTCAATCCGGACCTCTCTTCTAGGACAAGACAACCCTCCTTCCTAGAACTCAGTGCATTTGTGATTCATGTCTATTTGAGCAGGTTTTTTATTTTATTTTTTTAACTATCCTATTAGCTCTCCAGAGACAAGGCCCCTGCTCATTCTTCGCTCAGGACTGCATCCTTAACACCTGACACTCACAATGTGTGAACAAACTGTAGTCAACATTCTGTAACATTACATGCATACCTGGGAGATATATATCACCCCATAAGACACATGACATAATAAGGCAAATCACAAAAATTGTCTGGTTTCTCAGTGCATATAAAACTTATATTAACACTACACTATAGTCTAGTGTGCAACAGCATTATGTCTAAAAAAATATATACCTTAATTTGCCAGGCGTGGTGGCTCACACCTGTAATCCCATCAGTTTGGGAGGCCGAGGCAGGTGGATCATGAAGTCAGGAGATGGAGACCATCTGGCTAACACGGTGAAACCCCGTCTCTACTAAAAATACAAAAAATTAGCCGGGCATGGTGGCGAGCACCTGTAGTCCCAGCTACTCGGGAGGCTGAGGCAGGAGAATGGCGTGAACCCGGGAGGCAGAGCTTGCAGCGAGCAGAGATCATGCCACTGCACTCCAGCCTGGGCGACAGAGCAAGACTCTGTCTCAAAAAAAAAAAACACCTTAATTTAAAAATATTTCATTGCTAAAAAATGCTAAAGATCATCTGAGCCTTCAGTGAGCAGGAATTATTTTGCTGGTGGAACATCTTGCCTCAATGTTGGTGGCTGCTGACTGACTGATTAGGGTAGTGGTTGCTGAAGGTTTGGGTGGCTGTGGCAATTTAAAGTAAGACAGCAATGAAGTTTGCGACATCAATTGACTCTTTCATGAAAGATTTCTTTGTAGCACGTGATGCTGTTTCATAGCATTTTACCCACAGCAGAGAGTCTTTCAAAATTGGAGTCAATCCTCTCAAACCCTGCCACTGCTTTAAGTTTATGGAATATTCGGACTCCTTTGTCATTTCAACAGTGTTCACATCATCTTTACCAGGAGTAGATTCCATCTCAAGAAGATACTTTATTTGCTTATTCATAAGAAGCAACTCCTCATCTGCTCAAATTTTACCAGAGATCAACAGCAATGCAGTCACACCTTAGGCTTCACTTCTCATTCTAGTTCTCATCCTATTTCTACCACATCTGCAGTGACTTCCTCCACTGAAGCACTGAACCCCTCAAAGTCATCCATGACGGTTAGGTCAGCTTCTTCCAAACTCCTATTCACGTTGGTGCTCTGACCTCCTCCCATGAATCACGAATGTTCTTAATGGCATCTAGAAGAGCAAACCCTTTTCAGAAGGTTTTCAACTGACTTTGCCCCGTTCCATCAGAGGAATCAGTATCTAGGGCAGCTACAGTCTTACACAATGTACTTCTTAAATAGTAAGACCTGAAAGTCAAAATTACTCCTTGATCCATGGGCTGCAAAGTGGCTGCTATGTTAGCAGGTGTGAAAACATCCATCTTCCTGTACTATACTCTTGTACTATATATTACTATGTAATACACTATACTATACTCCATCAGAGTTCTTGGGTGACCAGGTGCACTGTCAGTCGGCAGTAGTATTTTGAAAGACATCTCTTGAGTTGTAGGTCTTAACAATGGGCTTAATATTCAGCAAACCATACTGTAAACAAATACGCTGTCATCCAGGCTTTGTTGTTTCATTTATAGAGCACAGGCAGAGTAGATTTAACGTAATTCTTAAGGGCCCTAGAATTTTCAGAATGGTAAGTGAACGTCAGCTTCAACTTAAAATTACCAGAAGTATTAGCTTCTAATAAGACAGCTTGTCATCTGAAGCCAGGCACTGACTTCTCCTGTTTACCTGTGCAAGTCCTAAACAGCATCTTCTTTCAATATGAGGCTGTTTCACCTACACTGAATGTCTGTTGTTTTGTGTAGCCACCTTTATCAAATGATCCCAGCTAGATCTTCTGGATGACTCGCTGTAGCTTCTACATCAGCACTTGCTGCTTCGCCCTGTACTTTCATGTTATGAAGAGTTACCTTAAACCTCATGAACCAACCTCTGCTAGCTTCCAGCTTTTTTTTTTCTGCAGCTCCCTCACCTCTCTCAGCCTTCATACAATTAAAGAGAGTTAGGGTCTCACTCTGGATTAGGCTTTGGCCGAAGTGAAAGTTGCAGCTGGCTTAATCTTCTGGTCAGACCACTCAGACTTTCTCTCTGCCGGGAGTCTGTTTTGCTTTCTTATTTGAGTGTTCACTAGAGGAGCACTTTTAATTTTCTTCAAGAACTTTTCCTTTCCATTTACAACTTGGCTAACTGCTTGGCACAAGAGACCTGGCTTCTGAATTATCCTGGCTTTCAATGTGCCCTCCTCATTAAACTCAATCATTTCTATCTTTTGATTTAAAGTGAGAGACATGCAACTTTTCTTTCACTTGAATATTCAGAGGTCATTATAGGGCTATTAATTGGTTACTTTCAATATTATTGTGTCTCAGGGAATAAGGAAGACCAAGAAAAGGGAGAGAGATGGAAGAGGGACCAGTCAGTGGAGCACTTGAAATGCAAACGTATCAGCTGTGTTCACTGTCTTAGATGAGCATGGTCCATGGTGTCCCAAAACAATCACAACAGTAACATGGAAGATCACTGATCGCAGATCACCGTAAAAGATATAATAATAATGAAAAAGCTTGAAATAGTGTGAGAATTACCAAAATGTAACACACAGACATGAAGTGAGCAACTGCTGTTGGAAAAATGATGCTGGTAGAGTTGCAAAAAGCACAGTATTTGCAAGGCTCCAGAAAATGAGCGATGCTTGTACCTTCGTTTCTTCTGATTTGCTCTTCTAATCTGCCATGGATTTAGAAGGCACATAACTGTTTTATCACTGTATATAAAATAAGACAATGTAGGCAGTGTACAGGAGACCTTATCTATCTAGAGAGATCAATCCATCTATCTTTTTTTTTTTGAGACAGGGTCTCACTGTGTCACCCAGGCTGGAGTGCAGTGGTGTAATCTACGCTCAATGCCACCTCTGCCTCCCAGGTTCAAGCAATTATCCTGCCTCAGCCTCCTGAGTGGCTGGGACTCCAGGAGCGTACCACCACGTCCGGCAAACTTTTTTGTATTTTTAGTAGAGATGGGGTTTCACCATGTTGGCCAGGCTGGTCTTGAACTCCTGACCTCAAGTGATCCACCCACCTTGGCCTCCCAAAGTGCTGGGATTACAGGTGTGAGCCACTGGGCCCAGCCTATCTGTCGGTCTGTCTGTCTGTCCATCCATCCATCCATCCAAAGTATAGGAATCGCAGTGAAGATATTTTGTGAAATCTTTTATGGGTTCTTGAGAGACATAAAGTTTTGGATTCTCAGCTGTGGTTCAAATAGTGGAGGCTGCAGGCTATCTTGGGAATGTTAAGTCCAGTGAAAGTGTGAAAAAAAAAACATAAAAATATAGGCTGCTGAACTGGGAAAAGGTGCTAAAACCAAATATTGAGACCACTTAAAAATTAAGGAATATCCAATTTCAAAATAGCATTGATCTTGGGGGAAGTACATTTTCCATTTCATTTAGACCACATTAACAAAATCATTTTTTAAAAGACTATAACTATCTATTAGTAATACAATGTCCTTTCATGCATTAGATGGCCAGTCATGCTTACCGTATTTTAATGCTATGCGACCCGTCATAAAAAGTTAGGTTTACACCTCAAATTGGAAATTCTACTTATAAGCACACCAGTAAAAAATCACTGTAAATACTTGTAGTAACATAACTTTACAAAAAGATTCTTTTTATCGCCATCCATAAAGTGGTCACTCACCTGCATTAAGAGCTGTAAATAAATTTTTTCTCGAAGGACCTAAGATATAAAAGAAACATGTAAAATACATATGTTTTATTTGACATATCACATAAAAACAAACCATGTTGATAAGAATTATTTTCAAAAACAATCAATCGCTACATTTCAGGTTCCCGGTGGGAAATATCACCGAGATTCAACCAACTTTTGTCAAGTGCATTTTAAATATAAGGTGATATTTCACATAACATCAAAATGTTTAAGTATGATATGAAGTCACCACAAATTAAATAGGACCAGTTTTAAAAGGAAAAGCCGCAGTATTTTTTCAGTCAAGAACAGCTGAAGTTCAAGTTTTAACAGTACTGAATTCACAGACTGTGCACATATGCCATTCTGCTGCCGGGAGAGCAGAGGCCAGACTTCACGAAGGACAGTCACTCCCGTGTGCTTTCCGAAACTACCCGTTTCTATTCAGCTATGAAGAAAAATAGAAGTTTTTCCTCCAAACTGATAAAATATAAAATCAGGAGGGGTAATAGGTACACAGCTGTAAGTCACTAAAAGAAATCTATGATGCTTCTACTTAACATGAAATAGTTGTTTCTAGGACATAATCATCTGCAGATACCAGTTAGAACAGCTACCATGTTCTATCTGAAATTTTACAGAGATGATGATCTCTTAAAATACGTGGCTGTTATCAATGGAAAGCACTGATTCCCACACAGGTAAAACTGTTGCGACATAACCTATCCATTCAATAGTGAGGCATTTTAGAATTCTGAGTCTCCTGTTCTACAAAGCTGTCCATGGAATCTCATTCTCTGCAAGTTATTTTAGTATCAAAGTTCAACAGCGTTAACTTCATTATTGCTGTGTGGATCATGGGGCTTTATCATCATCAATAAAAAACCACAGTTTTCCAACCTGATGTCAACTCAGCAAGAGGTCATTTGGTGCCTCCGAAATTTGATTAACTCCCTAGGCAAATGACAACCTGCTGCACACTGAAGAATTCAACCCACTCCTAAAATTCATGCCTATTTTCTCTTCAATTCAGTACAAAGAAAAGGTATTGACATACATTAACCAGCCTCAAGGTACCATATTATCCTTTAAACACACACACAGAGAGAGAGAGAGACATGTTAAGGAGGATGCTGTGACAGAGTAACACCTCTGAGAAAGTTACTAATAGATATTAACAATCCAAAGAGTTTCATGCAGGTTAACCCAGTAATTCCTCCTTCTGGGATATCCACAAGTAACCAGAATCTGAAACAATGAATCTTGACTCACATTTGAAGAGGTTCATCTCAGTATTAATAAACCCCAATAAAAGTCAGAAGTTGCCCACTATAAACTGAAGTGGACAACCATAGAATAGCCATTTAAAGTGAAGAAGCTCTCCTGATACACTACTAACTTAATAAAAAGCAAGATACAGAAGAGTATATTCATTATTACCTCAGTTTTGCTGGAATAAAAACAAAACAACATATACATACAGAGGAAAAAAGTCACAAGGAAATGTGACAGCAATTGCTGGTTGACAGAATTAAGGAAGACTCTTTGTTTCTGTGTTTTCCAAATTCTCTAACATAAATGTGGGTCTCATTTTATAGGTCAAGTTTCTCACTCACAATTATTCGCTCAGGCTTTAGTTAAGCTTCAGTTCACTAAGCACAAATAATGCTTTTTTTTTTTTTTTTTTTTTTTTTTTTTGAGACAGAGTCTCACTCTGTCACCCAGGCGGGAGTGCAGTGGCGCGATCTCGGCTCACTGCAACCTCTGCCTCCTGGGTTCAAGCAATTCTCATGCCTCAGCCTCATGAGTAGCTGGGACTACAGGTACACACGACCATGCCCAGCTAATTTTTGTATTTTTAGTAGAGATGGGGTTTTGCCATGTCGGCCAGGCTGGTCTCAAACTCCTGACCTCAAGCAATCCACCTGTCTTGGCCTCCCAAAGTGCTGGGATTACAGGCGTGAGCCACCGCATGTGGCACAAAGAAGGCTTCTGATGTGCTTTGGCCCCACTGAGACAAAGCTGCATGAAAACATTGCACATTAAGTGTATACCACATATTTTGTAAACCTGAAAATTACTTTTCATAATCACAGCAAATAAAAAGTGAGGGATATGAGAAGGAACAGAGATAAAGAACATTTAGAGGAAGAACAATGTCTTAGACCAAAGACATGAAGACACAAGTACAGTAATAAACATAAAACATCTACCCTGATGAAAAGTAATCATGCATTTCTACTCCTTTCTCACTATTCTAGAGCACTGTTTTAGAATAATTTAACTCCTGAAGTTTTGCTGTTTCTACCTTATACCTTTGTTCTGCCTGCTGACTTACACGTAATGATTTTTAACTATAGAACCTACCAACTGTCAGAAAAACAATTTCCTCAGTGCAAAAATGTATTATATCTCCTTTCTCAACATATTTGTAATCATTGTTGACTATACCATAAACCTAATTGTCAAAATTTAACTTTCTACAAGCCAAGGACTTTAAGCGTCTTGCCCTCCCTCTTCAAACCACAATGAGGACTGTACCTTTTGGAGGAGTTTTCATCAAGTGAACATGAGCCCTGGATACCAAAGGCTTCAAATAAAAGGATCCTGAGGAACCATTCTGAAATGCTGGTTTTGGAGGTTTCTCCTCATATTTGATGACAGCGGCATTACCAGCTGTAATAAAACAGAAAAGTACATTTTATTGTATAGATAAACACAGTTTCGACCTTCCACATTTATTCCTTTGTCCTTGAACCAACAAATGCTCAATAAGCACCTACGACATGCCAGTCATTACTGAACATTGGGAATACAACATGGATAACAGGTAGCTTGTGTCTCAGGGATGCGAAATAAAGGCTATAATCAGAGTGACCACACATCCTGGTTAGCCTGGCACAGTCCAAGCTTATGCATCTTGTCCAGTTCAGCTTTCATCCCAGATAAGAGTTGGGGAAGAAATAATACAGCCACTTCATGCTATGTAACAAGAATGCCCCAGGTGCAGCTAGGAAGAGCACCCATCTCCATGGGGACAAGGAAGAATTCGCACAGTCAGCTAGTTAATGACACAAGAACAGTAACATACAGACTCCTTGGTAGCTATAAGGACACGCTCTGGTTCAAATCCTTGCTCCTACAGCAAGGAGTTAAAATGCTAACTTCTGCCCTGAACAAAGGAAGTTTGTTCCAAAGTAAACTTTATGTTTTAGCTCCAAAGCAAAAACATAAAAGGGAATCTTACCTCAATAACAAAAACCATCTTTTTATATTATGTGTAAAAATTTCCCCTCCACCAATCCAGACTGGATTTTCTACTGTTTGTTTGTTTGTTTGTTTGTTTTGAGACGGAGTCTCACTCTGTCGTCCAGGCTGGAGTGCAGTGGCATGATCTCGGCTCGCTGCAAGCTCCGCCTCCCGGGTTCACGCCATTCTCCTGCCTCAGCCTCTTGAGTAGCTGGGACTACAGGCGCCCGCGGCCACACCCGGCTCATTTTTTCTATTTTTAGTGGAGACGGGGTTTCACTGTGTTAGGCAGGATGGTCTCGATCTCCTGACCTCGTGATCTGCCCGCCTCAGCCTCCCAAAGTGCTGGGATTACAGGCGTGAGCCACCGCACCTAGCCTGTTTGTTTCCAAATAATGATCAATATCCAATTCTAGGCACCCAATTCTATTCTACTATTCAACGCTTATAAATTTCTTTATTACCAACTATGATCCCTTTTCTCACTTCACTCACTTAGCAAAGGGTTAAGATACCTACCTTGTTTACAAATGCATTATAAATGTGAAGACAGCTAGAAATTTTTCACTAGGCTAACCTATTCCAACTGCTACAATAGTGCTTATACACATCACATTCAAACTTTGTACAGGCGTGCTATTATTTTCCCCTAATCCACACCCAGGCCCTGTACAATGAGCCATCTGTTCATTGTTCTCGTGCCCAAATAACATTCCTAATATTAGGTCAAATCAACACAGAGCTTTCCCTCCTGCTGAGAAAATTCTGTCAATTTCCTGTCCTTTTTTCCAATTCTCACCTTCCCTAGAACCTAGAGACTTGGCTTTTCCAAAGTTGACAGGAAGCTAATGGGAGTGACAGTATTAAAGACACCGCCATTACAACATTCAACAGAACCCTTTTTAGATGTTCATAGAAAATGGATATTGGGTTTCAATTAGCATTTTAGCTTTTGCTGAATCAAATCCAACAAAGAAAATTAGACAGTCTTAACCATGGAATTATAACAATCTGGATTTTAGTCTTACTTTTCTTGAAGCCGTATTTGATTATATTCAGCAACAAATAAGTCACTTATTCATATTTTAAAAAATTAAACTGAGTTCAATTTACAGACCTAATATGCAATTGTATGATTCTAAATTCATGCTTTTCTTTTCTAAAATTTAGAGACACAAAGGCCCACGGTTCACAAAGAGATCAGTAAAAAGATTTTCACTAAAGTAAAGGACAGGTTCTTCATGAGGGATGGTACTCCTGTGTCCCTTGCCTCTCTGTCACATGCAAAATAGGAGGTGGTGTGCTGGAAATCAGCTGTCTCACTGCCACTTTTCAGACTCAATACAACACTAGATCAACCCGGCACCACACCCATCATCAGCTTCATAACACGCAACATGAAGTCAGAATTCATACTGCAAGGATAAAATGTCTGCGTTTGACTCAGGTACAAACACACATGCATTTATATTTTATACATATTTACATGAAAGCTATATATACAAGATACATATTCATATACTCTATGATCAACGATTGTACCTGCTTTCTGCTTTACTAATGGCAGGCACAACCTGTACTGAGCTGAACATAATTTTATGACTAACAATATCTTTCTCTCAATTTCTACTTACTGTACTCTAGGCTGGCCCACTGCTTTCCAGTAAACCCCAACTTGAAGGATGTATACCACCATGAGTCATAATGCTCTTCAAATATTTCCCCTGCCCTCTATTTCTGTTCCTAACATGGCAACTGACTGAGTATCCTGATGCTATCTAAATTTTCCCTCAGCCAGAGTCATTATATCCAAACAATAAAGTCCTCAGCGGCAACAATTCCAATATAAGAGATGCATAATAGTTTCCAGCAATGGAACAGGATGTAAAATATCCTAGTTCTGGTGCTGACTTGACCACTGCCTAGCTGTGCTGAATCACCTATCTATGAATAACAAGGGTCTGAATATCGGGTATGGGAATAGACAGTGCATTCGCCCATATCGGGTATGGGAATAGACAGTGCATTTGCCTTCACAACTCACTGTGGTATTCAGTCCCACTGAGGCTGGATGCATCCTCAGAATCATCCTAAAGACAGTGTTCTAGAGAGCCATGGACACTAAACACTGCTGGCTTGAAGAGACAATACATAAAATTTTTCATGTGGCCACCTACTTCTCAACCTGATCTAATATGTAGTTTAAAACTGCCCCTTTGTCATCTTTGGTCCCAACTGTCTCAATTATGCCAGAATAACAGATTCTCTGGAATCTTTATCTTCATTTCCCCATGGCCAAAGTGTGGTTCAAGTGAAATAAAGGAGCTGGTGAGTCTAAAAGGAAAAACTAAGGGATATTCTCAGGAAAGCCCAAGCAGAAGACATGATTTTCCTATTAGAAAAGGGCTTCTCATGCTGGGCACAGTGGCTCACAACTGTAATCACAGAACTTTGGGAAGACAAGGTGGGCAGATCACTTGAGGCCAGGAGTTTGAGACCAGCCTGGCCAATATGGCAAAACCCTGTCTCTACTGAAAATACAAATATTAGCTGGACGTGGTGGTAGGCACCTGTAATCCCAGCTACTCAGGAGGCTGAGGTGGGAGAACTGCTTGAACCCAGGAGGCGGAGGTTGCAGTGAGCCGAGATCGTGCCACTGCACTCCAGCCTGGGCAACAGAGTGAGACTCTGTCTCAAAAAAAAAGAAAAGGGCTTCTCATTGTTTCAGACTTTTATCTGCAAACTAACATTCATACTACATTCTAACACCTAGTGAAAATTCGCTTTTATTACATTATGTATATACACACAGAGCCAACATTCTGTTCATTTCTTGAATTTTATGTGAATCAGTTTAACACTCCCCACTGTGCCAGATCATCTGCCCACTTGGCTTAAAATCAAAGTACTACTGAAATCTAAACTTTTGAATTTCAAAAGCAATATCACTCAACTATATAATAACAAGAATGTCTCACATATACCCTAGAAAAACGTGAACAGAGAAAGAACGAGAACAAAGTTAACAGTGGTCTGGATAATATTTCCTTTTTAAATAGTCCATTCAGAAGTGCGTAAGTACTAACATGTTTTGTGATGTGGAGCCTAATGAATCTACCGCCTGTTCCTCATCTTAGCCTCACCCATGACAGACATCACGACTTGAACACAAAACTTTCCCTCTGAACCTGGAGGCACCCTGAGAAACCACTGACACCATCCTACAGGCGAATTCTTATCCACTAACCAGTGTTGGCCACTAACCAGTGTTGGCAGGTGAGACAATATTCACTTCCCATTCCTGTTGTGAGAGAAGAAAAAAAACAAAAAACAAAAAACTAAGGGTAAATAAGATCCACCCTATTCTTTATCAGCTTAATCACTTGAACAACTCAAAACACCATCCTGCCAAACAATGAGGCCCTGTCTTATTGCAGTGAAAAGGGTCAGAAATGTTTGTTGCTGCAAGGACTTTGAAGATGACCCAGTCCTCCCTTGTCATTGATCAGAGGAGAGTATGGAGGCTGGAGGCTAAGAAAAGACAAAGATAGTCCAACTTAACATGAGTTAGTAGGAAAACTACGGTGGGACCGGGCGTGGTGGCTCATGCCTGTAATCCCAGCACTCTGGGAGGCAGACGCAGGCATATCACTTGTGGTTAGGAGTTCGAGACCATCCTGGCCAACATGGTGAAACCCCATCTCTACTAAAAATACAAAAATTAGCCGGGCATGATGGGGCATGCCTATAATCCCAGCTACTTGGGAGGTTCAGACAGGAGAATTGCTTGAACCCGGGAGGCAGAGGTTGCAGTGAGCTGAGATCATGCCACTGCACTCCAGCCTGGGCGACAAGAGCGAAACTCCATCTAAAAAAAAAAAAAACAAAAAACAAAAAACAAACTAAGGTGGGTCCAAGGTTAGTGCCCTTTTCTGCATGTTACACCCCACTCAGCCAGGGCTGTCAGTGAAGGTGAAGGGAAAGAACACTCCATTTCTTTTATTCAGTCTCCTTCTGTTCCTTCCATTTCCAGGAGAATGCAAATAGCTTTGGTCTGCACCTCTTACATTTCCCCTACCATCTGGCTCTCAAATATAAACATGGTTTTGTGGCCAAAGTGGAAGAGGAAGTAATGTCTTTGGACCTTACTTTCCTGCTAACATCGCAAAGTTATACACTCTCCCAAGACCCCCTTCTAAATTGCACAATAGTCCCCAAATCTTCAACTCTGTTCATGACATACAATATATCATTTATTTTTACCCAGTTACTTTAATGATCTTAAAAACTGGATATTAGGTATCTGAGTGTGAAAGACCTTATAATCTTTAACCTCTATAAATGAGCACATTTGGTATAGAAACCATTGTGAAATGTTTTACACTAATATCCAAAAGGATCAAGATCGTAACTTTGAAATTTTCTACACTTAAAAGAACACACACAAAGAACCTGCTAAAATTCCCAAATAAGAACAATTTATTGCCTTACGTATTTTGATTTGGTCATTTAAAAAATTTAGTAACATTATTTCTATAGGATCCCAAAGTTCCGAGAACCCAGTGCTAATTTTACAACAGCACTGTGTTATATCAGAAGTTCTTAAATGATGCCACTAAAGATATCACATCACAAAGAAACAAGCAGACAAAGCGAGAAACCAATATTTGTTAAAGGGATTCAAATACTTAAGCCAGTATAAATCAGAACACTGATCAAAAGAGGAAGTTAATTCTTAACATGACCACCCATTATCAGAAACAGGAAATTTTCAGCGCGAGATGATTTTTTCATGTTTTGAGGTAGCCTTTAAAAGTATACATGTTTAATACTTTCAGTTACAACTTAGGAAAATAAAGATGTGATGTTTCCATTTTAATTTTAGAAAAGTATTTTTCTACACTTGCACAACTACCAGCTACATACACACAAAAACTAGTTATTTCATAAGAAATTAAACCATCAAAAAGTCTTTGATAATAGGATAATTTCATGTGCCAGAACATTAACGATGCTGCTGAATTATATTAAGAGTGCAAAACACATAAAAGAGACAACAAAATTGGTCCTACACAGAAGCATTCACATCTTAAATATACATACAAAATGCCCCCAAATACTACCATTACCATAAATTACAAGTTACAAAAACAGAAGTCAAGAGATCCTAAATCAATTTATTGAATAAAAATTTAAGCATGCTTACAAAGAAAAGAAACCAGAAATCGTCGACCTACTTTTTTTCCCAGTAAACGTGGCTAACAAAGGAATTATACAAAGGCTGTACGATCCCACGACCAGCAGTGTCAATAAGGTAGCATCATAGTGCCTCTCTGAACCAGCCGGTGGGGTGAGTGTAGAATTGATAAAGATTTTTGAAGAAATATCAGTTTCTGTACAACTGCGAAATCCTCCTGGTACAGTCATTTAAAAGGATCAAAGCAAGCTTAAGCAGGAAAAACTGCAGCCATGTTCACTCTCATATCCCTCATGCTTGCTCTTAGTGAATTCGAATGGAGGGAAAAAAAAAAAAATGCGTAAGCTCCAAGGCACTACACAAAACAGATTAAACCAGCTAGCAAATCAAACTAAGAAAGAGACTCACTGATTTGAATGCTTAATCCGCAACAGGAACACATCGCCACTAGACAGGCTCTGTGGGTGTATGGTAAACCCCTTTGTTAAAAGACAAAAAGGAATGGACAAAAGCACTTTACAGCCTCCTTAGGAGCATCAGACACAGTACTGAAACGGTGGCCAAGTCAACATGGATGTCGATGGAAAACACGGGGCTGTGGCACTACAGACTGTGTCTGCTTCAAGTGCCACAAATTCTGTTGCCACAACAGTTTTTCTAGAGCATGTTGGTGATTCTGTTTTGGCAGTTTGTCTTTAAAATTGCTTTGCAAGACAAAGAGAGCTTAAAATAATACACGTGTGAATTACCTTTTCAAATTCAGAGTTCCCTCTTACATGCAAGCCTGATTTTGTGCCACACCTTCAAAATTCCAACAGTAAAGCTGGTAACAATCCTGTTTAATTGCAAGTCACATATCCCAGTATTCCTGAAGTGCCAGGGTATGCAGCTACTTACTCTCATATGAGTCCAGCTACTGCTGCTAGGTGACCCGTCGGAAATGTGCTCATTAATTCGGTCATTAATTCAATGCCTTCTCTACAAAAAATGCATTCTCAATTCCCTCACATAGCTGCTGTGTGATTTTAGACCAGTGACAACATCTCTGAGCCTCAATCACCTTCTATATAAATATCAGGGTAACAGCAGAAGTTACCTGAGAGAAAAAAATAAAAGCAAATATGGACATCCTAAAGTACTGCTCCACACCCAGAGGAGCCTCATGAGCATTATTACACTTTGTCCCCAACTCCTCACCCAAAAGAAGAAACTGATCTGTCAAACTGAAGAGATCAGTTCGCCACTCCTCTCCACACCCTTGTGTCTGGTTTTATTGGTATTCTCATCATCCATGAAAATACCTTCTTTTTCTCCTCAACTATTTTTTAGAATAAGGGCCATTTCTTTTATATCCTGTGCTCCTCACTGCGCCTATCATGGTGTCTGTGCACAGCGGGCACTCCAAGATGGTTTAAATTTATGAATTATTTCGTGGGGAAGTATAAAAAAGGAAATGAGAAAATAAGAACCAAGTCCAAATACATCTTTGGAATGAAAGAGGTATCTCAGTAAATTCACTCATTTATACACAGAAAATAGAACTCACGTTAACTGAAAACTTTAACAAAATTCTCCTGAGTTTCAATTTTTTAGAATTAGGATTCAAGTTATATTAGTCCTATTACACAAAATCTAGCATCCAAAGATTCCACAGGAGATAGTCTTTTGCAAAGTAAATGAAACTGAAATAATCTTTTTTTCTGATTCCAGTTAGAGTCCAAATCCCCTGGGTTGCTACTCTTAAACCTCCAAAACACCATCACTTCAGACGATGCACTTTCGAATCCTTCATGCAAAAATATACTTTAACACATAATTATTTCAAGAGTGTTTTTCAAAGAATTTTTTTTCTGCCAAACTTTCAGAGCAACTCCAAGGAAGCAGTATGCCTATTTTTCCTGAAACCCCAGAAACAAAAATTCTAATTATTTGCAGAGCATTAGTTTTTCTTGTAATGACTGTTTCCACAACCCCCGAAGTGTGATATAAAGTCGACTTACAATTGTTGCTGTAAGTGCTCAGCTCACTGTGGGTGCTGGCTATTGAGGGGGTGCTTCCTGTCCTCCGCAGCGCAGGACTTTTCAAAGATGCTTTGGATTTAGGAAGTGGTCTAGGCAAATTCACCCATGACGACTGTGCAGTTTTCAAGGATGTAGGCTTTCCTTGGGGTTTAAAAAAAACAAAAAGTTTCCAGTGCTATTCATCCCGAAAGCTGGCACTTTTTAAGCCTGTAAACTCAAACTTCTGCACTAACAACAAAGTCAAAACACAAAATGAATGTTCACAATCATGTAACTTCAGATGAAAGATGAAAGCTTCACGCAGACATGTTTATTTTTGATCATTTAGAGGCAAGAGAGCAGAAATGATGAGGCAATTAGGATATGAGAAGTGTAGGAGTAACCCTGTCTCCTAAAGTAATTAACTCACACATGTTCTCTGAAGGAGATGATCAATCAGAATAATCATGAGAAAGCAGCTTTTGGCAAAACTGAAATAAAAAAATAAACAAATTGATACGACCCCCCATACTGGTGACTAAAAAAAAAATAATCCATTAGGACAATAGGCTATCATATAAGAAATAAATAAGAACCAAGTCCAAATACATCTTTGGAATGAAAGAGAGATCTCAGGAAATTCACTCATTTATACACAGAAAACAGAACTCACGTTAACTGAAAACTTTAACAAAATTCTCCTGAGTGGAAAATTTTAAAATCACCCAAACAGGAAGAAAAATGCAATTTGATAAGCAAAAATTTCATTTGAAAAATGCCTAATGTTCTAACACCAGGTGGTGCTATACTATTAAGATTTTTTTTTTTAATCTCACCTTTTCTTCTTTACTCCCCACACAGTTTATTTGCCAAACTTAAATGATCTTCACTCCAACTTGCAACTCTTTCTTGCAGTAAAAATGTTTCCACTTATCAGTGAAATAAATATACAGGCTGCGTATCCTCTGGCATCTCTGAAACTACATTCTCCTGATGCTCACGAACCTGCTACCTAAATATGGGCATTTCCCAAGCCCAGTCTTTCGCTCTTAACCCTCCTCATGCCCATTCTCTTGGAGAGTCTATTTTCTCTACTTTCCTCTAACCATTGTCCTATGCGGATGAATCCCATGTTCTCACCTGCAGCCCTATCTTCCTTCTGAATCTCAAGGCTACTCATGTTTTAAAGTACTTATTGAGTACTCTAGGTTTTCATCTTAGACCGACATGCTCCTGTTTATGCTAATTATAGCTCCACTGTTTTATTTTTTTAAAAATCTTGCTTTGTTGCCCAGGCTGGTCTCAAACTTCTGGCCTTAAGCAGTCCTCCCGCCTCAGTCTCCCAAACTGCTGGAATTACAGGTGTAAACCACCCCACCCAGCCATATAGCCCTATTTTTTATTTTTTTCCAGCTTCAAACCATTGGAATCATCTTTTCTTCCCCAGATCCCCATATATTCTAGCACTGTCTCCCAATGCTACCAGTACCACCTAACTGAAGACTACCCAGAGTTGAAAAAGACCTTTGATGAAAATGACATTGTTGCGTATCACTAAGGATCCCATAAGTGAGTCAAATAATGCTGCTGGAAAGTAATGCCCATTGCTTTGTTCTAGCGATTTTGCTCATAAAAACCTCATCCTAATGGAGAAAAAGATGCTGAAGCTCCTCAGGCCTGGCATTTGAAATTACCACATTAAGCTCCCCTCCTTCGGCTCCAGCCTCACTCTTGTATGGCTCTCCTACATCCATGTGTGCTCTGCTCCGATTAACCTCGCTTTCTCTCTGACACCAGGGCACATCATGTGCTATTCTATTAATATTCCAACAGGCACATCATTTCTTTTCAAAGAGCTCTTCTTCCACCCTTTGAATCCTTATTTAACCCTTTATATCATTGTCTAAACTGTATTGGACTCCTAAAATCCTGTCCTTCCATCCCTTCCAACTCCATCATGTTAATCTCCTAAATGTGAAAATTAAGGTCATGACCCAATCTAAAATTTGGGATTCTCCACCATCTACAGCATGCGGCCCAGCACAGCTTTGAACGCTAACCCAATACAAATTCATAAATTTTCTTAGAACATTATGAGATTTTTTTGCAATTTCTTTTATTAGCTCATCAGCTATCATCAGCATATTTTATGTGTGGCCCAAGACAATTCTTCTTCTTCCAATGTGGCCCAGGGAAGCCAAAAGATTGCACACCCCAATCTATAGGATGGTGATCGTAGTTTCAATCCTTTTATTTAATATTTAATTTCACAGGCTTAAAAGGCAATGTGGGGTTGATCCCTACCCACTTCTTCCCCCTCAGGCCATGCCTCTACCCCTTCATACACACACACCCCTTCGTGGTTTCTCTCCAGTCATTTCGCTCTATTCTTCTGCTTACGCCCATCCTTCCGACTGAACGGCCTCCTTTCTATCCCCTCCCCTATTTCTGTCCAGTGAATCCAAAGTCAGCTCAAGCTTCTCTTCTGAACCCTTGCTACTCATTTGCAGCTCCACCCTAGGCCTACTGAATCACCACCTGCAGTTTCACAAGATCCCCAGGTGATTAAAATGCACCTGGAGTTTCTGAAGCACTGTTGAGAATCAGGACCTCTCTGTGAGCTTATCCTGCCAGGACACCCTTCTCTGAATGCCGTGGACTAAGCCTTGCTTTCTCCTCACACCATGTACTTGTTTCTATCACAGCATTTGCCTCCACATTCTTCTTGGACCATCTCTAAGGTTCCTGAGATCAGGAAGAGCACCTGATTCAATTCTGGTCCTCAGGAACTGGCAAAGGTCTAGCATGGAGTGAGACTTAATAAATGTTTCCTCAACAAATTCATTTTTTTAAATGCCAACAGTAAATGATGTATTTTGATAATGTGTTCTCCCATCATCTATACTGAAGCATTCAGTGCTTAACCCATTTTTACAAGCTTATTTGAATCTTCAGTCTATTAGAGACTTTTTTCTTTACATCCTTTACAATAATTAGCAACTGTTAGATAGCAAATACACACTTTAAAAATTTATGGTTAGCCACCAGTTTTACTTGCTTTAGGAAGAACAGGAAAACAGATTTTTAGAATATAAATTTGCCAAATTGCCGCCCCTTCAGCAGAAACACTGATGAGTCATCATCAAAACTAATAAGCAAGGTTGGGCACGTAACAGATCAAAATGACTGGGCCACAGCCACAGTGCAGCCAAGGCTTCCTACATTTTGGAAATCAGCTTATTCTTCAGAAATGCATGCCTCATAGCTTTGTTTCTAAACACAACTTAGGTTTGCAGACATTTCTGAGTGTGCCTGGGAATTACTACAGAAGACCTGTACCTTCACACAGCTGCACTAGAGGAAAGCTTACCCCGGCAACCAAATATCATTTCCCTGACCTCCCCTATCTCATTGTCACCCCCATCCAGGCCCATCCCCTACACCTAATGGCAGCCAGTCCTCACCAAAGTCTTCCCAATTCCACCATGGCTCTTGACTAATGAGCAATGAGGATAATGAATGCCGATTTCACCAAAAGATTAGTTTCTTTGATAGAATAATCCTAACAGTGTGTGACTATTACTATCCCAGTTAATAGATGAGAAGACTACTTAGGTGGTTAAATGGCTTACTTGGGTCACATACCCGGCCAGTGACAGTAAGGCCTAGAATCCAAGTGTCTAACCACCTGCCCAGTGTTCCCTCGGCCATGCCACAGAATAGAAACATCTCAGTTAAAGAAAAGTATGAGGCTTGGAGGCAGACAGAGTTCAGAATGGAGCTCTTACTGGACAGGAGCTCCTACAGCGGAATGGTGAAAACCGTACGGATGCAACAAAGACATATAACTATTTCACCAACAGTCCCGACGTTTAGCTTAACGGTAAAGTTGGCAATACTAAAACATAGCAATATTAGGTTAATTGAGAGACTGCAAGTAACACAGGCGCTAAATTCTTAAACAGTGAAATCAATACAGGACTTCTCTGAGTTACAGTTCCGAAAAGGTGACATTTACCAGGTCATATCGTATTGTGTAACTTATCCCAGATGAGAAAGATAAAGATTTAAGATCTACTTGCAGGATATTATTGACCTCAGTGGTTTATTTTAAGCTCGTGCACTTAGCATAGACTTACGTATAGACAACAGATTGGTTTTTATTCTGTAATTATAACCATCTTTTATGTAGGGAAAATCTGGAAGGAATAACACCTCCACTTTGCCTTAGATAGTAACACAGTCTATTGGATTTGAAGCAAACCTTCACTAATCAACCAATTTACTAAAATACTCACCTCAGAAAACCTGAGTAAGTATACTATATTTAACAACAATAAAAATCAGTAAAAGACGCCTAGCAAAACTAAAATTTCAATGGAAAGATTAAGTGAACAACAGGATAGTGTTAATATTAATATTATCCTATTCTGTAAAACAAAATGGTAGAATGGCGCTTGCCAGGGGCTGGTGGGGAAGGGAAATGGGGAGTTGTTCAATGGGTAGAAAGTTCCAGTTATGCAAGATGAATACGTCCTACAGATGTGCTGCACAACTTGTGTTGTAGGAAGCTGGGATTACACCCACACAACACCACACCCGGCTAATTTTTTTGTATTTTTAGTAGAGATGGGGTTTCATCAGGCTGGTCTCAAACTCCTGACCTTAAGTGAGCCACTTGCCGTGGCCTCCCAAAGTGCTGGGATTACAGGTGTGAGCCACCGTGCCTGGCCAAAACAGATCATCTTAATAAAAATCTGGACAATAGATTCACATGAAGGTGTGTCTTACACAAGTATTTATGTGCTTACCTAGTAAGGCAAGTGCAAGTAATCACAAAGTTCAAACATATACAGAGCCAGAACCACCTGACATCCTGCCACAGAATTAGACGTTCTCAGTAAAAACTGTAAACTAAAGAAAACATCATGTCTCACCATAAGGTATGTTGTTCTGTAGTTTATACAGCTTAGTAGGAACACAGGTGGGAAGAAGAAAATAAGGCTGGAGAGGCAGGTAGTTTACAGTTGGGTGAGACATGGCATTGAATGCCAGACTCATAATTTTAGACCTTAAATGTTAGGGATGGATATGGTGGGAAGATGTGGGTTGGGGGGGTCGGGGAGGGTGAGGCTTTTTTAGCATTTACATCAGAACTTGATTGTGTGGTAGCAGTGTGCAGAACTGACTGAAGACTGAAATCAGGGAAAAAGATAGGAAGCTAGTGTACCAGCACCTGCCAGGGTTAGAGAAGTGAGAATTTTAACTAAAAAATGAAAAGATTATTGAGGTCCATTTGAAATATATCAGTATGGCACACAAGTGGCAAGGCCACTAACTACTAAGTAAGAAAGAGAAAATGCCAAACTAACAGACACAGTTAAAATACGAGACATGAGAATATGTATTTTTTTTCCAGTTAATTCAGAGAATATGTCTGTAGCTATAATTATATAACTTGGGTTCCTTAAATACAACTCAACTACTTAGAGACAGTTACCTTTAGAGTAATTACCTACAGTAACTAGGAATTATTATAAAATCAGGGGAAACTTAAAAGTGACAAACAAGTTAACAAGTTATAAGAGAAATAAATTATACATACTCAAAACCGTGGCTGCAGGTCCACTTCCAATTAAGCTTAAGGGACCAAATTCTCTCACCAACACTAAATATACATGTTTAAGAACTTAGCTTCAATGGTAGAGTATCACTGTATAAATATTAAATAAACCTGATGGGCTTCTTACCAAATAAGTATTATACAAAATCCATATATTTCCTATGTGCCAGGAAAAAACAGAAAAAGAAATCCCTTACTTTGGTAACAAAAAGGAATTGCACACATAGACACACACATATGCACTGTTTCTGTGAATAAATTTATCAAAAAAGTGCTATTCTATTGTGAAAATTATAAAAATGAGAAAAATAAAAGTTCTGAACAAGTGTACACATGTGAATTCTTCCATGAATTGATATCTTATTAAATGCTATTGCAATCTGAACCTACATGTGATTGCTTTTAAACGCAGGAATTGAATTTTTAAAACATGTTAAAGTAATCTAGAATAATTAAGAATAGCCAAAAAAAAATTTAGAACAGAAAAACATTAAGACTACAATTCAACAACGAAAATACCAAAAAACCCAATTTAAAAACTGGACAAAGGACTCGAATAGACATTTCTCCTAAGAAGACAACAAATAGCCCAGAGGCACATGCAAAGATGCTCAACATCACTAGTCACTAGGGAAATGCAAATCACAATCGCGCGAGATACCACTTTGTACCTAATGGGATGCTATCATCAAAAAAAAAAAAAAAAAAAGCAAAAACAAAAAATTAACAAGTGTTGGCAAGGACACGGAGAAACTGGAACCCTTGTGCAAGGCTAGCGGGAATGTAACATGGTGTAGCCACTGTGGAAATGGTATGGTGGTTCCTCCAAAAATTAAACCTGAAGTTACCATATAATCCAACAACTGCATGTCTAGGTACAGATCCAAAAGATGTGAAAGCAGGCCGGGGGTGGTGGCTCGTGCCTGTAATCCCAGCACTTTGGGAGGCCAAGGCAGGGGATCACCGGAGGCCAGGCCAGGAGTTTGAGACCAGTCTGGCGAATATGGTGAAACCCCATCTCTACTAAAAATACAAAAAACATTATCTGGGCATGGTGGCGGGCACCTGTAATTCCAGCTACTTGGGAGGGTGAGGTAGGAGAATCACTTGAGCCTGGAAGGTGGAGGTTACAGTGAGCTGAGATCATGCCACTATACTCTGGCCTGGGCAAGAGAGCAAGACTCTGTCTTTAAAAAAAAAAAAAAAAAAAAAGTGAAAGACTTGAGCAGGTATCTGTACAACCATCTTCACAGCAGCATTATTCACAATAGCCAAAATGTGGAAGCAACCCTACTGTTCACAGGCAGATGAACGAATAAACAAAAGGTGGTACAGATATACCACGGAATACTATTCTGCCTTAAAAAGGAAGTTGACACATGCTACAACATGGATGAACCTTGAGGACACGGTGCTAAGTGAAATAAGCCAGTTATAAATAATGTATGATTCTCTTTCATGATTACTAGAATAGTCAAATGCATATAGACAGAACATAGAGTGGTGAGTGCCAGGGGCTGAAAGAGACGGAGAACTGGGGGTTAGTAAAATGGATACAGGATTTCAGGGGGGAAAACAAAGTTCTGGAGATGGATATGGAGGATGGCTGCAAAAAATGTGAATGTACTTAATGCCACAGAGCTGTACATTTAAAAAATTGTTAAAATGGCACATTCTGTGCAATATATATTTTGCCACAATTTAAGTTAAAAACAAGGAACTTGTGCAACTAGTTGGAGTAAGATATTATAAAATAATAAAAGTCCTACTGGAATAAAACCATACTGACAGATTAATACGGTGGTATATACATCTCAGAGATATAAAAATTCAGGATAGGATAGGATAAGGGAGGTATCTTAAATCAGCAAAAACATACTTATTTGTGGTATTAAGATATTTGAATTGCCAAATTAAAATTTGAGAAGCAGAACGGTACAGTAGTTAATAGTTGACAATCTCGAGGTAGATCGTCTAGGTTCAAACCCGGCGCCACCTCACACTGCCTAGTGAGCAGGTTCCTCACCGTTCTGCACTTCTGTTTTCTCATATGTGAGAATGGGGGTGATAGGAGTACTCCTTACCTCATAGGTTCTTGTGAGAATTAAATGAATTTATAATTTTAAAATGCTTAGAACAGCATCTGGCACAAAGTACCATACAAATATTAGCTGTCAGCGCTCGCCATCCACCAAAATAAATTAAATTGGATTACAACGCAAAGGGCTTAAGATGAAACCATAAAAAAAATAATTAAACATAGGTCAGTCTTCTTGAGTAGGGACCGTCTTATTATGCATAAAAACACAGGAAAAGTTAAAGGAAACAATGTATTTGACAACATAAAAGTGAAAAAAAATTAAGAAATCACCATATGCAAAATAAAAAGACATAAAAACAACAGGCAAAGGAAATGAACAGCAGCAGATCAAAAAAAAATCCTATGCCCCCAAATATAAGTGAGCGAAAGCTCTTGATGAAACAATGAATACAAAGAGTTGATAACTTTTATTATTATTCTTTTATTTAACCTCACTGTGTCTAACACCTTTCCTGGTGAGCCAACTGTCATTCCTAATCCCCATCACCATTGCTTAACCCCATAGAAGAGTTTAAAAAGTCAAATACTTGCTTCCAACCTTTCATGCCAGTAGGGGCAAGAGCCAGATCTGGTCTGTACCCATCAGACATAAGGACAAGAGGGCGAAGGGGGAGCTGCTGCATGGGTGTCCCCATGAAAAACAAAGAGAGGAGGAGGTCCCTGCCCTGAGATGCCGTCCTTTGCTTCCAGCCTTTGAATGCAGTCACAGGAAGTGGTGGGATGCACACGGAACTCCTAGCAGCCATATTTTAACTGAAAAGCCAATGACAAAGCCACATGCTGATGTGAGATGAGTGGAGAGGCAGAAAGAGGACATTTATGAATCGTCAAACCTGGAACAGCCTGCCTCTAGCCCTCCCGAGGAATAAACACACACAGCCTCTGGTTTATGTCCACTGGTTGGGTTTTCTGTCGCCTGCTGTAAATTGTGTTCTTAACTGCGCCATTCTCCTGCCAACAGTATTGGATGCAATTGGTTCCTCCTTTCTTCTTGAAAGGCTTTCCTTACTTGGCTTCAGGGATGCCCCTACGTTCCTGGCTGTTCCTTCTTGACTCTGGAGAGTCCAGGGAGCACCCCAGAGCTATCCTTGACCTGTGCTCTCTACACTTACTGCCGTGGGGCTCTCATCCAGTCTGGTGGCTTTAAATATCCTCTATATGGTGCTGAATCCTAAATTTATATCTGTAGACCAGATTTCTCCCACGCACTTCAAACTTGCATATCCAGTTTTCTACTCCACATGGCCTCTTATCAATCATTTCTATGTAACTGAGTTTCAGATCTCCCCTTCCCAACATCTGTGTTTCCACCATCCATTCCCATCTCAGGTAAAGGCTGCACCATTCTTCCATTGCTCACACCAACATGGTCATGTTCATCCGTGACTCCTCCCTTTGCTCTCACCCCCAATCCAATCTAAGCAAACCTCACTGGCTTTACCTTCAAGCACATACCTAGAATCTGAGCGGGCCTCACTGCCACAACCTGGTCCGAGAAAACATAACCTCCTGCTGCCATCACAGCGACCCCCGCAAGCTGATCTCCCTGTTCCTACTTCACCCATATCCAATCTACTCCCAACACAACTCTCAGAGTGATCCCATTAACATTTAAGTCACTCCAGTTCAAACTCCAAGTCCTAACTATGATTTTCAAGACTATACATGATCCACGCTGGGCACGGTGCCTCACGCCCGTAATCCCAGCACTTTGGAAGGCCGAGGTGGGTGGATCACCTGAGGTCAGGAGCACAAGACCAGCCTGAACAACATGGTGAAACCCTGTCTCTACTAAGAATACAAAAACTAGCTGGGCGTGGTGGCAGGCACCTACAATCTCAGCTACTCGGTAGGCTGAGGCAGGAGAATCGCTTAAACCAGGGAGGTGGAGGTTGCAGTGAGCCAAGATCATGCCATTGCACTCCAGCCTGGGCGACACAGCAAGACTGTGCCTCAAAAAAATTAAAAAAAAAAAAACAGCAGACACTGTCTCCATTATATACATAAACATATGTGCATGAGAATATGCAAAAAGAAAAGGTACCAAATAGTCATAAATTTTTAAGTTAAAAGCTATTTGGTGGTGGTAAGATGACAGGTGTTTATTTTCTCACTTTTAATTTAAAATGCTATACCTTTAAAATAGCCTACTGGGAAGAGAGTAGTGTAAACTTGATAAACTATCCAATTTGCCTGGTTAAATTCAAGACACAAGAGGTAAAGAATAAAACAGGGCCCCGCATCCCTTTCTTGACATTGACAAGAGGCTCTAGGTCAGCCTCTTCTTTGTTGACTGCCAGAAAGCCAATCTGTTGTGTCCTAATCACCTGTTGGCCCTCCTCTGTATTTTCACACCATCATTACTGACTTTGACCTCAATCTCTACATTCTATATTCTGAGCCATAACTCCTCTTCTCATTCTACCTTCTAGTATCTCAGTCAAGTCCTGAAAAATAGCTCAATACATGTGCATCCTCCTTACTTCTCAGATCTCAGGGGGCAAAAGTTAAACAGCACAAAGCATCAACATTAAACCAAGCCTGGCCCCTACCTATTTAAGAGTGTAACTCTATTACATTATATAATCTCCTATATTACAGAAAGAAAACCATTAAGCGAACTTTGGTATTTGTAATTACACCCTCTTCCAAAATCCTACAGTTCTTTTTATTAAATTTTAGTATTATAAGAACAAATGTGATGAAACAAGAACTTGTCACCTCTTCTATTTGGCAGTTAATACCAAGAAGGCAAAAACTACATCTTACTCATCCCACAATCCCTCAGTGTCTGGTACATGACTTACCTAGCATACACGCTCTATCTGTTAAGTAAATACGTTGCAGAACACAGAATATTTCAGTAACACTCTAGATTTATATGTTGCAAATAGTGATTTTACTATTCCACCTTCTTGAGTTCATCAAGGCAATAGGACTCTGTATAACTATCCTCATTTGCTTAAATTCAAGGGTAAGCTCCCCAGACAAAGGCAGAGCAACACAGGTGAGTCATAACAAAAACACGGCAAGTCTTAAGACTGCAGTAATTTGACAAAGGAGCAAAAAGTCCCACAAAGGGAAGTTCTCACGATGACTCGAACTCCACAGAAGCGCAGCATTCTCGGTGATGCTGTCAGTACCTGCCTCTGCAAGTATGTTCACAAGATGTCTGTGGCTTCAGGTGGGGATTAAACAAAAATAACTGCCTTAGTCACAGGCCTGGAACATGTGTCCCACAACTACAGGAACATTTAAATTCAGAGGGGAATAAACCAAAGACTTAAAGGTGTTGCTTCATTTTCCCAGCTACCATACAAAGGAGATAAACAAGGGTCTTCACATGTTCACCAGCAAATTTATTTACCATCTGACACCTATGCTAATAATGCCTGATAAGAACAAAAGAAGGTGCACAGTGAGCCTCCTGGCTCATTAGGAGTCAAGGTTTATGAGCAGAGCTCCACTGAGCAATGAGGTGGTGAGATCATTGAGACCTCAAAACTTCACACCAACTTTTTTTTTTTTCTTTTCTTTTCAGAGGGTCTCGCTCTGTCACCCTGGCAGGAGCACAGTGGTGCAATCATAGCTCACTGTAGACTCAAATTTGGGCTCAAGAGATCCTCCTGTCTCAGGCTCCCGAGTAGCTAGTAGCTGAGACCACAGGCGGGAGCCACTGGGCCTGTCTCTTATATCTTTATGTCAGCTCTTTTCTGATGGTTTCCTTAGTCTCTACATATTTTTACTCTTAAACCTCAGGCATGCACATACCCCTCTGAGGTGCTTCCCAGTCTGTAGCCTCCTCCAATTTCACATGCCCCGAATTAAACTCACTATTCTCCTCCGGAAAACTTCTTGCTACTCTATTCCACATTTCACTTCATGGCCCACCACCTATCCAGCCTCTGAAGGCGGCGGTTGGGGAGACACTTAGGACTGTTCACACCAACAGAAGTGGCCAGACACTCTGTCTCCTAATTATTTTAAACATGCATTCTACTATCCGTTCCCAAAAAATATGTAGCACTCGTGCAAGTTTGTGTCTACATTATTAGAACTAATCAGCCTCTACCTCCCTCGAGGCAGAGGCTCATCTGTCATTGACCCCGGGACACGTCTGCTCCAGGCATGCTGACTCTGGCCTTGACGTTCCCCAAGCACATGGTATCCTTTGACAAGGCCACATCTGCACCCTCAGCAACCCCAGCAGCCTCCTCTGCTGGCAAGCTCCTGCAGGCGCATTCCAAACAGTTCAAATGTCACCGCCTCTCCTCCAGTTCTCCCTCACAACAAGTTAGTGTTGCTCCTTTACTGTGGATACACAGTGCTTCGCACAGGTCTCCATTCAAATCAAGCCAAGGAATGTTTTTAAACACCTGTTGTGCAACCAGTACACTGTGCTGGGCACTGGAAAATATGAAAATAACTAAGAGCTGAACTCTATCCTTATGGATTTCACCGTCTAGAAGGAGACAGACATGTAAGGAAATAATGAGCATACAGCACTATAAATGCAAAGCAGCAGAGAGGCCAGGACAGCTGAGGTGGAATCTGAAGAGCCAAGAGTTTTCATTGGAACGATTTGCTTAGACACCCCCTTATCCCCTCACCCTCCAACCAGTAAGCTCCTTAAGAGGGCATATTTGCTTAATCCTGTTTGTAGTCTCAGAATCTAGTACACTGCCCAACACAGAGCAGCGACTCTAAGCACTTCTTGAATGAATGGGCAAGCCTGCACTGTGACATATTAAGCCTACTCATGAGTCATTCCACAAAGCAATCTTCTCCATAATTACTGCCAAGTAAGAATTGTGTGAAACGCCTGGAAAAGATCAAGCATTTACAAGTGATGATGTCCGTGAGGATGAAAAGAGGACATGTGCCTCGCAGGCACCTGCATGGCCCTGCTTGGTTGGTCCTGACCTCCTCCGCCCATCCATGTCCTCCAGCCCCCACCACACACAGTGCGTGGTTCACTGTTCCTCACGCACCCTACACCCTGCCTCACCTCGGGGTCTCTGCACGGCTGGTCCCTGTGCCTGGAAAGTCCTCCCGCCTGACACCCAAATGCCTCCCTCCTCCCTTCCTTTCAGGTGTTTGCCCAAATGTCGCCCTCTCAGTGAGGCCTTTCTTGACCAACCGTTTAAAAATCTAATCTCCTTCACTGCTTTATTTTTATTTTATTTTATTTTTTGCTTGTTTTTTTTGAGATGGGGTCTTGCTCTCTCACCCAGGCTGGAGTGCAGTGGTGCGACCTCAGCTAGCTGCAACCTCCACCTCCCAGGTTCAAGAGATTCTCCTGCCTCAGCCTCCCAAGTAGCTGAGACCACAGGCACCGGCCACCAAACCCAGCTAATTTTTGTATGTTTAGTAGAGATGGGGTTTCACCATCTTGGCCAGGCTGGTCTCGAACTTCTGACCTCAAGTGATCCATCTGCCTTGGCCACCCAAAGTGCTGGGATTATAGGCGTGAGCCACCATGTTTGGCTCTTTCTCTTTTATTTTTGGATTCATCATCATGAATCCAAAAATGTATTTATTTTCTTAATCCCCTTATTAGAATTTAAGCTCCCTAATGGAAGGAACGGGTCTCTTCTGTGCACTTCATTCCAGCACTTAGAAGAGTTCTTAGCACAAACCAGCCTTCCCCACATTCTCCTTCACACATATGTGGTTTAATGAAGAATTCACATATGTCCATGAAAGAAGACAGGAGTGTGTCAAGACTTCTGCATGCACGTAAAGGACCAGGGTTAAGAGCACAGACTGTGGGGCCAGAACACCCGGCCCATTTCCCGTCTCCACCAATTACCCCACTGTGTAACTTTGGACACGTTACTGAAGCTTTCAGACCCTCAAATTCCTCATCTGTAGAATGGCGATTATCACAGTATCCCTACTAGGAGTTGTGGGAATTAAATGAGATTATGCATTTAAAAGAGGGCTTAGCACTGTGCTTGGCGCACACAGGCACTCAAAACATGTTAGTGACTAATACTATTTTTATGAAAAGAGATCCTGATACACACTTTAAGGAAACTAATTTAATTACATAAAAATATAGAAACATCTATTAGCGACACATTAAAATTAAATTTTATTCACATTTCAGAGACAGGGTCTTGCCCTGTCACCTAGCCTGAAGTGCAGTGGTACAATTATAGCTCACTGAACCCTCAACCACTTGGGTTCAGTGATCCTCCCACCTCAGCCTCCTGAGTAGCAAGGACCACAAGTGTGTGCCACTTGCCCAGCTAATTTTTTAATGTTTTGTAAAGACAGGGTCTCACTCTGTTGCCCAGGTGGGTCTCAATCTCTTGGGCTCAAGTAATCCTCCCACTTCATCCTCCCTAATTCCTGGGATCACAGATGTGAGCCACCATGTCCGGCCTCAACTTGGCTTTTAGAATAACTTATTGGGTAATAACCTCTGATTTTTAGTAATTACTTTATTCAAGTATGTGAAAAATCTCTCATAATTTTGCTTACTGTCTCCCTCAAATTCTCACCTAGAAAAGTTTAAAAGGATATAAAAGTAATTTGAAGAAGATTTGAAATTACCTTAACACGAAATGAATGAAAAAATAATCAGTTTACATAAACCACGAAGGAAATAACTTAGCAAGAAAGAAGAGAAACCTGCGATGACAGGCAAGTCACTGCAAGTTTCGGACGGACTACTGTCTTGAAAGGAATTTACTTTATTAACCCACAATAAACTCAACTGAAATAAAGAGTTGCCCTTTTGAAATGTGGTTTCTCTTTCTCTAGAAGAAAACCAAAAACCATCTCTTTCAGGAGGCCTTTCTTCACCGACCCACCCCTGGACATTCTTCTCATGGGGCCTTTTCCCCACCCATCACCATTCTTTGTGCCGCTTTGTGTTTGCTGCATAAACACGCACTCTCCCTCCTCAGCTCACAGGAGTCACGGGGCAGGGAGAGCATTCTGCGCTACTTCTGTAATCCTACCTGGCTCAGGCTGGCCTCTGAAATGGCAACTCATGTGTGTAGAGAAGAACACAGATATTTATCATCTAAAACCTGGGAAAAGCTGGTATTGCCTCCAAAAGAGAGTGAAGGCGGGTCTCTCTAAAGATGTCTGAATTGATCATGAAGGATTTACTCAGCAGTTATTTATTCAGCAGCATTAATTTTATTATTACTGTATTTTTTATTGTTTTAAGTTCCGGGGTACATGTGCAGGCTGTGCAGGTTTGTTACATAGGTAAACATGGGCCATGGTGGTTGACTTCACCTACCAAACCATCACCTAGGTATTAAGCCCGGCATGCATTAGCTATTTTTCCTGAAGCAGCATTAATTTTCAATAGCCACATAAAATCATTCACATCAGAGTTAACATCAAGCTTTAAACCAAGGCCTGAAAAGAAAAGTGCCACAGTTTCTAAACCATTCAGCTGGGCAACAAGAATTTTAATTTTTAAAAAAATTAAACGTTAGCCTGGTGTGGTGGTTCATGCCTGTCATCTCGG